>NC_000004.12:46861530-47170954 GCF_000001405.40 Homo sapiens
AAAAAGAAACTCATTTCTACTGCAACATTGCTCAGGTCTAGTACAAATTGGAAAACAAAATATTTGGCCTAGAAATGGTTCTTTGTTATAAAACTATTTTTACAATTAGATTTATTCTGTAGAAAAGAAACAAAATAGGGAGAGGTTGCTTAAGTAAAGGCCTTTATGGTCCTTTACCAGGATCCTGACTTAAGCGGTGGTTGTAGAATGTTTCTGGCTCATGTTACTTCCAGGCACGAAGCAGCTGTGCCAGTTTTGCTGGATAACCCCCTCTTAGCTGTTCCTCCTAGAAAGGCCATTCCCCTTCCCACAGAGTGTCCTCCGTCCCATGATTCTGAAGAGAGATCCTGCCAGTTCTCCAGCTCAGGGTTCCACCCCAAGGTCATGAGACACCCCTCCCTGTTATCCAATTAGCCCCAGCCTACACTCCCTACTATTGCCTTGCTCAAGTCCATCTGTCTGGAGGTCCCAGACCCCTGACTTGATGGACAACTCCCTGAAGCAGCAGACACTCAGCATCAGAAAGTAGCCACCTGAACACTTTCTTCAGTTTCTCCACTGCTGGTTAAGTTCTCCAGCAGCTCAAGGACTCCAAGGGCACCCCTAGAACAATCCTATCAACCCCTTCCCTCTCTCCCCTTATTAAAAAGGAGAAAAGAGGTTTTTAAAATCAAAACTGTAATAAAAACTACTTTACCCAAGTTCTATTCTATAGCTTTCCTTGGCTTACCTATCAGGGAAAACGAAGTTTAGCCACATGGACAGGTCTCAATCTTTGAAGAAATAATTGAATCCAGCTATATTTTATAAAGTGGTGAATTTTATATTGCTATCTTATGACTAGAATTCTGAGGTAAAAGCAAATGGGTAAGTGTTCCGTCTTTCTGTGTGTATACACATATTTAGATATGTTTATGTATGTACATGTGTTATGTGTTGTGTCTAGCATGCTATCAAATTAGCGCAAATGAATATTCATAAATTAAGTCCAAATGCTTTTCAAAGTCATGTGAATCTTTGGTAAATAAAACTGGGTTTAAAATTATGGATAAAAATAGAAATGTCTTCCGAATTTTCAAATTTTGATAAATAAGACTAATTTAAGATTGTTGGTTCAATAAAAACACCTGAATCTTTGGGGTTATCAGCAAAATGTTCATGTATTCAACTGTAAGATTCTTATTAGGTGTTCACCTAATGTTCAGACTTTAAAAATGTTTAATCAGGAAGTAACTTTGAATGATGACTAGATTTGCCTAGTAGCACAACTTTTATAAGTAATCTTGCTAAACTATTAAAAAGAAATAAATTAGGTAAGTGTAATGAGATAAATGCTTGTAAGTGAACTTTTTGTATAGCTTAAAATCTTAAAATTATTTTGGATGTTTACTGGACGTATGGGTCATTTCCAATTAAGAAAGAGTTATTATAATATATGGGAAGATAAGTTTCTAAAAATTATGAAATTGTTCTCATCTTTAAAATGCTAACATCTGGTAAAGAGTTCAGGATTTCTTGCTTCGTAGGTTTATATAATATGTGCCAAAGAATATGCCTTTTTATCGAGAAAAAGAATAACTTTGTCTAATTCAAAAGCTATGTAAAGGTTAATTCAAATTATCAACTTGAAAAGGTTATTTATGAAATGAGATAGAAAGGAACTGATAAGGAGGGAGAAATGTAAATAAAGTTATAGATATACATATGTATTTTTGGTAAGGAAGGATATTAACAAAAAGACTAATTTTATACAAGACAGGGTCTTGTATGCTGAATTCTTGTCCTAGAGAACAACTGGTTATTTAAGAAAGAGATAGTACAGGACAAGTCGGAAAGTACAAGCATGTGATAGTCTGTGTAAGTCATGATAAAGTTTGTAAAAGAAAATTCATGAAGGAATTTTGTGTGTAATTAAGTGGCTGTCATTAGAAGGGAATTGTTTATAATTGTCTTTCTAGAGAATAGTCGCCCATGTTAAAGCAAGATCTTCTTAAGATATTGATTTGCTCTTAATAAAATTACAAGAAATTTTTATTTTAATTCCATAACCTGTTCCTTTTAAAACTTCTCAGATTCATATCTCATATTCAACTATTGTTGTGCCTTGCTGCTTTCAATTCTTTCTCCCTTTGAGAAGGCCTAATACGATAATGCTCCAGCTTTTTCATAGCTCCTGTGACCTTTTCTCCTCTGGTTTTAACTCTTCATATTGACTGATGCTGAAATATTTTATCTTAGAGGTCTATAAAAGCAATGTTTTCCTCCAGGATAACTTGATTTTATACTCTTTGCTGTTCTTGAAACTTTATATTTGACCTTTGTTTTTTAATTCTTAGATTGCTTAAAAAAAGTTTTAAGGGCTAATGAGTGTTGAGCAACCTCCATTCTCACCTGGACTAAAATGTTTAATTGGCTATCGAAATCTGAAAAACTAATTCAGGTCATGATGGGAAACAGGGGCCGGACATGCCTCACTATGCCCGCTATTTGGAATTTAGGTCACGTTCAAAAGGCCCTTCAAGAATATGGAAATAAAGCACTGCCCTTTCCAACAAGGGAAATAATTAACTCCCCCATTCAACCAAGAGACTTAGTCTTACTGAAAATTTGGAAAGAAGGATCCCCCAAGGATGAATTTCAACCAAAATGGAAGGGCCCCTATCAGGTGTTGTTAAGTATCCCCACTGCCATTAAGCTTCAGGGGATCACCAGCTGAGTACACCTATCCAGGATTAAACCTGTTTCTTATGAGCCCCCCAGGTTTCAGATACAAACAATGTTACCTACACTTGTGAGTCTCTGAAGGCCACCCACGACATTTTTTTTTTTAACTAAAGGGAAGTTAGCTTTATTGGAGAAGCCAACAACTGAAGGGAGGCAGTGAAGTAGCATTCAAAAACCACCTCTCCAAGTTGTGCCTCTGGATCAGGAGTTTTTAAGAGAAGTTAAGAGAAATCATCAAAATATTTTTTTGTGAAATGATCGTGTGCTGTCTCAGGTGGGCAGTTAATCATTGCGTTCTTGGTCAATGTTTTGTGGTCTTCTGCAGGCACCATCAGCCTATTCTTATCAGGCCAGTCAGCCCATTCCTAGAGTTGTTGGTCAGAGTTGTTTTTTGTTTGTTTGTTTGTTTGTTTGTTTAGACGGAGTCTCGCCCAGGCTGGAGTGCAGTGGCGCGATCTAGGCTCACTGCAAGCTCCACCTCCCGGGTTCACGCCATTCTCCTGCCTCAGCCTCCTGAGTAGCTGGGACTACAGGCGCCGGCCACCACGCCCGGCTAATTTTTTGTATTTTTAATAGAGACGGTTTTTCACCGTGTTAGCCAGGATGGTCTCCATCTCCTGACCTCGTGATCAGCCCGCCTCAGCCTCCCAAAGTGCTGGGGTTACAGGCGTAAGGCACCGCACCTGGGCTTTTATTATGATTATTATTATGATTATTTCAATAGCTTTGGGGATACATGTGTTTTTTGTTACATGGATGAATTAAATAGCAGTGAATTCTGAGATTTTAGGGCACCCATCACCTGAGTAGTATACAGTATGCCTGTGTAGTTTTTTAATCTCTAGCACCTCTTCTACTCTCCCCCTTCTGAGTATTATATTAATACCACTCTGTATGTCTTTGGGTACTCATAGTTTAGCTCTCACTTATCAGTGAGAACATATATTTTTTGGTTTTCCACTCCTGTGTTACTTCACTTAGAATAATGGCCTTCAGCTCCATCCAACATGCTGTAGAAGACATTATTTTGTTCCTTTTAATGGCTGAGTAGTAAGTAGTCCATGGTTGTGTATGTACCATATTTTCTTTAGCCACTCATTAGTTGGTGGCACTTAGGTTGGTTCCACATCTTTGTAACTGTGTATTGTGTTGTGATAAGCATATATGTGCAAGTATCTTTTTCATATAACAACCTCTTCTCCTTTGGTCCATTACCTTTGTAAAAGGACCAACGCTCAATTTGGTACAGAGATGTGGTGCTGTGGTAAGAATAGGAGTATCAATTTTTCTCTTCTTCTTGATCATAATACTCTTTCTCTACCGCTTTGAACAACTGCTTCCTCCTAGGAAACACATCTTTTGTCCTTGTTGGGTGTAGAGGCCACTCTAAGGTCCACCCAGACATCATGCTGCCTCTGATAATCCTGTTTGCTCCCCCAGTTAACCTAATTCAGTGTGGGTGGGAGAAAACTCTATAGTAAATATTTCAAAAAAGTATAGCATCAAGGAATCATCTTCTTGGTTGCCGACTCTGTCATCAACATCCCCAGGATAGAGAGTTCCACGTCCTGGCACATCTGGAAAATCTCACGACCATGTCTCTGGACCTCGTAATTAACCACCATGATCCCTTAGTACACAGAACCCTACTTGTTAGGTGGAATTCTCCCCCACTTAACAGATTCTACCTAACTTCCTCCACCACTGTTATCTGGACCTGGGAGATTGGGTACTAGTACCTCCAGTGATCTAATGACACTATCTTTTGCATCCATTGCTGTGTTAATGACACAAGAGTGGAAGTTTCCCCACAATGCTCTGTTCCAACCCTAGTTTCCAAGTCCCAAGGCTGCACTAAAATAAATGGGATCCAACTTCTAAGTAAGGAAGCCGTACATGATGCCATGTCCAAGGCCAATACATGCAAAGAAAAAGCAACTGCCTGATTTAGGAAGACGGAAGTATCCCCCCTTCTGGAAAATAGGAGCTGTCTGACCACTGCCATTGGAATTTGGGGAAAATACCTCTATAGATCCACCTTGGCAGCAGAGAACAGATGTTACACCACATATGGCCTCTATTTGTGCCCTAACTGGGCTCACTTTTGTCTGTGGTTGATTGGAAAGAAATCCGACCCTGCAACTAACTACTCCTGACTCCCTGGAGAGCTACCTATTCTTTTAGGAGTAGTTTTCTTTTGTATATCAAAAACTTGTACATAAAAACAAAATGTTTTGTATATCAAAACAAAAATGTATGTTGGTCACCATTGCTCCTCTGAGGGTCACTGTCTATAACCCCATAAGGCCCAATAATACCAAAAATAAACAAACAATAGCATTATTTCTAATGGGAAGCAGGGCAGCAATAGGACTAGTGGCTTTGCCTACCTGAGACAACCCTAAGGAATTAGACTCAAACCCCAGAATCATTGGCCACCAACACAGGTCGGGCACTGAAGAGAATTCAAGAGTCCCTAGACCTTTGGCAAATGTAATCCTTTGCCAAAGGATTACAACACTATTACAAATGTAATAGTGTTGCATTATTTACTAGTTGAACAATAGTCTATGTCATTATTACCTGCTGTGGATATATTAATAACTCTGGACAAGTTGAGTTTAACATTCAAAAATTATATGAACAAGTTACATGGCTATATAGATACAACCAGGGTACTGACTCCACCTATATCCAGTCGACTATCAAAAGTGCCCTATCAAATCTCACCTGGTTTTTACCTTTCATACAACCTTTAATAGCTATCTTGTTACTACTAATTTTTGGCCCTTGCTTATTACCTCTTAGTAAAGTTTGTGTCTTCCAGATTACAACAATTCCATTTAAAGACAATGTTGTCACAAGGCTTCCAATTCATCCTGCTTTCTGACCCAGGAAACAGATATACTGCCTTTGGCCTCCTTACATCAGATAACCAGAGTTTCTACTCCTCCAATGTTAGCAAGTGCCTACACTCATAAGATCAGCAGGAAGCAGTTACAGAAGATGGACCTCCACTCTTCTACAATCCCTTTAACATTAAGGAGTAGTATATAATCTCTAATGGGAAAAAATAAGGTAGGAGACCAGCAGGATTTATGTTCTGATCCTGACCAGATGAAATCAAGAAACTGGCTGGAACCAGCCAATGGTGTCAAAGGCTGTCTCTAGCTGCCTTTGATGCTTATCAGCATAGGACACCCCTACCAGCATCACGACAGTTTACAAGTGTCATGGCAACATCCATAAATAACCACTCCTTTCTCTAGATATTTCTGAATAGCCCAACCCTTAATTTGCGTGTAATTAATAGTGGATCTAAATGCAGCTAATGAACAGCCCATACCCTGCTGCTCTGAGTGCACTGCCTATGGGTTGGCATTCCTCCACAAGGAGCAGCCACTCTGCCATACATGGCCACCTCAATAAACCTGCTTATGCTGAACCAACATTGCATCCCAGGGAAGCCTACTTCATCATGATGGATTTTAGCTTTTCGATAGGCTGCTGGATTTGGTATGCTAATTTTTTTTGGTTTTCACATTGATGTTCATCAAGAATATTGGCCTGAAGTTTTTCTTTTTTTGTTGTTGTGTCTCTGCCAGGTTTTGGTATCAGGATTACACTGGCTTCACAGAAAGAGTTGGGGAGGAGTCCCTCCTCCTCAGTTTTCTGGAATAGTTTATGTAGAAATGGTATAAGATCTTCTTTGTACATCTGGTAGAATCTGGCTGTGAATTCATCAGGTCCTGGGCTTTTTTATTGGTTGGTAGTCTATTTATTACTTATTCAATTTCAGAACTCATTATTGGTCTATTCAGGAAATCAATTTCTTCCTGGTTGAGTCTTGGGAGGGTGTATATATCCTATAATTTATCCACATATTCTAGGTTTTCTAGTCTGTGTGCATAGAGGTGTTCACAGTAGTTTCTGATGGCTAATTTTATTTCTGTGGGGTCAGTGGTAACATTCTCTTTACCATTTCTAATTGTGTTTATGTGGATCTTCTCTCTTTTCTTCATTATTCTAGCTAGTGGCCTATCCTATTATTTCTTTCAAAAAACCAACTCCTGGATACATTGAACTTTTGAATGTTTTTTCTGCCTCTCGATTTCCTTCAGTTCAGCTCCAATTATTATTTCTTATCTTCTGCTAGCTTTGAGGTTGATTTGTTCTTGCTTCTCTAATTCTTTCAGTTGTGAAGTTAATATTGTTAATCTGAGGACTATCTAACTTTTTGATGTGGGCATTAGTCCTATAAATTTCCCCCTTAACACTGACTTAGCTGTGTCCCAGAGATTCTGGTATGTTGCATCTTTGTTCTCATTAGTTTCAAAAAGCCTCTTGATTTCTGCCTTGATTTCAATATTTATCTAAAAATCACTCAGGGGCATGTTGTTTAATGTCCACATAATTGCATGGTTTTAAGCAATCTTCTTAGTCCTGACTTCTATTTGTTAATTGAATGTGGTCCAAAAGTGTGTTTGGTATGATTGTGGTTCTTTCGCATTTGCTGAGGATTGTTTTATGTCCAATTATGTGGTCGGTTTTAGAGTAAGTGGCATGTGGCAATGAGAAGAATGTGTATTCTGTTGGTTTTTGGTGGAGAGCTTTGTAAAGGTCTATCAGATCCATTTGGTCCAATGTTGAGTTCAGGTCCTGAATATCTTTGTTAATTTTCTGCCTTGATGATCTATCTAATACTGTCAGTCGAGTGTTACAGTCTCCCATTATTACTATGTGGGAGTCTATGTCTCTTTGTAGGTCTCTAACAACTTGTTTTATGAATCTGGGTGCTCCTGTGTTGGGTGCATACATATTTAGGATAGTTAGGTCTTCTTGTTGAATTGAACCCTTTACTATTATGTAATGCCTTTCTTTGTCTTTTTTGATCTTTGTTGGTTTGAAATTGTTTTATCTGAAGTTAGGATTGCAACCCCTGATTTTTTCTGTTTTCTGTTTGCTTGGTAGATTTTCCTTCATCCCTTTATTTTGAGCCTATGAGTGTCACTACATGTGAGATCGGTGTCATGATAACAGCATACCACTGAGTCTTTCTTTTTTATCCAGCTTGTCACTCTGTGTCTTTTAAGTGGTGCATTTAGTTCATTTACATTCAAGGTTAGTATTGATATGTGTGGGTTTGATCTTATCATTGTGTTGTTAGCTAGTTATTATGTTGGCTTATTTGGGTGGTTGCTTTATAGTGACACTGGTTTGTGTGTTTAAGTGTCTTTTTGTAATAGCTCATGTGAACTTTCCTTTCTATATTTAGTAATCCTTTCAAGTTCTCTTGTAAGACAGGTCTGGTGGGTAACAAACTCCCTCAACATTCACTTTTCTAAAAAGGATCTTATTTCTCCTTTGCTTAGCAAGCTTAATTTTGCTGAATATGAAATTCCTAGTTGAAGATTTTTTTTTCTTTAATAATGTTGAATATAGGCCCCCAAACTCTTCTGGCTTGTAGGATTTCAGCTGAGAGGTCTGCTGTTAGCCTGATGGTGTTTTCTTTGTAGGTGACCTGCCATTTCTCTCTTTAGCTGCCTTTAAATTATTTCTTTAATTTTGGCCGTGGAAAATCTGATGATTATGTGTCTTGGGGATGATCTTCTTGCATAGAGTCTTGAGGGAGTTCTCTGTATTTCCTGAATTTGACTGTTGGCCTCTCTAGCAAGGTTGGGGAAGTTTTCATGAACCATATACTGAAATATGTTTTCCAGGTTGTTTGCTTTCTCCTCCTCCCTTTCAGAGATGCCAGTGATTTGTAGATTTGGCCTCTTTACATAATCCCATACTTGGAGGTTTTATTCATACCTTTTTATTCTTATTTATTTTTGTCTCACTGTTTTACTTCAGACATCCAGTCTTTAAGTTCTGAGATTCTTTCCTCAGCTTGGTTTATTTTACTGTTACTACTCGTAAGTACATTGTAAAATCAATAAATGTGATTAATCACATAAAAAAACTAAGGACAAAAACCACATGATTACCTCAATAGGCACAGAAAAGGCTTTTGATAAAATTCAATAACCCTTCCTGTTCAAAACTCTCAACAAACTAGATATTGAAAAAAAAAATAACTCAAAATAAGGAGGCATCTATGACAAGCCCACAGCCAACATTATACTGAATGAGCAAAAGTTGGAAACATTCCTTTTGAAAGCCAGCACAAGACAAGGATGCCCTCTCTCTCACCACTGCTTTTCAACATAGTACTGGAAATCCTAGCCAGAGCAATTAGGGAAAAGAAAGAAAGTGCATCCAAATACGAAGAGAGGAAGTCAAACTATCTCCGTTTGCAGATGACATGATTCAGTATCTAGAAAACCTCATAGTCTCAGCCCAAAAGCTCTGCCAGCTGATAAACAACATCACCAAGCTTCAGGATACAAAATCAACCTACAAAAATCACTAGCACTAGCATTCCAGTACACCACCAACAACCAAGCCAACAACCAAATAAGGAACTCAATACCACTCACAACTGCCACAAAAAGAATAAAATATCTAGAAATACAGCTAACCAAGAAAGTGAAAGATCTCTACAATGAGAATTCCAAAGCACTTGTAATTGAATCATAGAAGACACAGACAAACGGAAAAACACTCTATGCTCATGGAGAGGAAGAATCATATCATTAAAATGACCATACTGCCCAAAGAAATTTACAGATTTAATGCTATTCCTATCAAACTATCAATGACATTCTTCACAGAACTAGAAAAAAAAAAACTATTTTAAAATTCCTATGGAACCAAAAAAAGAGCCTAAATAGCCAAGGCAATCCTAAGCAAAAAGAACAAAGCTGGAGACATTATGTTGCTAGACTTCCAACTATATGACAAGGCTATAGTAACCAAAAAAGCATGGTAATGGTACAAAAACAGACACATAGACCAATGGAAAAGAATAAAGAGCCCAGATATAAGGTTGTGCACCAATAACCATATGATCTTTGACAAACCTGACAAAAACAAGCAACAGGGAAATGCTCTCTATTCAGTAAATGGTACTGGGGTAACTGGCTAGCCATCTGCAGAAGATTGAAGCTGCACCCCTTTCTTACACCATATACAAAAATCAACTAAATATGGATTAAATTAAACGTAAAACCCAAAACTATAAAAACCTTGGAAGATAACCTAGACAATATCATCCTGCACATAGGAACTTGCAATGATTTCATTACAAAGACACCAAAAGCTATTGCCACAAAAGCAAAAATTCACAAGTGGGATCTAATTAAATTTAAAACCTTCTGCACAGCAAAGCAAACTATCAACAGAGTAAACAGCCTACAGAATGGGAGAAAATATTTGCAAACTATGCATCTGACAAAGGTCTAATACCCAGCATCTATAAGGAGTTTAAACATATTTACAAGAAAAAAAAAAAACATTGAAAAGTGGGCAAAAGACATGAACAGACACTTTTCAAAAGAAGACATACATGTGGCCAAACAACCATATGAAAAAAAGCTCCATGTAACTTATCATTAGAAAAATGCCAATCAAAAACAATGAGATACTTCCTTCCACCAGTCAAAATGGCTATTAAAAAAAATACCAGATACTGGCAAAGTTGAGGAGAAAAGGGAACACTTATACACTGTTGGTGGGAGTGTAAATTATTCCAACTATTGTAGAAAGCAGTATGGTGATTCCTCAGAGAGCTAAAAGAAGAACTACCATTCAACCCAGCAATCCTATTATTGGGTATATACCTAGAGGACTATAAAACAGTCTACCATAAAGACACATGCATGTGAAAGTTCATTACAGCACTATTCACAATAGCAAAGTCATGGAATCAATCTAAATGGCCATCAGTGTCAGACTGAATAAAGAAACTGTGGTATATATACACCATGGAATACTATGCAGCCATAAAAATTAATGAGATCATGTCTTTTGTGGGAACAAGGATGGAGCTGGAGGCTATTATCCTCATAAAATTAATGCAGGAACAGAAAACCAAATACTACATGTTATCACTTATAAACTGGATCCAAATAATAATAATTTATGAATACAATGAAGGAAACAACAGACACTGGTGCCTACTTGAGGGTGGAGGGTGGGAGGAAGGAAAGGAGCAGAAAACGTAACTATTGAGTACTAGGCTTAATTCCTGGGTGATGAAGTAATCTGTACAGCAAACCCATTACACGTGTTTACCTGTGTAATAAACCTTCACATGTACCCCTGAACCTAAAATAAAAGTTATAAATAAATAGATAAATACAACTGGCTCTTGAATTCTTTCCCAAGCAAAGCCAAGAACTATCCCAAGCTAAACTACAATTTGGGGGCTTACCTGTCCTTCATCATCATTGCTTCTTAATTCTATCTCAGGAAGGCAATTCCTCACAAATTATGTCAATAGAGCAGTTCTATTGCATAGCATTAAGGAAATGATCTCAGAGGTCAGAATGTCAGAATCTGAGTGCATGTCTTTGCCCCTTCCTAGGTGTGTGACGTGGACAAATTACTGATTCATTTTGTGCCTAACTTCCCTCATCCACAAAATGGGGATAATTATGCTAACTTCTTCATAGGGTTTTGGTGTTAATTTTTTTTTATTATACTTTAAGTTCTGGGGTACATGTGCAGAACATGCAGTTTTGCTACATAGGTATACATGCGCCATGGTGGTTAGCTGCACTCATCAACCTGTCACCTACATTAGGTATTTCTCCTAATGGTATCCCTCCCCTAGCCCCCCACCCCCCAACAGGCCCCAGTGTGTGATGTTTCCCTCCCTGTGTCCATGTGTTCTCATTGTTCAACTCCCACTTATGAGTGAGAACATGCAGTGTTTGGTTTTCTGTTCTTGAGTTAGTTTCCTGAGAATGATGGTTTCCAGCTTCATCCATGTCCCTGCAAAGGACATGAACTCATCCTTTTTTACAGCTGCATAGTATTCTATGGTGTATATGTGCCCATATTTTCTTTATCCAGTCTATCATTGCTGAACATTTGGGTTGGTTCCAAGTCTTTGCTATTGTGAATAGTGCCGCAATAAACATACGTATGCATGTGTCTTTATAGTAGAATGATTTATAATCCTGTGGGTATATACCCAGTAATGGGATTGCTGAGTCAAATGGTATTTCTAGTTCTAGGTCCTTGAGGAATCGCCACACTGTCTTCCACAATGGTTGAACTAATTTACACTCCCACCAACACTGTAAAAGCTATTTCTCCACATCCTCTCCAGCATCTGTTGTTTCCTGACTTTTTAATGATCACCATTCTAACTGGCATGAGATGGTATCTCATTGTGGTTTTGATTTGCATTTGTCTAACGACCAGTGAAGATGAGCATTTTTTCATATATCTGTTGGATGCATTAATTTAATTAATACATAAATCACCTAGAATATGGTAGGAGCTTAATAAATTTTGCTATTACTATTTTTTTTAATTATTATACTTTAAGATCTAGGGTATATGTGCACAACGTGCAGGTTTGTTACATATGTATACATGTGCCATGTTGGTGTGCTGCACCTGTTAACTCAACATTTACATTAGGTATATCTCCTAATGCTATCCCTCCCCCTTCCCCTCACCCCATGACAGGACCCGGTGTGTGATGTTCCCCACCCTGTGTCCAAGTGTTTTCATTGTTCAATTCCCACCTATGAGTGAGAACATGCAGTGTTTTTTAAGTAGAGGTATTATTTTCTTTGTTATTTAAGCCACAGTGCCATTCTACTAGTTAAATTATCAGGAGACTGAAATTGATGTCCAATGGGTAAATGGGATTAAAAGATCATGGACCCTATGCAGAAAAATCTATTGGCTTGCAGATTATAATTCTCTTTGTATCTTGAGTTTGGGAACTTGGCATATCCATACATTTCGTTGTCTTTTTTTTAAAAAAAGAAAGCATGGGCATTCAGCTCAGATTTCCTTGAAGACCAAAATACATGCATAATTTAAAACATAAGACCAAAATCAAAAATGTATGTTTTATTTAAGTACGAGCAACATGGTTGGGAAGAAGAAAAAATTTAGAATTTGCTTAAATTCATGTTATTTTTAAGAACCACAAAATATGCTTCAGGCAAAGCTGAAGTGTTTTTAGTCGCAGTGAAGATACAAGAGGTTCCCAAAGGAATGAAGTGGTGAGTAGAATTTCACCTCTGAAATCTTCACTGGGAATATGCTTTTTCAATTGCTACATCTAATGTGCAAAACAAAAAACAAACAACAAGCTGAAACTTATCTGCTCTTCATTTTCTATTCCATTTCTGTAACTACCAAAGAACATATGGACCATCATATCAATTCTCTTGTGTGGTTTTTTTTGTTCCAAGAGCAGAGTATATTCTCAGTTACATTAATCATATTTCGAAATCAAGTTTATGTTTTGATACATAGGTTTTATATAGTCCCTGATGCATTTTGAAAGCACACAATATTTATCTATGTAGACTAGATAAACTACTTTAAAATGTCAGGAAAAAAAAATGTATACTTGGCCAAATTCCTGCAAACTGGGTAGATGTTTTCTGGAAATTTTTCTCAACATTGATATTTTTGTAAGACTGACACATGCAAATCTACCCTTATTGTTTTCCTTTTGTTGTTTTTGTTTGTACATAGACGTATAATCATAGTTGTATTTAACCAATCTGCTTTCTACCTGAGAGGTCTGCTGTTACTAGGCTGGTCTCTGAGGTAATTCTCTGAAAATTACAGGCTCATTCCTGCCACCTAGTACTGCTTATTAAAAATGCTTCACACCTCCCCCTTTGTTTCCAGGACTGTGGCTGGGTAATAAGGCTGCATAACTTATCTAGAACAAACATCTGCCTGTTGGTAACTGCTACCCTACATATAAAGATACCTTCTGCACAAGTATGTGTTTCTAACCTTTCACTACCAGTTCTTTGTAATTTTTCTGTTTTGCTTTTTAAATAGGAATTTTGTAGATTTTTTGGAAATGTTATGGAACAATAATTACTAAACAAGGAAATTAAAGGCATTTTAAACTCAATGGCAGGTAAAACATTGGATTTTAACATGTTTCTTTCAAATAGAAAAAGTATTGTGCACTAATTTTGCCCAGTAGCTTCTGGAGCCAGTTTTAACCCTTTGCATTTTTTCTTCATACTGTATTCTCAGTTGTCCCTGAAAAGAGCTCAAAATTGTTCCATCTTTTCAATCCTTAACATCATAGCTCAATTCTGAACAATTTCAGCTAATTTTTACTGCCTAATGACAGTTTTTGCCACATCCAATGCACACTATAAACATCCTCTAGATTAAATTTCCTAAAATACCACTTTCATCATGTCACAATCTTGTGCAAGTTCATACCGTGGTTCTAGTGATTATGGGAAAAGGCCCATACTCCCTACACTGACAGGTTTCCAAGGCTTGGGAAACAGCATCCCATTTTAGTTATCAATCTAACGTCCTATGACTTCCCAACTAAATTCTGCTTCCATCAGGACACATTCCTTTTCATCCCCCGTAGCCCATGTCACTCTGCTTGGTGACTTTCCTAATGTTCTCTTCTACTTTTTCCATCTCTTCACCTGTCCACATTCTACCTGTCTTCCAAGGCCAACTGAAGTGTTATAAATTCTATTAATTCTGAACAACTGAAGTGTTATAAATTCTATTAAAATTTCAACTACTATAGCCCACCGGTCTTACTTTTCTCTGAGTTTATACTACATAGAGTAATTCAGTGAAGTTTATATGCTGCTCTGCATTGTTTCTCCTATGGAACTACTGTTAGTCCAAATAGATTATAAAACAATTGAAGACATGAATATTCATTATGCAATTTTTTTCATATTAACCACAGTGCTTTGTCAGTGCTGGAAACACACTACATCTTATGGATGCAAAGTAAACTCAACATGATATGCTTTAAAAAGAACAAAAGGTTTTAAAAATACAACTGTACTAGCTGTACAATTACCAGGGATAGATTATTGACTGCCTAAGAGACATGCATGGGGCAAATCTATGTGCTCTGAAAAAGTTAGAGGTAACATTTTTATAAATAAAACTGTAGGTTAAATATACCAGATGGTGATATTTAAATAATATTTCATTGTATCTCTTTATAAAGGGAAGAATGATCCTCTGATTTTCAGTTTCAAACACAGAGTCCGTCCTATTGTCTTTTTTTTTTTTTTTTTTTGAGAAGGAGTCTCGCTATGTCGCCCAGGCTGGAGTGCAGTGGCGCATCTCCGCTCACTGCAAGCTCCACCTTCTGGGTTCACGCCATTCTCCTGCCTCAGCCTCCCACATAGCAGGGACTACAGGAGCCCACGACCACGCTTGGCTAATTTTTTGTATTTTTTTAGTAGAGACAGGGTTTCACCGTGTTAGCCAGGATAGTCTCGATCTCCTGACCTCGTGATCCGCCAACCTCGGCCTCCCAGAGTGTTAGGATTACAGGCATGAGCCACCGCGCCCGGCCCGTCCTATTGTCTTAAGAAAGCTTTTCATTTTCTAAAACAAGAATAGAAAAAAAGGAGAAATCTCAGCTGTGTTAAGATGAGAGAATTAAAAGATAAGTCCAACTGTCAATATTCTCCTTTGTCATTACATTACAAATCTTTGTGAGACTTTGTCAAGTATGAGTTTCGCTAAAGGCTAAAGCTACTTGATATTTTTCTGGCAACAGCTACTTTTGTATATAAAAATTTACCAAACTTTACATAAACAAATCTGTGATGAGTCTGGAAAGAAATCATATTATCACTTTGAGTTCACAATGTTAAGTTTTTGAACTAAAACCATTAGCAGTAAGAATCGAACGACTCTCAAAACCCAGTTTCAGTTCTAGTATGACAGATGGCAAAATGATCTAAAATTCCTAAATACAAAATAGACATGAATTAAAGTGCACATTACTCTGAACTTGGTGTATCAGGGAGTGGTAAGTAGAGGACAAGAGGTGGGAGATGAGTATATGGAATAAGTAATAAGTATTACCATATTACACATGAGGAAACATAGTGCTAGCTTGTTATGTGACTGAGCTGAGGTTTCATAGCCAAATTCAAGGACATCTGCGTCCAAAACCAAGGCTTTCTTATTTACTAAGACATGTCTCTGGATAAAACATCTTTCACTCTCCTTAAAATGCCTAACATATTTGTCTTTCACTGCTGGTTAATCTTTTCTTCTTTGGTATAGGAGGACATTGTGACCGCAAACTTTTCTACTCACATCTAGTTGTCTTTACACAGATATAGATCCTGGTATAGTTATTACATGTATCTTAGGAATTAAGCTGTTCTACTAACAAAGAAACCCAATTTAAAAATGGGCAAAGAACATGAATAGACATTTTTCCAAAGAAGACACAAAAAGGCCAACAGGTGTTTGAAAAGCATCAACATCAATAATAATCAAGGAAGTACAAATCAAAACCACTGTGATATACCACCCCATACCTGTTAGAATAGGTATACCAAATACCAAATGTCAAAAAATAATAAATATGAGTGAGGGTATGGAGAAAAGGGAGCCCTGGTACACTGTTTGTGGGAATGTAAATTGATACAGACATTACAGAAAACTGTTTGAAGGTTCCTAAAAAACAAAAACCATAACAACCACATAACCCTGCAATATCTCTGCTGGGTATATACCTAAAGGAAATGAAGTTAGCACCCTTTAGAGATATCTGTACTCTCATGTTCACTGCAGCAGTTCACAATAGCCAAGATATGGAAACAACTTACATGTCCACCAATGGATGAATGAATAAAGAAATTGTAGTGCATACACACACACACACACACACACAAAGAATATTACTCACCCTTAAAAAAAAAGGTAATAACTGCCATTTTCTATGACATGAACGTTCCTGGAGGACGTTATGCTAAGTAAAATAAGCCAGACACAGAAAGAAAGACTGTGTGATTTCACTTATATGCGGAAGTTTTTTTAAAAAAAAATTGATCAAAGTCATAGAAACAGTAGAACAGTGGTTACCAGGGGTGAGGAGGTAAGGAAAAGGGGAGAAAAAAGTCAAAGGGTATGAACTTTCAGTTATATAGGATGACTAAATCTAGAGATCTAATGTATAGCATAATGACTATAGTTCATAATATTCTAATGTATACTAAAAGTTTTCTAAAAGAGTAGATTTAGGTGCTCTTACCATAAAAAAAAAGGTGATGGATAGGATAATTTGCATGACTGTAGTAATCATTTTACTACATATACATAAGTTAGCACTATTATATATATATATATATAGACACATATATACACATTACATTTTAGATCTTAAATACATACAATAACATGTTTTAAAGACCCAAAAATTTAGTGCCAAGAGAGAAACAAATTTATTTCCCACATCATAATCTTAACATAAAGAGTCCAGGGAAAATATGTTGGCTGTAAAGTGTCAGGAACCACTCAGTTTCCTATTATCTTAACGCTCCGTCTTCCTCAATATTTGGTTTCTACCTCATGGGCAACTATGATTCCTCTAGCTTTCCTTATCAAATCCACATTCCAGAAACCTGGGAAGCTGGTGAAGTAAAAGTCTACCCCTTCTCTCTGAGGGCATGACTCAGAGGCTTCCTACATCACTAGTTCTACTTACATTTCATTGGCCAGAACTTAACCACACAGACACGCCTAACAAAGAAGGCAAGGACTTACAGTCTTAGCCAATCAGACATGTGCTCAGCTAAGACTCAAGATTATATTACTAAACCAGTTCATGCTCAAAGATGATTGTAGGTAAACAACATATAGGTCACTTGACACTTTTCTGACTGACTCTCAACTTACTATTAAGGTGCAAGTATATTTAGTATATCTGGACATAATGAACTAAGGCCGTGATTTTTTTCTCCTTTTCTTGATTTTTTTTGTTTGTTTTTTTGAGACAGGATCTTACTCTTTTGCCCAGACGAAGTACAATGGCATGATCATAGCTCACTGATGCCTTGACCTTGAACTCCTGGGCTCAAGTGATCTCCTAACTCAGCCTTCCAAGTAGCCTCTAGTCTTCCAAAGACTAACCAGTAAGTCCTACTTATAGCCATGTACCACTGTGTCTAATTTTTTTTTCTTTTTGAGACACGGTCTCACACTGTCACTCAGGTTGGAGTGCAGCAGTGTGATCACGGCTCGCTGCCCTGCTGATTTTTTAAAAAGTTTTTCATAGGGATGGGGTCTCACCATGTTGCCCAGGCTGGTCTTGAACTGCTGGCCTCAAGCGTTCCTCCCACCTCAGCCTCCTAAAGTGCTGAGATTATAGGCCAATGAAATGTAAATTATAGGCTGGAGCCACCACACCGAGACCTCTCCTTGATCTTTTCTAAATGATGATCCATTAGAGTATGTTGCATAATCTTTATCTGTTTTATAATTGCAAGTTTTTCTTTTATTGTACCTCTTCAATACATTTATTGTACCGCTTTGATGAATCCTTGATGGATTTATCAAAGAAAACGAAGACCTCAAAAAAAAAAAAGCCAATTGAGACATATTTTGTTTTTATAGTTCATTTGAAGGAGTGCCGTTCCAATCCTTCAGGATCCTTGTAATGACAACTCTTTATTGTACCCAGAAAGTGCCACTAATTAACACAAAATAAATGCTGTGGTTTTGGACTGGTGTTCTCTGTATTAATGAGAACTCACAGTTTTTTTCCTCTGTAGAGAGATACAATTACATGAGTATATTCTTTCTTTTGCCTGACTGCTTGAGCTAGGACTTCCAATACTGTCTTGAATAGAAGTGGTGAGAGAGGGCATCCTTGCCTCGTGCCGGTTTTCATGGGAATGCTTCCAACTTTGCCCATTCAGTGTAATGTTTGCTGTGGGTTTGTCGTAGGTGGCTCTTGCTGTTTTGAGGCAGGTTCCTTCAATATGGTGGCTTAACTTTTTGATGTGCTGCTGGATTCGGTTTACAAGTTATTTTGTTGAGGATTTTTGCATCAATGTACATAAAAAATACTGGTCTGAAGTTTCCTTTATTTGTTGTGTCTCTGCCAGGTTTTGATACCAAGATGATGCTGACCTCATAGAAAGAGCTGAGGAAGAGTCCCTCCTTCTCAGTTTTTTGGAATAGTTTTTGTAGGAATGGTACCAACTCTTCTTTCTATAATACATCCGGTAGAATTCAGCATAAATCTATCAGGTCCTGGGCTTTTTTTTTTTTTTTTTTTTTTCTGGGTAGGCTATTTATTACTTACTCAATTTCAGAGCTCATTATTGGCCTATGCAGGAAGACAATTTATTCATGGCTCAGTCTTGGGAGGGTGCATGTGTCCAAGAATGTATCCATCTCTTCTAGGTTTTCTAGTTTGTGTACATAAGGTGTTCGTAGTAGTTTCTGATGGCAATTTTTATTTAAGTGGGGTCAGTGGTAACATTCTCTTCATCATTTCTAGTTGTGTTTATTTGGATCTTCTCTCTTTTGTTCTTTATTAGCCTAGCTAATCTATTTTATTCCTTTAAAAAAAAAACTATCGCAAGAACAAAAAACCAAACACCGCATATTCTCACTCATAGGTGGGAATTGAACAATGAGATCACATGGACACAGGAAGGGGAATATCACACTCTGGGGACTGTGGTGGGGTTGGGGGAGGGGGGAGGGATAGCATTGGGAGATATACCTAATGCTAGATGACACATTAGTGGGTGCAGCGCACCAGCATGGCACATGTATACATATGTAACTAACCTGCACAATGTGCACATGTACCCTAAAACTTAGAGTATAATAAAAAAAAAAAAAAAAAACTCTTGGATTCATTGATCTTTTGAATGGTTTTTTCATGTCTCAATTTTCTTCAATTCAGCTCTAATTTTTGTTATTTCTTGTTTGAACCCAGGAAATCTGAGACAGGTCTCAATTAATTTAGAAAGTTTATTTTGCCAAGGTTGAGGATGCACCCATGACAGAGCCTCAGGAAGACCTGACGACATGTGCCCAAGGTGGTCAGGGCACAGCTTAGTTTTATACATTTTAGGGAGACATGAGACACCAATCAATACATGTAAGAAGTACACTGGTTCAGTCTGGAAAGGCAGGACAACTGGAAGCAAAGGCAGGAAGACTCAAACCAGGGAGGGAGCTTCCAGGTCACAAACAGGTGATACACAAATGGTTACATTCTTTTGAGTTTCTGATTAGCCTTTCCAAAGGATACAAATCAGATATGCACCTATCTCAGTGAGCAGAGGGGTGACTTTGAATAAAATGGAAGGCGGCTGAACATGGTGGCTTACGCCTGTAATCCCAGCACTGTGGGAGGCCGACGTGGGTGGATCACTTGGGGTCAGGAGTTCAAGACCAGCCTGGCCAACATGGTGAAACCTCATCTCTAATAAAAAAAAAAATACCAAAATTAGCCAGACGTGGTGGAGTGCACCTGTAATTCCAGCTACTAAGGAGACTGAGGATCACACCACTGCACTCCAGCCTGGGCGATAGATCCATCTCAAATAATAATAATAATAATAACAGAATGGGAGGCATGTTTGCCCTAAGCAGTTTCCAGCTTGAGTTTTCTTTAGTGATTTTGGGGGCCCAAGATATTTTCCTTTCACAGTTGTCTTCTGCTAGCTTTGAGGTTTTTTTCTTGACTCTCCTCTAATTCTTTCAGTTGTGATGTTACACTGTTAACCTGAGGTCTTTCTAACTTTTTGATGTGGGCCTTTAGTGCTATGAATTTCCCTCTTAACACTGACTTCTGTGTCCCAGAGATTCTGCTACGTTGTATCTTTGTTCTCATTAGTTTTAAAGAACTTCTTGATTTCTGCCTTAATTTCATTATTTACCCAAAAGTCATACAGGAGCATATTGTTTAATTTCCATGTAACTGCATGATTTTGAGAGATTTTCATAGTCTTGATTTCTATTTTTATTGTACTGTGATCTGAGAGTGTGTTTGGTATGGTTTGGTTCTTTTACATTTGCTGAGGATTGTTTTAGGTCCAATTATGTGGTCAATTTTAGAGTATGTACCATTTGGCGACGAGAAGAATGTGTATTCTGTTGTTTTTTGGTAGAGAGTTCTGTAAAGGTCTATCAGATCCATCTGGTCCAATGTTGAGTTCAGGTCCTGAATCTTTGTTAATTTTCTGCCTTGATGATCTGTACTAATACTGTCAGTGGGGTGTTGAAGTCTTCTACTATTATTGTGTGGGAATCTACGTCTCTTTGTAGGTCTCTAACAACTTGCTTTATGAATCTGGGTGCTCTTGCATCGCATGCATACATATTTAGCATAGTTAGGTCTTCTGGTTAAACTGAACCCTTTATCATTATGTAATGCCTTTCTTTGTCTTTTTTATTTTGGTTGGTTTGAAATCTGGTTTGTCCAAAGTTAGGATTGCAACCCCTGATTTTTTCTGTTTTCTGATCGCTGGGTAGATTTTCCTTCATCCCTTTATTTTGAGCCTATGAGTGTTATTATACATGAGATGGGTCTCTTGAGGACAGCATACTACTGGTTGACCCAAATTTTTTAACAACTACATATTTCTAAAGTTACTTATTACATAAAGAATGTGTGTTTCCACTGTGATGTTTTATTTATTAAATTTTTTTCATGAGTCTTCTGATTTGTAAGACAAAATGAGTCCACCATACGTGAATTTAAGCCACAAATCATTATCACTATATATCTACACTATTCCATATTACTTGTGATAAATTTTGCAATGGGAAAGAGACTTAATTTCACACATATGTTTAATAAATATGTTTCAGCTAGGTAACAATTTGAAGGCTATGATTTTATAAGTTAAGATTAATTTTTTCTTATATTGATAGGCAATGAGAAATAAAATCTCCATATTAAACATTTAATGAAAATAATCAAAACCAATTTAATATGTAAGACTGAATCATAGGTAAAGCCGGTAGCAATACTACTGAGTATAATTATTTTGGCATCATATGTAGATTAAATGTTTTAATTCTGGAAGGAAATGTTTAACCATGAGAAGGACATTATCATTTGCTTTCAATTGCTTTGACAATCCCAATCATTTATTTACCTAAATACTTTGTAGATCTGGTATTTTGGTAGAAGTCATGATTGTCTGGCTTAATTTACATAAATAACCTCACTAATTTGGCCTTTTCAGAATTCCCTTTCTGTATTTTTTTTTAATTTTTGCACTAGTATTTTCTGAAAAATTCTTATTTATCAACTCAGTATTAAATATTTAATTGGCTGGGCATGGTGGCTCACGCTTGTAATTTCAGCACTTTGGGAGTCCAAGGCGAGTGGATCGCCCAAGCTCAGGAGTTTGAGACCAGCCTGGGCAACACGGTAAAACCCCGACCCTACCAAAAATACAAAAAAATTAGCCAGGCATGGTGGCACGTGCCTGTTGTCCCAGCTACTCGGGAGGCTGAAGTGGGAGGATTGCTTGAACCTGGGATGTCAATGTTACAGTGAGCCAAGATTGCACTTGCAGTGAGCCAAGATTGTGTTACTGCACTCCAGCCTGGGCGACAGAGTGAGATCTTCTATTAATCAGAATAAACCTTTAAAAAAAAAAAAACCTGAACATTAATTTTAAATTCTTGTCAAGGTCTCAAAACTTAAATAACCTGCTTTCAGAATGAAGTTTCAAACATTATCTTGTCTCTTCTCCTTATAAATCATCCTGGAAACATGATGTTACAACTAGTCTGGAGAATCCTTTGTAGGTACTTAAAGTATAGAATGACAATTTCAGTGTTATGCAGTAAAAATCAGAAGAGCTGAATTTGAATCTTCATTTTTCATAACAAATGAATGGATAAATTATATAATATCCTGTCTTCAATTATTTCTAAGTATTGCTGTTCCCATTTTAGAAATGAGAAATCTAAACCTCCAAGAACTTCAATAACTAGCCCAAGAGTCAAAATTCCCAAGCATATCTAATTATGTGTGAGGGGGCCAGTTGGGGGGTGGTGGTGGTGTTTGTTTGTTTTAGAAGCAATGTTTCACTTTGTAGCACAGGCTGGAGTGCAGTGGCACCACCATAGCTCCCTGCAGCCTGGAACTCCTAGGCTCATAGCAATCTTCCTGCCTCAACCTTCCACAGTGCTGAGATTACATGCATGAGCCACCATGGCCAGACTGCATTTCCTTTTTAAGAAAAGTTTCTGTTCTCTAATGATGTCCTTAATTATTCTGATTAATAGAAGGTTCCAATTTGTATTATCTCAGTTTTTGAAGCAACAGAAAATATTCTACTCACTGAGTTTTATCACAAAAATTAGCTCATATGTGATCAGTAAATAGTGGAGTACTGTTAGTATAACACAGAAATCAGATTAGTTTATCCATGATTGTTTCCCCAACACATTAATGTTTTATGCTATCAAGTACCAGCAGATGAACCCAGCAAGCCAGGGAGGAATACTGTCATATTCACATTGCCCATTCATCCCTTTTTATTTTCTTTGGCTCCTTTTATTGCTCTGTTTTGGAAGTGTTTTTTGAGCAGTTTTCTTAATCTTTTTGAATGTTGTCCTTGTCTCCTTGGCTTAGCAGCCTCAACCCTTCTTCACATCTCCTTCTGTCAAATTACTTTCAACTTTCTTTTGTGATGAAGTTCTAAATGTATTGAATATTGGCTTCAAACAATCTATTTGATCTGTTTGCTTTTTTTTTTTTATTATGCTAGCATTTTTATTGGGGACTGTAATATTTTTGTTAATGCCCTGATTTTCAATTGTCTGCCCCATCTGTTTTTTTATAAACTTGTTTGTAATTTTTCAGAAAACATGTATTGTAAAAAAGAAATGCCAATACATATAAATCACAGAGATAAAAATACATCAAACATAATTTTCCTTTATTTGCTAATTTAGGATATATTGCCACTAATATTGGTGTTTATATTATTTTCATTATTATTACATCCAAGTCTTGTTTTGACTTGTGGCCGTTTCCCACTCCTTTCACAACATTTATTGAAAATTATAATATATAAGGCACTACTGGATATAAATGTGAATTTAAAACTCATTATACTTATTAGAAAATTATATTTTAGCAGGGAAAATAAAACACGCATATAATCACACACCTAATAAATGCTGCTGTGTATAAAGCTGTGTAGTAGGTAATAGAAATATAAAAAATTTTGAAACATTCCTCTTCTTCTCAAGGAGAAATAGCATATACATATATATGTAATAGTGCAGTTGGATAAGTAAACATATAAACAAGTTCCAAATGATTTTGTAGATTTGTATTTGCGCAGCACCTTACTGATTTTGTTTATGAAATGAATAAACATACCCCATTCTATTCAAGAAACATCAGCTGACCAGTGATTATAGGCAGGATATTATACCTCCATGTTTGATATCAGATGCCAGGAGAGACATAAATATGAACAAGATACAACCTTTCTCTTCAACAATTTAAAAATCTAGATTAAAAGCATCAAAACTGCGCTTGATTATTCAGAAACCAGGTGGGTTTTTTTCTCATTTATCTAAGCATTTAATTCTTTCAGTTATCTTAACATATAATTCTTCCGGTGGATGTAGAAACTGTAATATATAAGAAGGCAATGAATTTTTAGCAAAGGTTAGTTTTGAGTAACAGTCTATCATTGCTGGCCTAGTCACAGAGAAACAGTATACAAGGTTACCTAAATGAGGCTTTTCCAAAACTGAGTTTCCAGGTCAAGAGTTTATTTTTCATGTTAGAATAAATGTATTGAATCAACTATTGAAAATTTCACCATGCAGACATTTTACTGCCTACAAGCCAATGATAACGTAGATTTTCAAAAGAGAAGGGTGAAAAGTAAAGATTTGGGAAGAAAAGAAGGCTAATTAATAATATTAATCTGTACTTGCCCCAATGCCCTTGAAGGCAGGCAAAGAAACTGCCAAAGCCACTTGACTTTAGGTAGTTACAGGGATCAGGTTAAAAATGACTCATTCAGATTCTTCTGTATAAAATGCATTCTTAAAAGCACTCAAAAACAAAATGTAGAAAACTATGGAGACCATAAAAATGTATTTTAATTGATATTTCATAGTTGTATAAACTTTTGAGTACATGTGATATTTTCATACATATATACAATGTGTAATGATTAAATCAGGGTAATTAAGATATCCACCACCTCAAACATTCATCTTATCTTTGTGTGGAGAACTTTGCAATTCTTTTCTTCTACCTGATTTGAAGTATACAATAAGTTATCGTTAACTATAATTTCCCTATTGTACTATCGAATACAAGAACTTATTCCTTCTATCCAGCGTATTTTCATACTCATTAAACAACTCTTATTCTCACAAGTATAATTAATTTAGTCCTTTGTGTATATTGTGTTGAATATAAGCTCAGAAATGTAATTTGTTCAGAAGAATTTGATATAAATCTTAAAGTTTGACCTAAGAAAAGCAACTAGTTTCTTTAAAATATCCCTGATTAAAAAATAAAAATGTCAGAATATATGTTAGAACAAAAACAAAGGGAAAGATAAAAGTAACTAAACATGAATTTTTTTCTCAAACAGAAGTAAGCAGAATCTCAGAATCTATTTTCAGCCTTTCAGATAATAAATTGGTGAAACCATTAGTTCAATATGCAAAAATGCCTTTTCACAGATTTAAGGAACACTTGATAAAGGAAAGAGAAAACCCTTATGTGTACATGAAGGAGTCCACCTACTGGACAGACTGTTAATTGGTGTGGAAAAAAAATCGCAGACATATTTTAAACTCGACACAGGAAGCTTCTCAGCAAAGTGAAATATAAAGGCCTTTTAAAAACAATTTGTATTACAATTCTAACTATTATGTGTGCCTCACATTAAGGAAGGCTTAATAAAAATCAAATAGGAAGAAAGGAAAAAAAGAAAGAAGAGAGGGAACGAATCCCATTTCTCCTTCCTAATCTTCCCATCTGTTTTCTGAGAAGCATTTTAAGGAATACATTTTCATGTACATTTTCCATTGAAAGATACTAGTATCCCACCCTAAAGGGTATGGGCAAAAAAGCAAACACATTCTTTTAAGAAGCAGAACTTTATTTTGTCCTAGCTGGTTTGACAACTGTGAGAAAACAGAAAAATATTACCACATGACCTTCATCTGAATGCATCCTACTACCCAGGGCTCAGTCCTGGAGGATTCATCTAAGATCATGTACATAAAACTACTTTAAAAAGTAAATATCCTGGCCGGGCACAGTGGCTCACACCTGTAATCCCAGCACTTTGGGAGGCCAAGGCAGGTTGATCACGAGGTCAGGAGATCGAGACCATCCTGGCTAACACGGTGAAGCCCCATCTCTACCACAAATACAAAAAATTAGCCGGGCGTGGTGGCAGGCGCCTGTAGTCCCAGCTACTCGGGAGGCTGAGGCAGAAGAATGGCATGAACCCGGAAGGCGGAGCTTGCAGTGAGCTGAGATTGTGCAACTGCACTCCAGCCTGGGTGACAGAGCAAGACTCCTTCTCAAAAAAAAAAAAAAAAAAAAAAGGAAGTATCCTATACAGAGACAAGACAATCAAGTCATATTTGGCAATGCATCCCAACTAGGCAAGCAGTCACTACCTGACTATTCCCCCAAACTCCCTCATTCTGCTCTGCACCCTGCAAGCAGCCTCTAAAATGAAAAAAAGGTTGGGAGTTGGCCATGGATTCTGTTGTCGTCTCCTAGACATGGTTCACTCCTATTTGGAGCCATTAATCAAGCCAGAACCAGTAGGCTGCCAACCCCTACTGAAGGTATAGATACCCAAATGAAAGACCTGCTTGCTGTGCTGACACCACTCTTAATGACTCAAACATCTGGAAAACAACATTTCACAGTGATGATCACAACTTCACTGATAAGCAATAACTCGCATGGTGTGTACTGTGCATTAGGAGCTCAACAGGAGAAGCAAAGCGGTGTCGCTTTCAAGGTGCCACAAGAACTCAGTGCTCTCCTTTGAGAGAAAGGCTTTTGCATCTCACAGTGGTGCCTTCAGGTAATAGATGGTGCATTCAACCGAGACTTCAGTCCTTTACGATTATGGGAAATAAGCCACATTTAAATCTTGGCCCATCCAGTTTCCTATTTCTAGCTTGTTCATGCCCATTTAAGAATTTAATTTTTTTAAATATTAGATTTGTTTTATAATCACAAAAGTAATACATACAATTTAAGTAACGGTGCTGGACAGGGGCAGATTATGTTTCTTCCTTTTTTTTTTTCTTTTTTTTGAGACGGAGTCTTGATCTGTTGCCCAGGCTGGAGTGCAGTGGCGCGATCTAGGCTCACTGCAAGCTCCACCTCCCAGGTTCACGCCATTCTCCTGCCTCAGCCTCCTGAGTAGCTGGGACTACAGGCGCCCACCACCATGCCTGGCTAATTTTTTTGTATTTTTTTACTAGAGATGGGGTTTCACCATGTTAGTCAGGATGGTCTCGATCTCCTGACCTCGTGATCCTCCCGCCTCGGCCTCCCAAGGTGCTGGGATTACAGGCATGAGCCACCGCGCCCAGCCTATGTTTCTTAAACATTTTATATTGTATTGATATTACTTCCCTACTGTGTTTTTATAATAATTACTACAATCCCAATTCTGTATCTTCCTGTAATCCCTCATTCTGTATGCCACCAACACCACAAAACACGCACCAACAGATATCTTTAAGTGAGCAGTTACTTATCTGTACCTTCCAGTGTTGCTGCAATGATTATGTATTAGTTGTACATTTTAAAGTAACTAAGAGTGTAACTGGATTGTTTGTAACACAAAAGTTAAATGCTTGAGGGGATGGATACCCCATTTTCCATGATGTGAGTATTATGCATTGCATGCCTGTATCAAAACATCTCATGTACCCCATAAATATATACACCTATTATGTGTCCGCAAATTTAAATTTTAAAAATATAATGATAAATTTAAAAAAATCTAAGGAGAAAAATCCATTTGATAGAACTAGTTAAACCACCTTTATAGATGGTTCTCATATTTCCTCCTCCCATTATGCTTATTATCTACATTTTCTCTGGCTAGGACTTCTAACAACTGGCCTGGATTTCAAACTGTAGTCCTACAATAAGCCTGTCACCTATTCCCTGGATGTAGGAACTGTCACAAAGTAGTCTTAACATTCAACTCTTCTCCATGTCAACCAGACCTAACACCACAATACTACATTCTTCTTCAAGTCAGGGATGCTCTCACACATTTTAACTCAAGCTTTCATTGATTAATTCTGTTTTCCGATGCTTCTCTGGCTTGTCTAAGCAGAAATAATTGACAAACGGGGAAGCAAGATAGGCAAGGCTGCCATGAGCACTGTATGTCAAATATTAGCCACAGAGAGGTGAGAAAGGTATGAAAAGAGGACAAGTACACATTCAATCAATGGGTAATGGCAATGTGGACAGAACAAAGTCTATAATTTTCAAACAAAAGGAATGCCTCTTGAGGAGTAGCTGATAATGAGGGCAAAAAGTCAAATTCTCTCAGCTTTTTAATTAAGTTTACTTAGTACAGGAACAAAGGTGCTCAGTAAATATTCTTGGTTCACTACAATGACAGACACACACACACACTCTGAAACTGATATGAAATTCATCTAAATGTTAATAATAGTTGTTTCCAAGGAGTTGAATTTTTGAGTACTTTTCTGCATTTCAGTATGGTTTTTTTTTTTTTTCCTAATGTTTCCTAATGAATCTAGTCTGGGTTACTTTTATTATGAGGGAAAAAAAATGACTTATCCAAAAAAGAAATATATGCCAGCATCCTGAATGGTAAGAAACTCATCTGAGCATTGACACCTCTAACCTACGTGGCCAACTGAGCTCAGGTCCAGAAATAATGGATCTAATAATAATGAAGAAAGCAGACAGCAGGCTTAAGCTCCCACTGAGCAGAATCTGGAATGAGTCCTAAAGCTTTATGTTACTCTAGTGTCTTTAAAGAGAAAAGTAAGTCTAGGCCTTCCTTAGTACATGCTATGTTTGCATAATCACAAGGATTTGGCTTCCGTTCTAGTAGAGATTAGCTGCTAAAAGCTAGATCTGGCAACTAGCTGCGAACTATAACAGATTTGACTGTGGCCATATTCTTTTTGCCTATGCCAATAGAAAGGGCATTGTTGTAAAGCAGATGGAACCCCTAGAACACAATTGATGCTTTATTAATTCATTACCTAAATATTTACTGAGGGACTACTCAGTTCCTATGCCAAAACATTTTATACTCTGGGTATTCAAAAGAGGACAAATGAAACATTTAGACAATGTCTCTTCTCTCACAGATCTTACATTTTATCAGGATGTAGGCAACAAAAATATTAAGAAAAATTGAGAAAGGATGCTACTTTCAGCAAGATATTTAGTGAAGTCTTATCTGACAAGCTGACACTTAAACACAGAATTAAAGAAGTGAAAGGACAAACCATATGAACATTTGGATAAAGAGCATTCTGGACAGAGGGACTAGAAAGTGCAAAAACTCTGAAGGAGTGTTCTTAAAGTATTGAGTAACAATGCTTGGAGAACAGTGAGGAAAGATACAGTAGTCTGGGGACAGCTAATGGAGTGCTTTGGGAAATAGTAAGGATTTTGGATTTTATTCAGTATAATAAGTCACTAGAGAATTTTGCACAGAGGATAATAGCATAGTTACATTTTAAATGGATCTTTCTGGTCATGTGTAAAACATAACTAAATGGAGGCAAGACGAAATGCAAGGGGTTGAAGGATAAAGTAAGAATCTAGGCTAGAGATGATGCTGTCTTGATGAAAGTGGTGACAGTGGAAATGAAGAGGAATGGTTACATTCAGAGTAAACTTCAAAAGTTGTTGAACCAACAGTTTTGCCGATGTGGGATGTGAACCAAAGAGTGACAACAGAGATTATCCCAAAATTTCTCACCTAAGTAACTAGACGTTACTGTTTACTTGAAAGAGAACATCATGGTAGAAACAGATTTGGCAGATCAAGAAATCAAGTTTGGATATATCATATTTAAGTAGACATTTGAATATGAGTCTGATGTCCAAGGGAAAGATTCAAGGAATAAATAGAACCTGGGGAATCTTCCATATACAGATGGTAATTAAAACATAATGTAGGAAGTGAACACATTTAAACAAGAGAAAGGGTCCAGGGACAGAGCCTCGGGACTTCAACATTTAGAGGTCATAATGAAGAAGATGATCTAGCAGAAAATATTGACAGGGAGCAGCAATGAGGCAAGGAGGGAAAGTAGTAAGAGAACGATGTCCCAAAAGTCAACTGAAAAAACTATCTAAGAGAATGAACTTTGAATAATACTTCTTAAAGTTTCCATGTCTTGTTTCTGATCTCAGAGCCCTGGTGGAAACACACTACCTTAGATAAAAATGAAGTTTCCACATCCCTTTGAAATACATGTAGTAGACCAGTGAATTCAGTGTCATCCCATTATTGGTAAGTTTGTTTAGCCCTTCATCCACTCTAGCTTCTTGCCCTTCTCTTCAAACCTGTGTCACTAGGCAATAACGGAAGATTCAGGAAAAGCTGAAGAGACCACAGATGTTTCAGGGCAATACATCCTGCAAGCCAAGCTTGGTTGTGAGCATTGTAAAACAAAATTAAATTGCAGGCACACTATTCTGACACAATGAAGAGAAAATGAGCCTCAGATCTAAGTAGGTTTCTTTTGGTCCAGCTCTGCGAAACACATATCTTATGTATTCATTTATTTCCTTACCTTTTCACTCTATTCTGGTAAATTTACTTTTAGCTACTGTTGGGCATCCTTCAGGAGAGACCATCCTAAGGACTCTACTGGAGTACAACCCACAGGTTCCACAGAATGAATTGATCAACATACCAATGTCAAAGAAAAGATGATCACCTTTCTTCCCAGAGGAGTCATGGATTCCCTCTTGCTAGCTACAATAGGCTGTGAGTCTTCATGACTGTGATATTAACTACCGGGGCCACTGGTACCACTGTTATAGATTATGGTATAGACTAAAAAGAAAAGAAAAGCAATATTACACTAATTGTTTATTCAACTTTATTGATTTTTAAAAGGTTAGTGGAGTAAGTACATCAGACATGTCACATGAGTTATTATATGTAGACAGTATAGACAGACATGTTTTGAATCACTGTCATGTATCTTTACTTCTATTATCCATGAGGAAATTCATGACACATTTTACATGAGGTGTGTACTGGCTTGGCCATGATACAGAAACTGAAACATGTAGTGACATGTATTCTTTGCATATGAGTTACTTTAATGACTTCCCCATCAGCTTATATGGAAGATAGAGCCTTGCACCTTGGGGTACTTGACAAGGTGATTTATGCAATAACACTTGACTCTTTCACCCAAAACCTTGAGCTTCATCCCCACATAAACTTCCATAATCAGAAAAAAATGACTCCTTATCAACAGAGAAAATCAAAGTAGCCTCAACATCTTCAGAAAATAAGGAGTGAAATAGGTCATTTTATGTCCAGACCACTAGCTGTTTTGACTTTCGTTGTTGTGGAAGTAATTATTTTCATGGACCGATACGGTTTCGCTGTGTCCCCACCCAAATCTCATCTTGAGTTGTAGTTCCCATAAGTGTCGCAAGAGGGACCCAGTGGGACATAACTGAATAATGGGGGGATTTCCCCCATGCTATTCTCATGATAGTAAGTTCTCAGGATATCTGATGGTTTTAAAAGGGGCTTCCCCCTTTGCATGGCTTTCATTCTTCCCTCTCCTGCTGCCCTGTGAAGAGGTGCCTTCTGCCATGATTGTAAGTTTCCTGAGACCTCCCCAGCCATAAGGAACTGTGAGTCAATTAAACCTCTTTCCTTTATAAATTACCCAGTCTCAGGTATTTCTTTGTAGTAGCATGAGAACAGACTAACACATGGATAAGTAGAGTTAAGGAATGCCTAGTTAAACCATTAAACAGGTTTCTTAGGTGTAGGACTTCTTAGAGCCTTAATGATGGTGAGGGCATTGTGAATGTCTGAGAGGAATATGTAATATTATATGTCTTTCCAACTTACTTGGCTATAAAAATTTGTTCCTTTATAGCATTTTACACAAGTGGTCTGCTTTATACCAGCCAGTTGAAATTCCCTCCACGGATAAGTTATACCCTTTGTACATACTTCGCTGTTGAACTGTTCACATTGCATTATAAAATATCCATTTGCACTAGCCTGTGAGTTCTCTAAGGGCAGAAATGCCTCCTTCATTTGTTTATTCTCTAGACTCGGCACAATGGCAGAAAGAAAACACTGAATAAATGTTTAAGAAATACATTCAGGCCTGAATGAGTTCTGTGGCAATAGCTGTGGCAGCTATTGCATCAATGAGGGAATACAAGGAAATTTCAAAATGCTAGAGGCTTATTCATGGACAAGAAGCAATCTAAGTGAGAATCCATGGATAAAGTCAAAAAATGTGGCATTTCCAAAAACATGCAGCAAAGTAGAAGAAACTTCTCCAGTCTAACAAAAAGCACCAATCTTTCTTCTTTAAAAAAGTCAAAATATCTTTCTCTTCTCTCTACAGACAATGATATAAAATGTTGTCACATAAAATAATCAAAGAGTATATAGTTTTAAAAAATGTGAGAAAAAGAATTATCTTATATACCAACAACAGCCAAGCCAAGAGCCAAATCAGGAAGTCAATCCCATTCAGAACTGACACAAAAAGAATAAAATACCTAGGAATACAACTAACCAGGAAGGTGAATGATCTCTACAATGAGAATTCTAAAAACACTGCTCAAAGAAATCAGTGAAGACAAACAAATGGAAAAGCATCTCATACTCATGAATATGAAGAACCCATATCATTACAATGACCATACGGCCCAAAGAAATGTACAGAGTCAATGCTATTCCCATCAAACTACCAACAATGTTCTTCACAGAACTAGAAAAAACCATTTAAAAATTTATATGGAACCAAAAGACGGCCTGAATAGCCAAAGTAATCCTACGTGAAAGGAACAAAGCTGAAAATATTCATGTTACCCGACTTCAATACCCATATTACAGGGCTACAGTAATCAAAACAGCATGGTACCAGAACAGAATAGACAGCCCAGAAATAAGGCTGCCCACCTACAATCATTTGATCTTTAACAAACCTGACAAAAGCAAACAATGAGGAAAAGACCCCCTATTCAATAAACGGTGCTGGAATAACAGGTTACCTATATGCAGAAGATTGAAGCTGGACCCCTTCCTTGTATCATATACAAAAATCAACTCAAGATGAATTAAAGATTAAATGTAAACCCAAAACTCTAAAAGCTCTGGAAGACAACCTAGGCAATACCATCCTGGACTTAGGAATGGGCAAAGATTTCATGAAAAAGATACCAAAAACTATTGCAACCAAAGCAAAAATTGACAAGTGGGATCTAACTAAACTTAAGAGCTTCTGCCCAGCAAAAGAAACCATCAACAAAGTACACAGACAACCTACAGAATGGGAGAAAATATTTGCAAACTACGCATCTGACAAAGGTCTAATACCCAGCATCTATAAGGAACTTAAACAAATGTACAAGCAAAAAACAACCCCATTAAAAAGTGGGTAAAAGACATAATCACTTTTCAAAAGAAGACATACATGCATCCAAGAAGTATGTGAAAGAAAGGTGCATATCAGTGATCATTAGAGAAATGCAAATCAAAACTACAATAAGATAGCATCTCACACCAGTCGGAATGGCTATTTTTTTAAAGTTGAAAAATAACAGATGCTGGTGAGGTTATTGAGCAATTGTTGGAGCTGTGCCAAGCAACCGTTGGTGGTGGTGTAAATTAGTTCAACCATTGTGGAAAGCAGCGTTGCGATTCCTCAAAGAGCTAAAAACAGAACTAACATTTGACCCAGCACTCCCGTTATTGGGTATATACCCAAAGGTTTATAAATCATTCTATTATAAAGACACATGTACACCAATGTTCACTGCAACACTATTTGCAATAGCAAAAACATAGAACTAACCTGAACGCCCATCAATAACAGATTGAATAAAGAAAATGTGGTACATATACACCACAGAATACTACGGAGCCATAAAAAAAGAATGAGACCCTGTCTTTTGTGGGAACATGTTTGGGGCTGGAGGCTATTATCCTTAGCAAGCTAAAGCAGGAACAGAAAACCAAATACCACATGTTCTCACTCATAAGTGGGAGCTAAATGATGAGAACTCATGGGCACAAAGAGGAGAACAACAGACACTGGGACCTACTTGAGGGTGGAGAGTAAGAGGAAGAAGAAGAACAGAAAAAAAATAACTATTGGGTACTAGGCTTAGTACCCGAGTGACAAAATAATCTGTACAACAAATCCGCATGACGCTAGTTTACCTATATAATAAACCTGCACATATACCCCTAAACCTAAAATAAAAGTTTTTTTAAGTATTAGGAAGTTAATTAGAAATTATTTGTTTTTCTGGAGTTTGTTATTTTCATGTGTAATTACACATAATCACTTTCTTAATTTATACACATTGTTTTGTATTTTTAAGGCCCCCCCCAAATTGTATAATCTTCCATTTGCACCAAATCCTGATCTCCCTAAGGGAGAAATTCAGCAAAATAACTTCGCTAGAAAATAATTACAATTAGACTTGAAGCCAGGACTGGTTGGTCTCAAAGAGTTCTTTCTATTGCACTTTCACCACCTTTATTATCAGTTAAACCTCAGTGTGAATACATTTCATCTCTTCTTGAGAATAAGTAAATTTGGAGGGGAGAGGAAAACCAAGGAAGCTTCTGGAGAAGTTATTATTAAACACACAAAACACAGGCTACAAGTATCCGAACATAAGCTATTCCTACTTTACAATTTTGCCTAGACTTGTGTCACTGGCCTCTTGTTATATAGCTGACTAAAAATAATTACTTACTGCGTATACCTGAGTATAAACTCATATTTTATTCTTACCTTTGCATATCTATAAATTTGACTATGGTTTCACAACTGGCATGCCCATGAGACTGTCTAATGGGGAAAAAGAAAATTCTGCAATGCACCTTTTGTTTATGGAAATCTCTATCTCAGTAGTACCAACCTACTTTTATTTCTAGATGCTTTTTATCACTGTAGCAGTTATGCTATTGGTAGATGTACCCAGTGACAATTTTAGGACTTACATACCCAATAAATGCAATAAATAATTAAAGCCAGCATTAAATATGCTAATAAGTCTACATGTTTCCTAAAACAATTACACCAGCATTGTAAAACTGTTAAAATAGGAATATAGGCAAGCCAATCACACTCAAGATTTGATCATTTTTTAAAAGACTCACAGTTGCTCAGCCATTAAAGCTAGTGGAAAAACCTTCCTCTGGGGACTATTTTCCTGGTTCATTTTATACCATGCTAGAATTAACAAAAAAGAAAAAAAAAAGGACTAGAAGAACAAGAATCCTTAATAGAAGTAAACCACAACACACCTCATACACAGTTTTGGACAATGAATATTGTATTTTTTGCCAATAGCAAGCAACAGGCACCCTCTGCTTTTGTTAATGCAGTTCAGCTGATATGACAGACAAAACTGAAAGAGAAGGAGAATGTGCTTTATCATCTGTAGCTGAATTTCAATTTTCTCTTTCAAGTACAGTTGAATGCATTTTCTTTGCAACCCAAAGACAGAAGATCTTGATTACTGTTGCAAGAATAATCTCAGCCTTTGTGTGAAGAAGATAGGGAAAATAAATAGTCTCTCTGGAAGATGTGTCAGCTTTTGAACTTACAAAACAAGATATATTCTTGGAGGTAGGGAAATTAAATTAAGGTGAAATAGTATACCCATTAAAATGACAATTGAAGGCTTGTTTTGTAGACTATGGCTGGCTTCCCAAATGTCCTATGTTAGCCTCACCCCAGGGGCACAGACAACAGAACCAGGAACAAACAGGGTCAAGACAGGTGCAACTGTCTGGGAATACAGGTCACTCAGGCCACAGGCTCTGTCATGAACTGCCAGCTCTTGTAAAATAAAGGTTCCAACTCCTTTCTCCCCACCACCAATGTTTCAGGTCTTAAGAAAGAAAATGAATCGATATCTCTCCAGATTTCTTCTCATCTATATCCACATCAAAAAAATCAATCCAACACCAGCTCAGCTGGATTCTTTCTCTCTGTCTCAGGAGAATGCTAAGTGTGTCCCCTCTTGAGTATTAAGAAAAGTTGTGTCTCTCTGAGTCACCTTTCCTTTACTTCCATTCAACGGACAGCATTTTAATTGTGGCTAATAAAGAGTACTTCATTGTCCCCAATATGATCAGAAAACACAAAATTAGTAACTAGTCTGTTATTGTTCTCTCTCAAGTATTCTGTCTCATGCACCCCTTGGTAATCCCTACGGCTGTCAACTCAGCACTGCTGTCCTATCCCCTTCCATACTTCTATCCCTCCTTCCTCTCCACTGCTCAAATTAAATAGCCCATTCCCAATTCATCAGACAAATCAGTCTGCAATAACAGATGACAGTGGCTTAAAGTGTAAATTTACATGGACACAAGAGATCAGGTCCCCCACTAAACACCTCACCCCTACCCTGGGTAATATTTTAAACCAGAAAGTTAATGAGAATTTATCAGACTTCATTTTCTCTTACCTCACATTAAATCTGGTATTGTTAACCACATTAACTTGACATTATAATTTCCTCAGCTTCCCTAACTATGCTGGCTATGTTCTCTGACCTCCACCTCTCCATTTCTCCTTCTAACTCTCTATGGGCTGCCTCTAAGCCTAATTTTTGGCCTTATAGCACAAAGGGCTTACTCATTCTCATGACTGCTGTCACCTTTAGGTTGGAGAAGTCTGAACCTGTATCTCCTCCCTAGAATCCCAGTACTACATATTCAATGTCTAAAGGGATTTTTCTCCTGGATATAGTCATTGGCCATATCTAAATATGCATAAAGATTAACTTGCCACCTTCCCTTCCAAATTTACATTATTTTCTCCAAATCCTCAAGCTATCTCGGAATTAATTCTTTTATTCCATTCATAACTTAGGTCTACAAGAACTTTGGACTCCTCTTCTGAATTCTCTTCTCCAAAAGCCAAATCTATATTAGATGCTCTTATCATTTACTCTTAAATTATTCCAGTATTTCCCTAATTGGCCATCCTGATTCAAATGTCTCTCCATCTCATCATTCATTATTTTTTTTGAGACAGGGTCTTGCTCTGTCACCCAGTCTGGAGTGCAGTGGTGTGATCATGGCTCACCGCAACCTCATTCTCTTGGGCTCAAGCAATCCTTCCCCCTCAGCCTCCCAAGAAGCTGGGACTACAAACATACACCACCATGCCTGGCTAATTTTTTATTTTTTTATTTTTTGTAGAGGCGGGGTCTTGCTGTGTTAACCAGGCTGTTCTCAAACTCCTGGGCCCAAGAGATCCACTGGCCTCACCCTCCCAAAATGCTGGGATTACAAGCGTGAGCCACCGTGCCCAGTCCACTCAATTTACCATTGATAAATATTCATAAAATACTGTTTCCTATTATTTCACTTCCCTATTTAAAAACATTGCCTGTAGCATCTGATTTGCACTCTTTGGTCTAGCCCTATATCCTTTTGCATATATCTTTCTGCTCCCTGATCATAAAATTAGATTATCAAATTCACTGATAGAATTAATCAATGAACACAGTGTACCATAAACCTACTATAGTGTAACCTCATGAAGGAAGGGACTGTTCATCACCTCTTATTTGTTCATTGCTGTATTTTACTATGGTGGAGAAAAAAATTAACAAATTATGTTCAAGAAATGATCTTAGTTTTTATCAATTCCCATTGTTGATATGCTATCTTCTTTATTTACCTCTTATACAAAATAAGGCCCAACTCATTATCCTTCTCCTCTACTAAAAATTAACAATTACTCCAACCTACCTGTATTGATCCCTCTCCTTTTTCAACTACTATAGCTTTAAAATATACTATATTATACTGTATGCTAATAATTCCATCTGTAGCAATTGTGTCTTTCAAGCTAGATTTCAGTACCCATTTATTTGAAAAAGTGTCACAGTATTAGAAAATAAAAAGAATGTGAAACCTTGTAACTAGAATCTAAAAGATGAGTTAAGTAAGGCAAGCAAGAAATCATCTCCTAACTAGTGAGTTTAGCTACTAGTAAGAGAATAGATTCAGTCTCAATTCCTAGATAGGCATAAAATCCATTTTGATAAAACCCTAAGAGAAAATCTAAATGCACTTCAAGAAGACAGGCTTAACAATTGGAGGGTGCGTGTGTGTGTGTGATCTGTGCCTTTATGTATGTGGTGGGTGCTTTTTCGCCAATGAGAGAGAGATTGTAAGTCATGAGCTAAATAGTTGGCCTTTCATGAGAAAGTACAGATTCTTCTCTGTAGGTCTCCAGGCTCATGATAGACTTTATCCAACTTAAATTTCATCCACAAATTCATTTCATAAATAAAATAAATAAATGTAAAAGTATTTTCCATTTGAATGATTATTTCTGCAACAATTACACAGGCATTTTTGACATCTTAAAATAATAAGTATAGTAATTATTATAATAGCTATCATTTGTAGAGTACTTGCTATGCTCCAGGTATAGTGTTAACAGGTTTATGAAGCACAAATGACAAAAAGTCATGTACTGGATATGTGGAGAAATAAAACAACCCTAGATTTCTCAGTGTTCCTATAAAAAGCCCAAGCCTCCTTCAACATGGAAATATATTCACTATATAGTCAGAAAATCTTTAATTTCATTTCTCATAAAAACATTTTCACATACCACAAGGATTAAATCTGTAGCAATTTGTTTCCCTAATGATGGAGCTAACTGTTCTGATCCAAAATTAAACTTAGCTCTCCCAAAATCAAAAGGTTACATACTGGGATAGTTTACCTAGTTACTCGGTGAAAGCATAGAGCAGAAAATTCCTAGATATTTATATTTTAAGGAAGAATAAGAGCCAGGGCTTGGAGACATCTCTAGGTCTGTGACACAAAGGGCTATGTGGCTCCTCTGGAGATTTTTATTTACATACCAAAGTGCTGGAGTTAGGAATCATGCCCATTATGTTTCCAAGGATACCCTTGCAGAAAGAGAGGTGGACAGCTGCCTCCTTGCCCTTAAATAAGCAGAGAAAATCTGTTTTTTCTTGTTCTCACATGGGTAGTTTGGCTTCTTGAGTAGAACAACTGACCTGGCTCTCACTGTCTCACCAGAAATGTAAGAACTGGTGGCAGGGGAGGAGGGGGGTCTTATTTCTCATTAAGAAATCTGTTACTGATATGGGGCACCTCAAATTCAGAATAAAATTAATAAAAACAAATACTGCTATGATTTGAATGTTTGTGTTCCCCCCAAAATTCATTTGTTGACATTCTAACCCCCACAGTGATGATATTAAGAGGTGGGGGCCTTTGATAGGTCACCCTCATTAATCAAATTAGTGCTCTTATAAAAGAGGCCCAATGAAGCTTGTTTGTCCCTACCACCATGTGAGAATACAGCAAGAAGATGTCATTTATAAGCAAATGGTGCCCTCACCAGACACCAAATCTGCTGGCACCTAAGTCTTGGACTTCCCAGTCCCCAGAACTATGCGACATAAATTACTGTTGCTTATAAGCTACCCAGATTATGGTATTTTGTTATAACAGCCCCAAAAAGACAAAGACAAATATTAAAAACTCAACATAATGTGAACTTTATATTTTTAGCAGTTCTAGAACTTCAGGTGTATAATATGTAACTTTATTATTACATCTTATTATAATTTCTGCCTTTGATTACCTAGCCTAGCATAAAGCTTCAATCTGCTTATAAATTCAGATTTTCCTGTGATTTCTTATTCTGGTTTCAGAAAAAGCATATGTAACATTGAGGTATGAAGGGTGGCATTCAGATGATCCTCGTTCATTTTATTTGTGATATCTTGGGGTGATATAACCTGTCATACACTGCCTCAACATGAATATTAAACATGGACTGCTACTAGAGCAGGTATTGAAAGTTATGGTCTCACCGATGGACTTGATTCCCACCTCAGCTATGAGACATTCTCAATCAACAGATATTTCCCATAAATCATCCTATTGTCCTTATCATAGGCTTCCCACTCTGATCGAGTTGGGGGTAGAAAAAATCAGTAACTGGCAGTCCTACACAAGTTCTAAACAATTTAGCGATACAAAGGAGTTGTCCTAAGATGAGATCAATATATTACCTCTGCATCTAATAAAACAAATTTAGATAGTACAGTTTAATCTATTGTATGATTAATTTTATGTGTCAACTTGACTGGGCTTAAAGATGCCCAAATAGCTAGTAAAACATTATTTCTAGTTGTGTCTGTGAGGGTGTTTCCAGAAGACATTAGCATTTGAATCAGTAAACTGAGTAAAGCTGCACCCTCACTAATGCGGACTTACGTCAGCCAATCTATTGGGGGTCCAACAGAACAAAATGGCAGAGAAGGGTGAGCCAACTCTCTCTCTCTTTAAGCTGGAACATCCATCTTCTCCTGCCCTCAAACACTGCAGCTTCTGGTTCACCAGATTTCACATTCAAAGACTTATATCAGTGGTCTCCCATGAGTCCTCAGGCCTTGGGTATTAGAGTGGAAGTTACACAATCTGTTCCTCTGGTTCTTACATTTAAGGAGTCCGTCTGAATAACACTATCAGCTTTCTTGGTTCCCCATCTTGGGACAACATATTATGGGACTTCTCAGCCTCCACAATTGCATTAGACAATTCCCCTAACAAATCTCTTCTTATTCCTATATCTATCTCTATATATCCTATTAGCTTTGTTTCTCTGGAGAACCCTGCCTAATACATCTATGAGCAATGGGTTTTCCAATATTATACAGATCTTCCCACTCAGTCTCAGCACACAGTATGAGGAAAGTCCTTCTCTTACCCCTGTAAAATGGAAGAGCAGAGCAACTTCCTGAGGACAGCTGAATCCCAAGAAAAAAAGGAGGACAATGTTCTAGTTTCTTCTTCTAAAGTCGACGATCATATAACTCCCTTAACTACTCACATAAAGGTTAGGTCAAGAGATCAAACATGTTATAACAGTGGACCTTCCACATAAAAGGAAACATCACAAAAAGAAAGAAAGCATTCTATAATCCCTTCCATATACCAATAATCTGCAGCATTTTTGTTCTACTAAACCACTGGACTTAATAATTAAGCTTATGGTCAGTCGGCATGGCTGTCCTTCAGAGAAGGGAATCAGCAATCTATCAAGACATTGCTTCTTTGCTTCTTCCATTTCATGAGTCACCTACACCATCTATGACTTTAGGTATTGTCTTCTGAGACCACTGTTAGCAGTTAAGATTTTTGAACCCCGAATTCTCCAAAGTAGGTCAAAACTACATTAATTAAATTAAATCAAATCTGTAGTCATTCTACAGCCTGGCCAGCATGGCAAAACCTCGTCTCTACTAAAAATACAAAAATTAGCCAGGCATGGTGGCACACACCTGTAATCCCAGCTACTCGGGAGGCTGAGGCACAAGAATCACTTGAACCTGGGAGGCAGAGGTTGCAGTGAGCCCAGATCAAACCACTGTACTCCAGTCTGGGTAACAGAGGGAGACCCTGTCTCAAAATAATAAATAAATAAAAATAAAAATAAAAAATTTGTAGTCATTCTATAACTAAGGCTGAAAACTGATTTCTAATTCTGTGTCTTATCAAAAATTATGATAAGTATATATCTAGCATAATACATCAGGGTCCTGCAATGAGATCAAACAACTTAAGAAATTCCAAGAATATAATTCTAACATTATAGAGATAGGCCAAATTTGAAAATAAGCCCTTTCAATTATTAAATTCCCAAGAATAAATTTAAGTCCAAAAACTAAATCACCTTGGAAATTCAAATAAAAAACCATTAACACTCAAAGAAATTAAAGTCCATTATCAAATTTTCATGCCCTTATGAGCTACACCTTGAAAATGTTCAAATCAGAATGCTTAGGTAAAAGTCAATAAAACATCATGATGAATTTATTCTTCTGCCACCTCAGAGGCATTCTTAATACTTGGAATGGGCATACAGTCATGTGCCACATAACAACATTTCGGTCAATGATGGACTGTCCTATAATATTAAAATGGAGCTCAAAAATTCACGTCAACTAGTGACATAGTAGTCCTTGTAACATTGTAGCGCAATTACTTAGTTTTTTTTTTTTTAAATAAATTCAGTGTAGCCTAAGTGTACAGGGTTTATAAAGTCAACAGGAGTACACAGTAATGTCCTAGGCCTTCACATTTACTCACTACTCACTCACTGCCTCACCCAGAACAACTTTTAGTCCTGTAGGCTGCTCATTCATGCTAAGTGCCCAAAACAGGTGTATCATTTTTTATCTCATACAGTATTTTTACTATTCCTTTGCTATGTTTATATATGTTTAACTACACAAATACTGACCATTGTGTTACAAGGACCTTCAATATTCAGTAAAGTAACATCCTGTACAGGTCGGTAGCCTAGGAGCGATTAGCTATACTATATAGCCTATGTGTGTAGTAAGCTATACCATCTAGGTTTGTGTAAGTACACTGTATGATGTTTGTAGAATGATGAACTCACCTAATGATGCATTTTTCAGAACATATATCCTTGCTGTTCAGCGATGCATGACTGTAGTTCCTCCAGGGATTCAGATATTATATCACATCAAAGACAAATTTTTCCTAGCTACATTGTAAAGAGCCAAAAGAATAATCATCTGCAAAAAAAGGTGAGCTGTATCTCTATCATATTTTTATGACCTTTGATAAACTAAAACTGAATCAAAGATTTAAATGTACAAAGGGAAAGAAATATGAAACCATGAAGTACTAAATGAAAACACACAAATTCCTTTAAAATCTGGGGTGAAAAAGACATTTCTAAATGACTAAAACCCATTACATAAAGAAGGAAATACTGATAAATTGTACTATATTAAAAGAAAAATCAGGGTCAAAAGACAAATGACACACTAGAGAAAAAATATTTCAAACTCACATGATAGGCAAAAGATTCAACTCCATCATATAAAAAGAGCAGCTAGAACTCAAATGGAGATAACAGTAATAAATTCCTAAAAATGGTCAAAAAAAATGAAAATCACTTCACAGAAGAAGAAATTAAAATGGCCCTTAAAGAAATGCAAAGATATACAACTCATTCACATATTCTTATTAAATAATAAATACAAATTAAAACAACACTGAGATAATATTTTTCACTTATCAGATTGTCAAGAATCCAAATTTTCATAATACTCTGTTAACGAAACAGATCTCACACCATAAGAAGAATGCAAAATAGTACAACATATACAGGGAGAAATTTGGTAATACACAAACATTACACAGGCATTTATCTTTTGATACAGCAATTCTACTTTTAGGAATTTATACATGCAAGCATCCACTAGCAGGAAACTGTTTATGATACATTCACATCACAAAATATTAATTCCATGCAACGAGGAAAAGTTTTCCACATATTGAAAACATGCAGTTGACTGAAAAAAAATGAGGTACAGAGCAGAGTGTGTGAAGTTTGCTATCTTTTGTAGAGAAAAGGAAAAATTAAGAACATGGATTCCTATTTGTATGTGTCTGCATGTTAAAAGACAACACATTAGGTATGCATAGTATGGTAGAACCTACTAAATGGATTACTTACTTACTTATGACTCTGAAGCCAGATTGCCTAAGTCTACTTCTGCCACTTTCAAATTAAAACCTTTTCGAGCCTATTTTTAAAATGGGGAGTATAGAAATTCTTACCTCAGAGAGTTGATACAAGATATAAATGAGTTAATATTTGCAAAGTACATAGGACTGTATTTGGACACTTAAGTATTATACAAGTTTTTTTTTTTTAAGCAACAAACAACTAAATAAATAGAACCTGTAGGCATGGGTAAATATATGAATAGAAGTAAGGTTTGTCAAATTTACATTTTTCCATCTGTTTTAACTTCGCAAATGTATGGTTCAAAAACAATACTAAAAGAATACATGTACTCAACACAACTGTCCCCACACCTATGTAATTTCAACACAGCCACTTTCCCAAACCCTAAAAGAGTTATCCCAAAGCACACTGTGTTCTTAGAAACCGGAACTGAATGTCATCTAGAGGAAGAAGGGGACATGAAAATATTCTTGGTTGCAGCCTCATCAGGATGCTTGTCATTTATGTGAGTAACACAAAATCCTGAAAACTCCTATCAATACGATAATTTTGACATTAACGATTCATCCTACCTGGGAGTAAAATGCACTCAGTATACTGTTGCCTCTCTCAGAGAATGACATTTGAGACATTCCTGCCTTACAGAAAAGTTTAAAAATTTCTAATCAAGTTCACCAGGTTTTAATTAAGTATAAAATTTTCCCTCTACAATATGTTTTTAAAACTTTCATTTTCATTCCCTCTCTGAGCCCTCAGTTTCTGCCACTTTGGTGCAGCTAAAGGTGGACTCTATCTTACAAAACAGAGCCTACCATCTCTGATAAGCATATATTTCTTTTTTTTTTTTTTTTTTTTTTTTTTGAGACGGAGTCTCGCTCTGTCGCCCAGGCCGGACTGCGGACTGCAGTGGCGCAATCTCAGCTCACTGCAAGCTCCGCTTCCCGGGTTCACGCCATTCTCCTTCCTCAGCCTCCCGAGTAGCTGGGACTACAGGCGCCCGCCACCGCGCCCGGCTAATTTTTTGTATTTTTAGTAGAGACGGGGTTTCACCTTGTTAGCCAGGATGGTCTCGATCTCCTGACCTCATGATCCACCCGCCTCGGCCTCCCAAAGTGCTGGGGTTACAGGCGTGAGCCACCGCACCCGGCCCCATATATTTCAATCCTATATTACAGTAGTTCTTTCCACTGTTTCTTGTTATGGAATTGATAAGCTGGTGACCTGCCCCTCAGGGAGGGTCTCCTCTCTCATCTATTTATTTCAGCTGGAAAATCACTCTCAGCAGATTCCTGAATTGAAGCTGCAACTGATGATCCTGAAGCCTGAGCCTCCAGGGGCCCAAAGAGAACTAATTCCTTTTCCATGTGCTCCTGTCTTTCATCATAAAATTGTACAGACCTTGAATAGCATTTTTTTCTGCTACATATTTTTCTGCAACAATGAAACACACCTCTACTTTTTATTTTCTTCTATCCTTCTATCTTTCAGAAAGTTTTAACTGTTCTTAGCTATGTAATCAACTTAGGAAGTTGAATTTCTAACTGGTTAACCTTTTTATTAATTTGGTCTCTTCTCCAACACACATAGCATTAATGCTGTTTGCTGGAAATGAATACTTGACTACCTTATTTTTTTTCTAAGCATTAGTTTTTTTCTAACATACTCCTCTAGTTCTTAAGTTCCAGAATCTTCTTCTCTATCAATAACAATGAAATCACTCAATTCTGAATTTACTAAAAGTATCTACCATTCAAACACATATTTTCCCCTCTTCCTCCCTGAGACAAATAGTTCCATGCAGGAACTTTTCTCTCATTAGACCAACATCTAGTCTATTTAAGCCTGAATTTATCTTCTTGCCTGGCTCATTCCAATATGCCCCTCTTGCTTGAGCCTTGTCTTGCATCCTAATTTTTGGGCACAATCCTTCAAGGCACAAAATGTAACTATGTTCAAAATCTATAATGGCTATGTTACCTTGAAAACCACCTAATGACACTTTGTAAGTTCAACAGATTTCCCTAGTCTTAGTTCTGCCTTTAACGTCATCCCTTAACAGTGACTTCTTAACAGTTTCCTATTTCCTGACTCTCTTTCAAGGAGCCATTCCATTTGAGATCTTGCCTCTTTCTCTTTTTGATTAATTTGACTCAGGTCCTTATCTCAATCAAGTAACAACTAAACTCTTAAACTCTTCTTTTACCAATCCTATGACATACAACATTTAGATCCTCTTGAATCTCTATTTCCCTCTACTTGAACTTCAAATCTCATTTTCTATGTCATTTCTCTTAAGCTGGTGTCCTAATTTCCCAAATTTGCTCCTAAAAACTTTTCTTTTTCTCCAGCTCTAACTTATTTTATTCTTGCTTCCATTTTTCCATTGCTCTCTATTAACAATGAAGCATAAATTTTAAACTACGCTAGCACCTAAAATCCTAAGCAAAAATGATTTTTAGAACCAGATATTCCAATCATGAGACTTTTTAATTGCTTTCTCAGTCACTGTTTTTGCAATAATTGTATTGAATGGTTTCTCATCCTCAATTTATGAAGATTTATGAAAATCTATATGGTCTTTACAAGAAGGGTTCCCATTGCTTTTTAATTTAATATCCAACTCCGTAATTTGATATCCATATGCACCTCCTATGGGTGGAGTCACAGTGTGAATCTCAAAGATCAAAAGTTATGACCAGAGTACACAGAATTGTTAAATTCAAAGCCACTGTGAGATAAAAAAAAAAATAGGAACAACTATTAAATCGATGGCCAAGTCAGATAACTCCAAGACTTGTCACACCAAACTTCCATCTCTTGTCTCTGAAGAGGAGTCAAAACAATATAAAAGATCAGAATTTGAGCAGACTTTTTTTTTTTTTTTTTTTTTTTTGAGACGGAGTCTCTCTCTGTTTCCAGGCTGGAGTGAAATGAGACGATCTCAGCTCACTGCAACCTCCGCCTCCCGGGTTCAAGCGATTCTCCCGGCTCAGCCTCCCTAGTAGCTGGGACTACAGGCGCGTGCGACCACGCCTGGCTAATTTTTGTATTTTTAGTAGAGATGCGTTTCACCCTGTTGGCCAGGATGGTCTCGATCTCTTGATCTCGTGATCCTCCCGCCTCGGCCTCCCAAACTGCTGGGATTACAGGTGTCAGCCACTGCACCCAGCCAGAATTTGAGCAGACTATCTATGCCCCCTATGTAGGCCTGGCACTAAACATTTCCTGCAAATACCACTGGCCATCCTAGAACCACTTTGAGATCTGTAAGGCTCGTACACAAAAAGACTATAATCATACCCTTCTCTCAGTCAAGGCTACTTAGAAAAAACTGCCTCTACAGATTTCAAAGCCAAGCAGCAATAATCACGTGACCAACACCCGTTTAATAGGGATGCCTCAACACTCCTGGTCAGATTTTGTTTGCTGAGTCCCTCAAAGCTTATTGGCTTTTGCTCACAGCCCAAGGTATGCAAACCTGCTTATATACAAACAGCTACTCTCCTGTGGGCAAAATTGCCACTACAGCTGAACATATATGATCGGTACCTAGACCAGTTCTGCCAGAGTGCAACACTTCCCACTTTAGCCATGCCAGAAGATACAACTACACAAATCGCTCTGCAACATGCAATTCCTTTCCTTTTAATTTTCCTTTTACTCCCATCCTATGTCCTAGATGTCAGAGTGAGAGGAAGGTCCAAAATATAACGTCTTTCCATTCCCTCTGGGAGAAATGAAACAAAAAAGGAAAGTGGCAAAAAAAAAAAAAAAAAATCTGGCCGGGCGCAGTGGCTCACGCCTGTAATCCCAACACTTTGGGAGGCCGAGGCGGGTGGATCACGAGGTCAGGAGATCGAGACCATCCTGGCTAACATGGTGAAACCCCGTCTCTACTAAAAATACAAAAAAAAATTAGCCAGGCGTGGTGGCGGGCCCCTGTAGTCCCAGCTACTCGGGAGGCTGAGGCAGGAGAATGGCGTGAACCCGGGAGGCGGAGCTTGCAGTGAGCCGAGATGGCGTCACTGCACTCCAGCCTGGGGTGACAGAGTGAGACTCCGTCTCAAAAAAAAAAAAAAATTTCAAAATATTTCCTGATAACTGTTAGAGCAATGAATGAAGACCATGTCTTATAACTGTCAGCTTACTGACAACGAACCCCAGAATGAGACAAACTTACCAAGGACGTCACAGGTAACAGGCAAAAAAAGACGGCGCAGAGGCAAATTCCGAACCTTTCCGTTTTACAGCCTGGAGGGGTCGGGTAAAACAGGTACTTCCTGTGAGCAGTTTCCGCCTTAGGTGAAAGGAAGAGGCGGTCACATGAAGGACTGCGCGTTCCAAACTGACCAATCAGATAGATGATTGCTATCTCCACGGGAGGAACTAAAAAGACAGCCATTAGGAGAGTTCTTCTAATATAAGTCCCTCTGTAATGAATCAAACAAAAGAATTGAGATGGGTGTTCCTACCTACCAACATAATTCCTAGTGACACCTGTTGGGATCTTTTCCTTCCATGTCGCAGCTATCTCTTGGCAAGCCCCCTGGCTCCGTGTTACTTCTTTATCCCACTTGGTGATTAGGAAAGTTTGAGATTGCCTGTAACCCAAAGCAAGTCATAAATCCCGTGTAGCCCATCTGATCTCTCCTAAGCATACTAGGATGCTAATTATGATGACCACATAATATTTTGCCCAAACTGAGACCCTTGAGAGTGAAAGAGGGCAATGTAATTAATTAAAATTATACGTTTTCTTATTTTTTGAGATTTTGAGACTTTATATTGGTGGGCCAATAAAGTGCAATTCAAAATTCATTTTGGAAAGGAAATTAGTTCTAAAAATTAAAATGATATAATTACATATTAAAGCTAAAACTTTTTGTAAAGTCTGTATTGATAATATGAACATAATAAAATGGCACTTTGGGAGGCCAAGGCAGGTGGATCACCTGAGGTCAGCAGTTTGAGATCAGCCTGGCCAACGTGGTGAAACCCTGTCTCTACTAAAAATACAAAAATTAGCTGGGCGTGGGGTCGGATGCCTGTAATCCCAACTACTTCTGGAGGCTGAGGCAGGACAATGGCTTGAATCACAGTGGCGGAGGTTGCAGTGAGCCGAGATCGAGCCGTTGCACTCCAGCTGGGCAACAAGAGTGAAACTCCATCTCAAAATATATATATGTATAATAAAATGATCATTCTTGCTGTATGCTGATGTATTTTAATTAGTGTTTTGGTCTATAAGACTGGGTCACTGATATTTTCTAAAGAATATATTTTAATATGGTATTATTACTTGTCAACTTTTTAAATCGCCTATACTCTTCTAAAACATGTACTTTATGGGTGATATATGTCAAATTGTTGACATCTTCACTTAACTGTTCACCATGTATTATAGTATTTTAAATTGAGAAAATAAGCTCATAGAAATTCTGCTAAACAGAAAATACCCTTTCTATTTTTTTCATTTTGAAATATGTAATTTTTTCAGTCCAAATATTTTCGCAAGTACCTTCTTCTGGCCTGTAAGGTAACCTATCTTCAGCACATATTTGTATGAGACAAATTTCATTAATTTTGTTGTTATTTATATTCTTTTGAGGTTTTTTTGTTTTTTTGTTTTTGATGGAGTCTTGTTCTGTCTCCCAGGCTGGAGTGCAGTGGCACCCTCTTGGCTCACTGCAACCTCTGCCTTCCCGGGTTCACGCGATTCTCCTGCCTCAGCCTCCTGAGTAGATGGGATTACAGGTGCACACCACCACACCCAGCTAATTTTTTGTGTATTTTTAATAAAGACAGGGTTTCACTATGTTGGCCAGACTGGTCTCGAACTCCTGACCTCGTGATCCGCCCACCTCGGCCTCCCAAAGTGCTGGGATTACAGGCATGAGCCACGGCGCCCGGCCTCTTTTGAAGGTTTAACAAATTTAGATCCTGCAAATTGGAAAGCCTTTTAAATTTTATGTCTCTAAAAATGTGAATTTATACTACTTATAGTAGAAATCCCATGAAAAAAATTATATAAATTTAAAATATTCCAAAGCACAATTATAGAATGTGAAAGTTAAATATTATATAAGATTTAAGATCCAATTAAATTTGTTCATATTATCCCTTGGTTTTGAATGAGTATTTTAAATATTTTCCTGTGTCATGGGCTTTGTTTTTAATAACTACAGTCTGCTACATTTTCAAAACCCGTATTTTATTGGCAAAACAATTGAATTCTTTGAAAATTTTCAAATGATTTTAACACAATTCAACAAATTTTTTCTGTCATTAAAAGTTTACTATTTTTGTAGATAATTTAAGTTTATTTACAAAGATTTTTTTTTAAGGATCAAATATTTTTAAAGTCCTGTTTGGAAGCAACAAAGAAACGAAACGTGCTATTATGTTTAAGTCTACTTTTTTGTTTGTTTTACTCAATTCCAGTTTTATCACAAAAAAAATTGATCATCTAATTATTACATATAACTCTATTTGTGAATTTTAACAATTACAGCTTATATTTCAATTGCAGTTTAGATGCATTAATTAATTGTGTGCATAACACAGCCCATTCCAAGAATATAATTATCCCATAGGTTTCTCAATTTACTATGAATATTTATTTTCTCCTAGGACCTTGTGTTCTTCCCAATTCAAGTTCATATTCTACAGTAATAATTTATTTTTAAAATTGCTTGAACTGCATATAAAATCACATTCCCAATAACAGCTGATGTTTTCCTCTTTTGAAGAATGAATTTTCCAATTTTTAATTTGACTGCATAAATTAAAGTAAGTTTTAGGAAATAATAAAATATATATTTACAATATAGTTTTTCTAACTTTCCTGTGCTGCTAGTGTCCCAGACCACCATCCTTTATTAGTAAGTATCCTTAATGATGTATTTAATAGAATGGTGGTTGTATTAGTCCATTTTCATGCTGCTGATAAAGACATACCCCAGACAGGATGATTTATAAAGGAAAGAGGTTTAATTGACTCACAGTTCCACATGGCTGTGGAGGCGTCACAATCATGGTAGAAGATGAAGGAAGAGCAAAGGGATGTCTTACATGGCAGCCAGCAAAAAGAGAATGAGAGCCAAGTGAAAGGGGTTGCCCTTATAAAAACATCAGATTTCGTGAGACTTATTCACTACCACAAGAACAATATGGGGGAAACTGCCCCCATGATTAAATCGTCTCTCACTGGGTCCCTCCCACAACACGTGGGAATTATGGGAGCTATTATTAAAGATGAGATTTGGGTGGGGACACAGCCAAACTATATCAGTGGTGAGTAAGGTTTGGTCTGGAAAGGTCAGATAAACAGAAACAGGCTATTGCTAGTTGTCTGTCAGGTTTGTCCATGTGTTAAAGGCATAATATTGTTTACTGCACACATTTCACATTTTTAAAATGAGATGATTGCAGAAACTAGAAGTAAAAAGTCAAGATCTAACAAATCCACACTGACTTATTTTAATGCAAACATAAATAGTAATTTTTCAACAAAAGTAAAACATCTGGGATAAATACCGTGTTGAACAAGATGTCAAGATGTAAAAGAAGTATGTTTCTGTGAGCCTGATGCCTTCAGAACTTGCCAGATGAAGAACACATATAAGTCTCCTATGGCAAGATCTTCTCTCCCTAACTTCTCTCAAAACACAAAGTTTGTTTACTTTCCCATCTCCTGCCCCTTCCCAGGTCTTAATCTTAGAAGTGAGAAGAGGCACAATGTGCTCACCTCTTCTTTTCACATAAGTCTCATCTATCTCCAAAACACCAACCATCCCACCTTTGTTCTCAGTCTAGATCCCCTCATAAATCCAATTTGAGGGAGAGGAGTGATTGGAACTCTCTAAAGCAGATTTGGCCAACTGTCAGGTTAGCTTTTTTTTTTTTTTTTTGTAATGGAATATGAGGAGAAATTAGAGGGCCAGGAGGAAAACAGGAAGGATAAGGAGATGAGTGGTGTACGGCATAGGTCTCAGGAAAACGTGCATAGAGACATTTGGGGGCAAGGATATGGAAGTAAATGTGGAATCTGGGGAAAAAAGATGAGAGATAAAAGGAGTTTTTCAAAAGTGTTCATTTGTGTTATATGTACACTTCATGATGTTTAAGGAATCCAAGGAAATAAATTTCCTTTTAATTTTTATCATCGTGCTGTTATTCTTTGACTACCATACTGTAATTCTATGATTTCAATAAGATAAAAAAGAGAACAACCAATGGAATTTAGAAAAAAAATTCATAAAATAATGTCTTGATCAAGAAAATTCAAATCTAAACTAATAATTTAGCTATACTAGCACTTGTAAAATGTATTTTATCTGTGACACCAGACTGCACAGCCCTGCAGCCTGACCACATGACTTTATGAAAGGCTCTATTTCAAGCTTTCTGGAAAGTTTTTGTTTTTTAAACTAATGGTTTGCAAGTTATTTGACAGAAGTGACATCTCTATTTAGATTATATGAGCTGCTTATTTGCATAGACCATCCAACTTTGTGAAATTTGAACCTCAAAAACTAATTTCAAATTTGCCTAGTTTCAAAATGCCACTTAATGGCTTAGTTACTGCCCACTCTCAGATCTGGAGTTAATCAACTAATTAAAGGGACAGTTAAGGGAATGGCATAATATGAGCAGGAAGGATACAGCTTCAGTGGTACAGTCCCAAAGGTCAGAGTCTCTTTGATTTATTAAATTGTACGGTGATTTTTAGTGAAGGTTTAGAAAGAAGCCCCTCTACTCTGGTAATTCTTTTTACTAGAACCTGAATGACCTCTAATTTTAACACCCTGCCTAGAAAAACATCTATGACCCAGTTCTCTCACAGTCTTGTTTCATGTGTTATAAATGTAGAGATATGTATCCTCTATGGATTTCATCGAAAAATAAATAGTTCTTCCTCTAAATTATCTTATCTGGATTAGTGTTTGACTATTAGTTAGTGGCAGCATACACAAAAATATACCAAATAATACAGGTCGAAGGGAAATGATAGCTTGGGTTATTTTTCATAGGCCACAATTATGTACTAACTATAAGGCAAATTATTCGATCACATGTTTTTGTTTGTTTTGAGATGGAGTCTTGCTCTGTCACCCAGGCTGGAGTCTAGTGGCACCATCCTGGCTCACTGCAACCTCTGCCTCCCAAGTTCAAGTGATTCTCCTGCCTCAGCCTCCTGAGTAGCTGAGATTACAGGTGCGTGCCACCACGCCCAACTAATTTTTGTATTTTTAGTAGAGATGAGGTTTCACCATGTTGGTCAGGCTGGTCTCGAACTCCTGACCTTGTGATCCACCCGCCTCAGCCTCCCAAAGTGCTGGAATTACAGGCGTGAGCCACCACGCCCATTCTCAATCATATTTTTGACACTTCAATGTAGAGGATCTAGGGCCAAGGCATCTAAATTTCACAGTTTTTCAACTGCCAAGCAGGTGTGAAATGATGACATTCACTAAATAGACTACTGGATAGTGTCAATATATATGACAATTAAAGATGGCCCCAATACTTTGACTCTCTTCCATAGAGAGGCAAGGCCTATGTCCCCTTGTCCTGAATTGAAGTGGATGCTGTATCTACTTTGACTAATAGAATATGGCGGAAGTAACAGTATGCTACTTTGTATGCTGGGCAGCAGTGGATTTGCTCTTTCCACTTCCTGTCACTTAGAATGCCTACTCTGGGGGAAACCAGTTGCCACATAAGAAGTGTGACTTCTGACACTGCCATGCTATGAGAAAGCTCAATGTAGCCATTTGCAGAGAAAGATCCTCAAACAACCACTACTGTTGTACTTCTCTCAGCCCAGGCATCAGGCCTGTGAGTGAGAAAAGCACTGTGACTCCATTTTTGGCAATATTTCACTACAACTTCATAAGAAATCCCAAGTGAGAATCACCCAGGTAAGCCCACAGAAAAATGAATAAGAAAATCCAAAACAATGCTTTTTTTTTTAACCAAATTTCAAGGAACTTTGTTAAGAAGCAATGGACAACTGGAATAACACTCAATATTTACTAAGGGCCAGGCACAGTGGCTCACACCTATAATCCCAGCACATTAGGAGGCCAAGGCAGGCAGATTACCTGAGGTCGGGAGTTTGAGACTTAGCCTGGCCAACATTGTGAAACCCCATCTCTACTAAAAATACAAAAATTAGCCAGACGTGATGCTGCATGCCTGTAGCCCCAGCTACTCAGGAGGCTGAGGCAGGAGACTCGCTTAAACCCAGAATGTGGAGGTTGTAATGAGCCAAGATTACACCACTGTACTCCACCCTGGGCGACAGAGCAAGAATCCATCTCAAAAAAAAAAAATATATTAAGCATTTAACTTTCTGTAAGACACTTTCGAGACATGTTCAACTTATTTAAACATCAAAAACATTCTTGACTAATTACATCTGACTCCCTCTTCAGTTGCTCTAAACATCAGAATTATGATTATAGATCCATTGTAGTATCTTTAGTTCAGAGCATTACAAATGGTTGTTTTAGTCATAGTACACAATCTTAAACTGAAACTGTGTGAAGTAATTTGTCTAGCCCATTTCTTAAAAATAGTTATCAAAACTATTTTTATATTATCAAAAACACATAAATAAAGTGAAAATTATTGTTGGCATGCTGTAATAGGTCAGTTCTGACATTAAAATATCAACATTTTATTGATAAAATATGCAAGGTGACATTAGTGAGGCGATTAGATTTTAACTAGTCAACTAAACTTACAATTCAAATTAGCCAATAAACTAAACCTACAAATTGCAAAGTGCTATGCTAGGACCCTCATTCTGTCATCAGACCAATGAGTATATTGATTTTTATCTTGTTAGACTTACAGGATAAAACTGTGAACTTGTGATCAGAGGGTATTCATCATTTATCAAAATATAATTGCTTTACAGATTAAAAAATTGTACCAAATAATCACAAAGTAGATACGGAGAACATAGGAAAATGCCAGGAATTAATTACACTAAGGAGAATTTAGAGGTGGCCTCAGCAGGCAAGATGGCCAGTGCTGTGATTTACAGGTTGCCAGCAAGACAAGAGCAGGAAAGAGGCAGTCCAGGCGAAGGATTTAGCTTGAGAAAACATCAAGGTATGTCCATACAGGATATGTTTAGAGAATTTCATGCAGTCCTGGGTGACTAGGTCATAGAATAGGTGGAGGCAAAGGATAAAGGTGATTGTGTTGGGCCCTAAATGTCATGTCATGGTAAAGAATTTATATTTTATCCCCCGAAACAAATACAGACTGCGGCAAATGTGAAATGAACAGAAATGAACTTTAAAAATATTTGGCATCAGAGTGTAGAATGGGTGAATCTGGAAAGACAAGATCAAGAAGCCTGCAATAAGGCCATCACTTGAGCAGAAATGCAAAGAGTAATTGTCTAATGGAAAATAAATTACATATCACTCAACCTTTATGATGAATGCCAGCATTTTAGATCTGCTCTTGGAGAGATATTTGAATAATTCAGTTAGCACAGTCTCTAAAGGGCATTTTCAATTCTATGTATGGTTTATTCTTCGCATGGCCAGAAGGTATAATTCTATTTACAATGTAATCTTTTCCAAAATAAACAGCAATAGCTTCCCCCAACCCCTGACATTTGCTTTTTTGTGCTAAAATAAGCATTAGACCTAGTCTTACTTATGAGTGAAAAATAGATTGTTCTCATTTATAGAGGAGTATTATTTATTATATGATGTAGTGTTTAGAGAACTATGCACTTGAAAATACTCAAAAATAGAAATATGCCCTCATCTTTTCCATTTTCCATTTTCCATGCAGAAGAGAGGGGGATTTTTGTTCTCTTCTCTCTGTGGCCCTGCTAGAAACACTACAAACTATGAGGGAAGGAGTTTTGGTACCAAACAGTATTACATTTACACCAAGTTAAGAGTAGGCAAAATGCAGGAAACTAAAGTCATGGAAAAAATGGAAATGCTATCAGTATGTCAGAGTAACATATCAATTGAGGTATATCCCTCTGCTCAGCATACACATGTATCAGTATGTTCAGTTTTCAACTGATAAATGTACATGGGGCATCTTGACAATAATATTATTACACAAGCAGAAATATGGGCCTTACTTAAAAAATGACGCCACTGATTAGCATTTATCTTAATGCTAATGATACAGATTCATGAATCCATTTGCCTAGAATGCTCGGTTGATGAATGTTACCCTGAAGAGTTTTCAAAGGTGAGCATAATCCAAACTAATCTTAAATAGATGACGTTATTTTACGTTTTTCAGAACAAAATGAGAGGGATAGCATTTAACAATTCACATGATGAATGCATAGTTGACATCAGCAAAACATGCTGGAATAACATAGCAGGAATTCATATAATTTTTCTTGTAAAAGAGAGTAATTCTCAAAATGCACAGAGGATAATAATGCAGATTAGGTAACATTGTAAACAAGTAGACAATTACTGAACCACCCGAGAGTTTATTTTCATAACCAAGAGACCAGCATTGAGCTTCGGCTTCCAATTAATCAGAAAGAAAATTGACCTTGGACAACTACACTTCTCCAGAAAATGAGCTATATAGAAATTCTTCATCAAAGATTAAAACAAATGAAACTAGTATAATGTATGCCATTGATTTAATCCAGTTTTAAAAGTTATCATACCTCCAAGTATTCCATTAATTTATTTCCCCTACATCTCTATTTATGCTTGTGTTTGTGGAAAATTTTGTTTCTTTGATTTTGACTTCCACCTTCTTCTAAATTGACTATAATTCTGTCTTATCAACATTGAATATAAGAGGCAAGCACGTTCTAAATAGTATTCAACTCAACTGGAAACAGAATCTGGCAATCAATGAGAGTTTCAGAAACGTGTGTGTCTGTGTGTGTGTGTATGTACAGTCATACATATATATGTGTGTATAAATATTGTGTATATAAAAACACACACAAATTTATATAACACAAATCACTACACAATAAATAAAAAGAGCTGTACATTTTAAATATTACATTTTAAATATAATTTTTCTTACTAGAGTATAAAATCATATTTAAGTGACCAAGTACCATAAATTTGAAGTGGACTTAGCCCAAATAATATGTCATACAACAAGTGAACAAAAGAAGAATTCTGTGTGTATTATGTGTTTTGTTAGTCTGTGTTCATATAGGAATATGTTGTGTGTGTGTTGTGAACATCTGTGGTCAACTTTTTCCTCTCAGGAACATTCTCTTCTTTAAAAGCTATAATCAAAAACCTACATTTTTTTCTTCAAGAAAGAGGTGATTTGGAATACTACATTTAGAATGTTTCATAGTACATTATATGATGTAAAAAAACTTTATAAAAGACAGTCACAGTATTCAAAGTGTTTTATTTCATCAAACTAATTACAGTTAATAATCTAAGCTAAATATTAAAATTTATAAACTCACATGTTTTTATTAAATGTTAATCCTATTCAGTTTCTCAGACATTTACTTTGGTCTTCCAAGTTAGGATTAAGTCATAGATTGATTGCTGTATTTTATTAATTTTAGCTCTCTTCCTTGGGTTGAATCTTTAAAAAATACACAGAAATACACACATTTGAACCCCATTAGTGAACCAAAACCACATAGTGAAAAGTTTCTATTATGCCACATCAGATATTACAGGTCCTGTAACTTTTCTTCATCCATGTAACCTACAAAGAATTTTTCAAACTATTAAAACTTGGCAAAATTCCAATCTTGATGGTGGTATTGGTCATACAGAGAATTAGATGTTAAGTAAAAACCAGGAACATTCATGATAGCAGTGGGGATTCCAAAGAACTATCAAGTAAGACACAATGCTGTGACCAGTTTCAAGGAAGGATATTTATAGACAGAAAAAACAATACACAAACCAAAAAATATTCCAAAGATATTTATGTTTATTGTTTTAAATTTAAATAGAAAAAATACATTAGAGGGATATAATGTTTTATATTTTAATAATTCCAGAGTTTAGCTCCAACACATTTATCTTAAAATATAAGTATCTGTGATTAAATTTTATAGAAATTTAAATCCTTACTATTTTAAAGACTCATTTTCCAGTGAGAAATTGAGACCTGAATAATTCTACAATGCTATGCTCTAGTATAAACTTTGTTTTAAGAAGCAAAGTAACTCTATTACCATAAGTAATAAGTTGAGCTTTGAAAAGCAAGGGACATTTACTTAAAGGGACAGTGTTTAAAAAATCATTTCCTGATGAATTACTTTAAAATAGTAAACCAATATTTGATAATGCTCCTTTTTTTCAAAATAAATTTGCAAAAACAAAATAATAATGACTATGTGCTCCTCACTATAATATACCATGATAATATTCCTACATTGAATAAAATTGCCAATTTCAGGGAGTCAAATGTGATTACTAAAACCTCAAGAAATGTGTTCTTGAGGAAGTAATTTTCCCATAAAATCAAAACACCTCTATCTCCTATCAAACCTTGAACTGTTATAAATATCACACTTTATATTTACTATTCTAATTGAGCAAGAATATTGAAGCTCAGATGATAACAAATTTAGTTTTTATGATATGAGGAAATATGCATTATTGTTTTTTTACTTCTATAATAAGGAATATTTTCAATTGTACAACTAAACAAACAATTTTAAAATTATTCAAGAGAAGAAAGAAGGGAATGGACTTCATATTCCTCAGTTTGTACAACACTTCAGCTGAGAAATCAAAGAAAAGCTTTATTTCTTCTGGAGTTTTCAACATTTTCAGAATCAAAGTAATTATCAGGGGATTTCCTTCATTAAGGATAAGCCAGTGGAAAAAATTAACCTTCTATTTCAAACTACAGACATTCAAAGTATTATCGCATAGATACACCTTTGCATGAAAACCGGATTCTCATTCAATTTACAATGAAGCTCCCTCAAAATCATATAACCTTACCTTATCAACCAACAATTATTTTTCTGCCCCTTGAAAAATGAAAGCTCTGATTTACTGTATACTTGAACTAGGAGACAATATACATAATCAGTAAAATGACAAGCCAACATGCTGCACTGTGTTAGCAACATCTGTAAAGACAAAATGTAGACTATAATTCACAAGTATAAAAGACTGAGAAAAAAATATGTCAATCAAACTTTAACTGAAATGCTATACATTGTCTGTTATCAGAGCTTCTTTTACTTCCCTCTAAGGAAGCTGTTTTCTATGGACTTCAAGTAATAATTTGTATAGATACCCATGGAAATCTATAGTTTGCATATTAATTTGCCTTTGGAAATAATATTATGCAATTGGTAATATCTTATATTGCCAACAACATAACTTTGTTCAGGTATTTGCCAGTCTCCTTTAATGGATACTATAGTAATAATAAAAATGAGACACATATGAGAAAATATAAAATATGAGACATATGAGAAAATATGAAATATGAGACATGAGAAATATTAAACGAGTTCAGCAAAATATTTTATTAAAGAGATGATGTATATGTATTAATATATGAAAAAATCCTAATTGCACTTCACATGATGATATTCATATATGATCTGCAAAATTCAAGGGAGAATTTTTATCAAATTGTGTAAATCCACATTATCTCCATATTTTACATTCTATTTTGCTGACACCATTTGTTTATCCTCTCTGATCACACACACTCACACCAAAATTCCAATGTATTACAGGGAGGTATTTCCAAATTAGGTTATATCTTATAGCAACTAGATTTGCATGGGATAAGTAAAAGTAATGAAAAGTTTGTTTTACTGAAAACTAGATGAAATGTATACAGTAGAAAAATTAAAGAAGACTATAATTAGTTTTAAATCTTAGTGTTAATATAGAATATATTTAATTTATCCTTTACTACTTGTGTAACATAATCAACTCTGTCATAGCTTGAGGTATCTGATGACATTTCAAATACATTTGTGTAATTCTTTTTTGCAGGTTAGTATTTTCAATTAAATTAATCGGTTCAGTGATAATATCATACTCTTGAATATCGTAAATTTCCTTTGCATAGTTCCATTTTTCCATTTTGAAGTGGAGATGTTTGTCTCTAGTAAAAGGAAAGGATAACATTTTATTCAAAATTTCTTTTATATTACGCATGGGTATTTCTTTTTTTTTTTAACGGAAGTAATTAGTGGTAGAGAAAAGCTATTAAGAAACCATAGCATTTAAAAATTTTCCATTAAATGTATCGTTATCCAAAAAGAAATTAAAAACGTTTATACTTATAATTAAAGGAATAAGTACTTCACTAATCTACTGATGAATTGAAGGACAGGAAAATATAAACAGTGTAATAAATTAACATTGGGATAGAAATACACGACTGAAAAGTAAAGCCCAAGAGGGAAAAATGAAAATACAAAGGAAAGGGAAGCAATCTCAGAGGAAAACTCTGGGATTCCCCTATAGAAACTAAAGAAGCTTGCAGAAATACTACCAAGGAAAATGTAAAAAGAATTTATTTTTTATACAGGAGTTCTTTCTATCAGCTTCCTAGTCCTTCTCAATTTTCTAAGGTGCCATACAGCTGGTTTAATCCAGATTTAATCTAGGTTTAATGCTTGATTCCAGTGACATCTGATATACAGAAGGTAAAAGCCATGTAGCTCTGGTGGTCATATCAGTAAAAGATACTCTGGTCAATCCCTGGTCTATTGGAAGTGCAAATAACATATGGTGACTCAGTTAAAGGTGGTGAAATAAAAATATTTATAATTCACTCCCCACCTAAGACAGTCTCCAAAAATAACATAATGAAAAATTGAGAAAAAAAAATGAAAACCATATCTGTAATTAACAAGTAATTGATGACAAACTATAGTCAGCAGCTTTTAAGTAGGTAGCCATTTGCACTAATAGGAGAAAGGAAATTGACTGGCATATATCTTGGGCAGGATGTAGATTTCAATAAGTATCATTATCCTGCGATGTTTCAAACAAAGATGGTTTGTTTGAAACCTCTGTAAGATAGAGTGTAAACAGGCAAGAAAAAGACAAAATCTGTCTTCATACGATTTTACTATATACTTCCGAATAGTGGAATGTAGAGGTAAAGATAAAAATTCTGATAGACTATATTTGAGAGTTGTGAACAAGCTTGCTGAATAATATAGAATACTAAGGCTAATGTGGGGAAGGGGGTGGGACTACAAGCAATAATCACTAGCAATAACATAAAGAAAGTAAAACAGAGAGTTTTACACTGTGAACTACATAGGCCGCCCAAATGTCAAAAATAGATATAAAAATATGGTGCCTGGGCAGAAGAAAAAACACATAAAACGGTTTTGGGGAGGTGGGCTTGAAACCTGAAATTTAAATAGCTTCTGTGGGCTGATCTGACTCACCCTCCCACCACTTCCCACACTGTAGTTCAGTAAATAGCTGGCTCTGCTCAGTGATTAATAGAAAGAAACCAGCCCCAAAAATAGGCAAGGGAGATAAAACCTCAATGAAAAAGCAGATGAAGCTCACGCCAGATAAAAACTTTTTCAAGAAATAGAGGAAGAGTTTATATAAATAGGTCTCTGTAGTCTCAAAAAATATTATAGACATGATCTCATTAATAGAGAAACATGAGAAGCTCAAAGAAGATATTTCAATAAAGCAATGGTAAAAATAGAGAAAGAGAAGAAAAATGAAATGACAGTGACCAAGAAAGCAATGGAAAACAAAATTAACCATTATGAAGTTGAAAAGTACATTGGAAGTTACAAAATAGAATAATCACAACTGAAAACTCACTAGGGTTATGGTTGACAAAAGTTAAAGAAAATTTTAAAGATACCAAAGTAGTTACAAAGAATACTGTAAATAGTTACAGAGCAGTGGTCCCCAACCCCTGGGCCACTGACCAGTACTTATCCATGACCTGTTAGGAATTGGGCAGCACAACAGGAGGTGAGTGGCACCCATTGAGCATTATCGCCTGAGCTCTGCCTCCTGTCAGATTAGCGGCGGCATTAGATTCTCATAGGAGGGCATGCAAGGTTGTCCGCTCCTTATGAGAATCGACTAATGCCTGATGATCTGAGATGGAACAATTTCATCTGAAAACCATTCCCCCACCCTCACCCGTGCCTGTTGCCAAAACAGTTGGGGACTATTGTATAGAGACAAAAGGGATTTGACATAATTGGCATTTCTTAAAAAAAAAAAATTAACTTAGACAAAATTGCAGAAAATTTTCCTGAAATAAAGATTGAAACCTGGGATAAAAAGCTCTGACTCTCTAAATCTCTTGCTTTAAAGAAGCACCATCCAAATTTCAACAATTTCTTCAGTTTTACCCTCCAATTTTAATCTTATCTTGAGATAAAAGTCAATTTAATTTTTTATTATTTAATGGCAGCATGTATGTCATATTGGCTTCTACATTTATAAAACTCTGTCTTTTAATCAAGCAATCTACTCTTCTAGACAAACATATCCAAATACAAAATATTTCTGATTTCTGGGTGGTAGAATTTTGAGATTGTTTTTAAGTTTCTACAATGTCTATCTTTAACAGTCATGTATCACTTTTACAAATGACAATGAAGTCATTGCGGTCAAAAAAAGAAAAAAGGAATAGAAGGCAAAGTTTAAGACAGGAAAGAAAAAATAAGAGATCTCAACTGTTCCACTACCTCTAGATTTGTGGCCCTCCAAACCATAGTTCACACAATAATCAGGTGCTTTCTCTAAAACAGAAAAATAAGGATGTTAGTTTTCATCGTATTATTCTTCAAGATTTTTAATAAATTGCCACTAATCCTGATCAAATTCCATTCCTTCAGTAATTTACACAAAACTCTTCCTAATCCAGGCTCTTTAGGTCTTTCCAACATCAACAACTCTCACTTCCCTGCATTCACCCTTACCTCCAAACACAGAACTAAGAATTTGTAGTAAGAGTTCCCCTTGACTTTCCACATCCTCATCTCTTCTCCTGCCTCAGGTGCTGATAAAATTGCGCTTTCATTTTTTTGTTTGTTTGTGGAAGTGGGAATGGAGGCTATAAGAACTCCAAATCATTCTATAAAATTTAGCTTAAGATTATATCTGTGAAACCTTCTCTGCTATCACTCTTGTTCCTCTCCTTCAACAATGTAATTAAGTTATGTGGATCTTTTATCCACCTCTATCTAGATCAGTGCTATGCTGAGCAATTTTGGAGCCTGAGGCAGAAGAAAATATTATTACTACTGATTCTATTAATTTATTTAAAATTTGTATATTCTGTTCATCATAAATCTTTTGCATTAATTTTGAGTTTTAAAAATATTCACTTAAATATTAGGTATCTTGATTATTGAAGTTTTGATGTCCCCATATATATTTGTGCCTGAGATGAGTATCACTCTAGTTTTGGCCCTGCTGTATTCTACTGAAGCATTAGTTACATCCCATAATTTTTTGTCTATGCATCTATCATCTCTTCCGGACTGTGACTACCTGCAAGGAAAGGGGCTATTTTTATCTCTGTATATCTAAAAATCAGCACAGTACCCAAACTGGGCAGGAGCCCATTTAGTGAATAAAAGCCCAGGAAATCCCAGAAAAGAGAAATAGCCAATATTCTACTGTCTTTAAAGAATACAGTCTTCCCTGGGGAAGAATATACTTTATCTAAATGGAGAGATGTTATATATATTTTTGAAGGTAGGGAAACCTTAGTTTGAAGCAAGCAATGAACTTAAAGTAATCAAGCAGTAGAACTAAATTTTTGTCCATAAACACTTATTTGTGGTTCAAAGTATTCAGTGTTTTTCTTACAAGAGTATGCTTGTATTTACTATGAGAATCAGAGAGTATTAAAACTGAAAAGCTCTTAGATATTACATAATCCACCTCCTCCCTGTTATAAATGAGGAATCAGTCTTAGAGAGGTTAAGAGACTTGTTTAAAACCACAAGACACTCAGAACTTGAAATTAAGTGACCCATCTCCACACCTGGTGTCTTTTACTGGAGAATATTTACAAATTGAGAAGAGAAGACCATTAAGAACAGGAATGGGGAGAGTGGAGATATTTTTCTAGGCCAGGAAGTATTGGCCAGCTCATGGGTAAAATAAGCCACAAATAAATTGTTTATGCTTTGTTTGAAAAGGGGTCACTTTTAAGGTGAGATTATTGAAAAATGACCTTTCAAAGTTCTTTCCAACCCTGTGATTTTATCTTTGTCATGTAACTTCTCTGTGACTCATTTCATCAAAAAAAGTGTGACTCTACTCTCTACCTACTTTAATACAAGATTTGTGAGGTCCAATTTAAAATATACATTATTCAAAGTACTATGTATATGCACAAGTGCAAGTCATTTTAAAATGTGGATTAATCATGTAAATATATGTTTATACCTAGTCATGCCTGGAGGAAATTGAAAGTAATTATGTAGCAGTTAGTGGCCAACATGGACTGCAGATACTAGGTCCTGAATAAAATTATTCTGAATTTCATCTTTAAAAGAGTTATATAAAGGTACCATTCTCAGCCAAAATTATTCATTATTATTCATAGATAACCAGAACTTTGGGTGCCCCTAATCATTCTTCTGAGATTTTCTAAGAGGGAAAAGTGACTGGCTCTTTGCAAAAGTGTTTTTACTTGATGTACCTCTGGGTTATTGGGAAGATAGAAATAATGACCAAAATAAAAATCACTGAATGAATTTGATGAAATTCAGTTAAGGAAAGCAAACAACATATTATTATTATTATTATTATTATTATTATTATTATTATTATTATCATCATTATTATCATTGTGTGCAAATGAAATAATTTATTTTAATAATAATGTTTAAGCTTTCTGGTTAATGTGTTCTTCAAATTAACAATTAAGAATCCTTGGTTAATTCTGTCCTTTCTCATTCTTTGGCCACATGATGTATTTTTAAACCTTCATATGTAAAGGTAAGAAAAAAAATCATTTCTTTTTATCTCTTTACACTCTGTAAGATTTGTAGAAGAACACTTTTTTTTAAAGGAAGCCAATGAATAACCAAATAATTATTTCTTAAGATAGGCCAATAGATTAGCAAAGAGTAAGAGTTCCTCACCAAAAACAACAACAACAACAACAACAACAACAACAAAACCAGCCTTTTCATCAGAATAGTGAACTATCAGTTTCCAGCATAGTTCCTGGAACAAAGTACGCTCTGAATAACTAGTAGCGAATGAATTGTGCTTCCAACCATATTTCCAAACATCGTCCTCAAGGCCAGAAATCTATTCACATTCATGAAATAATTTATGATAAGCTTTTTTGTACAAGTACTCTTTATTAAATATATACATATATACAGGTGTTACTGGACCTAATTTTACTAGAATCAATTTTAAATTGGGGGGTTGGGACTGGGTGATTTCGACAGTATCTTTCAGCCTTAAAATGTGTTGATTCTATGGAATACCTAGAAAGACAGCCAAGAATGATTTCTCAGATATGACTTACAATTAATATTTGGCATTTGCACAATTTTCAGGTATCAAAAACAACCATTATAAGGTAGTGCAATATCTGAAAAATCGATGCCAATTAACTACTATCACTTCTTTTCTATAAAAACAAAAAGAGAGAGAGAGATTTTGTCTGCAAGGTGGTCATTTCTATCAATATGTTCCCTAAAACACCCAGAACACATTCACTCATCCATTCCAGAGCAGATAGAGAGAAGCACAGAAGAAAATCTAGAGGCAATATGACAAAAAACCATACTTAGATTCAGCTGCATAGACAGTTGCAAAATTCTCAAGTAAGTTGTTAAGCCTACCTAATGAGAAAGAAGTCAGTAGATGAAAACCCTGATAAATCACATAGCAGAGTCAGTGGCATCCTACCCGACAGCTATTTTTTTCTTTACTCCTTTCATTTGCTGCTCTCTTAATTTTAAAATATTCCCCTTAGTTATTAAACCTTAAAAAAACTCCCAAAAAAACCAACATGATGACTGCCCAGAATTACAGAACTACGGACACAAAACTCTTCAAAATTTAGCATTTCACTAGCTAATATCTAGATCTATCTTGGGGAAAGCACCTGAAAAAGCCTGTGCTCAGTTCCTATGTCTGATGATTCTGTGATTCTGATCAAATTCTACTCTGTGACTCTGATCAAATTTGCGACAGTTAATCTATTAAGTCTTATATTGCCCTGATTTTTACTTTCAAGTACATAATGCTTTTCACTTATAGAACAATCTGTACCATATTCTCATCTATTTTGAAAACCAATTGCTGAAGTTGTACTGACATCAAAGTGGTTATGTGAACAAATATATTTGTTATCCACTATCAGTAGAGGCTGAAAAATATTTTGAATATGTTGTCAGACTCTAAATAAATGTCCTTCACTAAAGAATGCAATGTCCTCTGCTAGTTTATGGTTCTTTGGCATGCATTGACTGTTCTACTTTTTAAGTAATATTGTAGATAAAGGTGCAAGAGCTTTCCTAGAGAGACAGTTTCTAGCATAGTTCCTGGAACACAGTAGGCTCTGAATAACTATGTAGTAAATAAACACATAACTGAATGAACTACCATGAAAAAGAATTCATACAATGAGTTAAACTTTGGCTCAGAGAACAAAATTTCAAGTCAACTGTTAAGTACTGTTTAGCCAACATAAGAAAGGGAAGATATTTCCTCTGGTCTTTGTCTTAGTTTTTTATGCAGCAGATATTTTACTCTATTGATCAGTGTTTATACTATTCCATTTCCTTTTGCCAATGTTTAATTTAACAGGAAAATTCCTTTTCTTGAAGTTCCTAAGAAGATCACCAAAGGTCACTGCATATGACATCTAATAAACAATTCTGGTTAAGGGTAGTGCCACTGGGAAATTTAGGGTGGCAGGTTGATACTCATAGGGCAGATTTTTAAAATGTCATAGTCTGTTTTCAAATATCAATGAAAAAATATGCGCCACTTGTCTCTAATAGCTCTATTTCTCTTATCCCAACTTTCCAGGATGGTGTGTATTCTATCTAACTGAATGCTGAGTTCTTTTAAAATAATTTTTCTGAAAAAAAACATAGTTCACTTTTTCACTCAGGAATTAATTAACTCTCCCAATAACTGGCTTATATCTTTAAATGGAAAAATTACACAGAGTTTTTATTTTAGTAAAGAATATTTGTTTATATTTAAAAACATTTAAAAAGACATTCTGCATTTTCATCATCTTTTAGCAAACTACTATAGCAACGAAATTACATTAGACTTTCTGATTTCTCCATAGTGTCCTTAGATAAATAAACAACCCAATAAACCATGTTAAATGCCCCAAATGTGACTGGAAAGAGAATACGGGCATATTTGTCTATTTTACTTGTGCCAGATCCAGAAGGTGGTGGAGCCGATGGAGGAGGAGTAGCTGACAACTTCCCAGTAGCCCCTATGGTATTAACTGTGGTCTTTATCCTCTGCAGTCTTGATCCAAACACGTGACGAGTAGAAGCAGATCCAACTGAAGCCTTTCGAGGCATATATCCAGTTCGGATAGAAGTAGGAGAAGCAGATGGAAGTGCTCTTGCTGCAGATATGGTTTCAGCTGCATTTGCACGGCTGAATGGGTTTGGACTGGAAGCTAAGTAAGACCGAGGTGTGCCTTTAGAAGATTCTTGAACAACTGTGGAAGATTTGCTTGAATGGTTTCCCACCTCAGTTCTGTTGCCAACATCAGATTCAGAGTGAACCAAAGCATTTGTTCTTTTTCTCATGTTCAAATTGGCATTTGTATTCTGAAAAGGTATATGAAAAAATATATTGGTTATGTAACTTTATGCAGATTTGTACAAAATTTAAAGGGATCAAAATTCTTAAAATTAGTCATTTCCATAAAATAAAACTTTATTAATAAGCTGTAGTCATCTTGATTTTAAAAACCTTTAAAATACATAACTAAAATATAATGTGCATACATTTGAAACTTTGAATCAAAAATCTTCTATTTCAAAATATGGTACATTCTTATAAATAATTAAACCTTAAATCTATAGAAAAAAGATCAAGTTGTTAGAACTACAAGCTGAGGTCATGCTTAATTGCATTTTAAGAGTTAATGAATACTGCTGTAAAAGTTATTTGTTTAGCTTTATTGCAAATAATATTCTGTATATGTCATATACATTTCAAAGTTTTCTATGTGTTTGTTTTATAAACAGGGAGAACTATACCTAGTCATGTACACAGAATATCAACAATAACAACTATCCATACGTACCTAACATTCCTTTATTTAAAAAAGTCCAAAAACTTTGATTTCTAAGTCCTTTCAATTTACTTTCATGAAAAGCATAGATAATAGTACACATTATTATGAAATCTAATAATACTGACATATTTTATTTTTCACTTCAATTAATGATGAAAATACAAATAAAATTTAATTAGAAAAAGGTTGTATTAGACTTATAAACAGCATCAACCAACAGTTGCATAAATATCTGAATTCAAACCATTAACCAATAAAGAGTGATTAAATTGAAATATTTCACTGCTTTTCAGCAAATTATTTTGTTTGTAGAACAAGATTATATTTGAAGAAAGTTGTGCAGTAAACCACTAAAATTCTTATAATATTGACAGCCACAATAAATAACTATATACATAATTAATTATAGATTCTCCATGCTAATGAAGGACAGTAATTTCTCAGATGTTCCCTGAAATACCCACGTCTGAGTTTTTAGAATATACTATTATATTTTTGCAGGAATTTGTCCTCCCTAACTATGCTTATTCTTAGCTATAGTAATGTTAGATGATCATTACTTTCCATAACTTCTCCCCTTACCATTTCATGAAGTAGATGGTGAGTGAAAAAATGGAGAAATAGAGGAAAGAGAAAGAAGAGCAGCTAATAAAAGGGTGATTGGAAGAAGCCAGCCTCAAAGGGCAATTCACAGATACTAATAATATATGAAGTGGGTAGATTATATACAATTAATTGAAATCTCACTTTAGACATAAAGGTTTATTCTACAAATGTATTCTTTTTTAGTATACTCATCTAGCATGTTTAAAGTTCAATTCATATCTCATAAATCATGACTTCAAGGTCGCTGAGTAGAGAAGGAAAAACAGCCTCACAAAACAGAGCCAGTGTAGACTCTGACAGGTGTAGAAAGCATTCGTCATGTCAGCTTGTAGTATTCTTCTAAGCAGGGTGCAGTTGAACTAATGAGAAATTGTAGCCTAACATATGGCACTGAATTTGGGTGGAGAAAATTGAAATCAAAATTGACATCAACCTGAAAGCTGAAGAACCATTACTTATCCTGCAGTTTTCCTCTATACAGAACATTGTAAATGTCACCTAATTAATCCTCAGATTTTGAATCTCTTGTTACAGAAAAGGATAGTAATTAACTGATTATCATTGATCCTAAAATATTATATACATGGTGAATAACATAAAAAAAGAACAAGGTATATCCTCAAAATTTAAAGAGCATATATAATCATTGGCAAGGAAACATACATACACACATGATACAATAAAAAATATAATGAAAGGTAAAATATATTCAAGAACCAAACTATGACCAAATGCTGAATATCCCAAGAAGAGAAGAAAAGAGAGTAAAATGATAAATTGGACAAACAGGAAAGAAATACATTTTTTTTTCAAATATAATATGATAGTTGCATACCATCTTCTTCTTTCAGTCAGTTAGGTTGTCCATGACCTTTAGAAATCTGTATGTTTCCTAATACCAAATTCTAAGGACTGGAGACTTTCCCTTCCAGCCAAAATGAAGTAACAGGAACTAAGTCTACTTTCCTGCCTAAAATGACCCCCAAAACTTAAAACAAATGCAAAAAAAAAACCTGTTGTTTGAAGAAACTGGCCATTAGACAACACAGAACCATAATCACCGAGAGGGAAGAAACAAACTTGAGAGAGTTGCCATGCTGTGGTTTAGGAAAGGAAAAAACAGAAAAAAACTGGCAGGCTTCCTGAACTGAAGAGATGAAGTTGAGAGTCTTGGGAGACCAAGATGGCTAGAGTTCACAGGACAAAGTACCAGAGATAAGAATGCTAAACAAAGAGAGAACTCCAAAGATCTAAAGAGAGTCCCCATTGAGTATTTTACTAAGCAAAGATCAGTTTATGGGTGTGAGGTAACTACCCAAGGCTGAAAGGAACCGTCCAAAATGATTAGAAGAAACAATACCTGACATTCACCCAAAGCCAGGAATAGTGCATGTTTCCACCTGCTGCACTAGAAAATGTCAACATTCATGTAGCATTTGGTAGAGTACGTAGAAGTTCCTGTCTTAATAGTATAGTATAAATAGCCTCAAACACTGCTCTGGTATTGTCTAATGAATTTTAAGAGCAAGAGTAGGAAGGATCAAACTGACTCTAAGTAACTTTACTGCCCCCCAAAACAAAGTATTAAAACATTTAAGTTCTTTCGTTCTAGACCAGTATGCTTCTGGAATGTCCTGAAATCTTGTGAATTGTGTTCTATATAATAGACTGGCTTCAAAAGTGACACCAATTCATCATTTCTCTTTATATTCCTGCCTCCATATTCATGCTCCACATTCATGTCCAGGAGCTTACCCACTCCTGACCCATCCAGAGTTGGAGTCTATTTTTCCTAAGCTGGCTAATGACTTTCTTTGTTCAATAGTATGTGGCGGAAATGATAGTTTGTCATTTCCAATTCTTAACCTCAACAGTTCTTACTTGCTTACACTCTTTCTGGAAACACTGACACCACCACCATAAGAACAGGTCAGCCTGGGCTAGCCTGCTAGAGATTGAGAGCTCATTTGGAGAATAGCCAGTTATCACAATGAGACAAGCCTAGAACATCCAACAACTAGCTGACACTAGATTCATGAGTGTTCCGTTAAGAGAAAATGAGCTGCCCGAGCAAGCGTAATCAACATCAACAGAATCCACAGTTGATCCACAGATTTGGGAGCAAAAATAAATATTAATTGTGTGTACCTGAAGTATCATTTTTTTTGTTATGCAATATTATTGTGGCAATAGATAATAGATAGATGAGTTAGATCAAAGGTCCTGATGGGAGGTGCTGCCAAGGGCTCGTGAGGGCGGAAGTTCCTCAGACATTCTGGGATACTTAGAAGATTGGCCTGCCCAGAACTCATAGAGGACCTTTAGGGGGCACTGTTGCCTAATCCACACGCTAGCTGAAGGACCAACATATTTTGCCCTTCATAATCCCACTCTATAAGAATTACAATATTTTAAAACAGAAAGGGATTTCAGTGATCAACTTATTCCATTACCTCATTTTCCAGTAGAGAAAAGTAAGAACAGAAAGGTTACAGGTCACTGGAAGTCATACAGCAAGTTACTTACTTGGTGTCTGTTCTGCCTCACTGTAGAGGTTCTCTACTCACAAATGTGGAGGAGGCTTTAAAGAACTTAACAAGCTGCACATATTTGAGTCAGTCAAGTACTCATAGTAGTATAATGTTAAGAAAAATTATACAAGACTTGGACATCAGAAAAAAATACAGCATGTCCTTTCAATGTCATAATAGAGTATTGTTTAACAAGCCCACTCAAGGATTATTAAGTCTTTAGAATAATTTACTTGAGTTTGATTTTGCCATTTAATATTTTATTAGAACCCAAACACTGTCAAGTTAACATATTCAATTATGGATTCCTGTCTAGTACAAAAGATCATGAAAGGTTATGGTTTTATTGCCTTGTCAGACATTAAGCACTTCTGTATTTAACCTACCAGTCTTATTTTACTTTTCCTTTTAAAAAATTGCCTATACGTAGCCATTCCTCAAAAAGATTTTGAATCCATTTTACCATCTAAGTGGGTCTCTCATTAATTAACAATTGAACCAATCTTGGAGACCTGTCCATTCATTATTTGTATGTCATGCTTTTGACAGTTGGAAAACTATATTCTGATGATATCTACTATTGGATAAGTTATAAATATCGAAGAAATAAAATCTTACATTTGAAGAATATGCCTAGAGAAAGAGGAGAGTCTAAGCAAAAATAAAAAGAATCAGTCTAAGGTGGTTAGAAAAAAGAACAATGAAGTAAGAGACTTTTTGAGAGTGGGGTGTGCAACATGAACAGTACCAAAAAGATTACTGTCTGAAAACAAAGATCAAGTGTTTTTATTCCAGTTTAAAAGAAGTAATGAGCTAGAGTATAAAGACTGTCTTATCAATCATTGTAGATTAATGCACACAGTAGGCACCTATTTCATATTTGATAAATTGCATTAAAATGGATATCCTATAGAATCAAGATCCTTTTTCAAATTAGAAAGTGTCAAAAATTTTTATCTGATCTCCAATTTATTATTTCTTTTTCTATGGGACACATCTTTAGAATATTGCAGGTAGTGCCTAAGGCATTTAAGTTATCTTGACTCAATCCCAAGTCTGGCTGAGAATGCCTTAGAAGTTTCACTATTCTGTATATCATATCCTACATAAAGGAAAGTGGAATTAGACTGATTTGAGGCTTAAATCATTGCTCTCTGCCAAGCAGTTAAATGACACTCAAGTTATTTTTGCAGTTATGTCTCAAGTTTTACTCTGTTAAAAGTAGTCATTTTCCATGATGACAGACCACAAAAGGAATAAGGTATCTGCTGATCTATCTGGCACACGACTCACTGGGAAGAATATTCACCCAGCTTTCACATTTTGGTGCAACTAATGTGTCAGAGTGATGTTGTGTTTCGTACAGAGTGTAGAGACTTCAGTGGTTCTATCATGATTTAGCTGATGCACAGTGGTTTCGAACAAGAAAAAGCACCTAAGCTTCATTTGAATTTTAAAAAATGATTTAGTTTGAAATTACTTTGTCATTAGTCACAATAGCCTGAAGCAAGAAAAGAGATGCAAGGTGGTAGATTTAAACATTACCAACAAATTAAAGCAGCAACAGGCAAACAGGAGCAGATCCAGGCAATTCGTCAGTCATGACTGTGATCTGACACAATTTCTAAATAATTTTTATCAACTGCAAAAAAAACTCATCTCAACTTATGACTCTAGCAGCAATGAGATAAAGTGACTAAGATTAGGTCTGCAGAATGCACACAGCTACATTCATATTACTTGCTTGAGAAGCTAATGAAGTTTAATAAAATGTAACTTAATCCTTGTAAATTAAAAACTAACAAGACTGATAACGAATAGGTTTATCTTCTAGAATATCAATGAGTCACATACTAAAAAAAAAGAATCTAGTAATATAAAGACATTTATTCAAGATCATTTGGACAGGACTTCATGGGTAAGCCACACATCTTATTTAATAGGGAAATAAACAAATGTGGTAGAGCAGCTAGAACTAAACTCCAAGGTAATGATTTACTGAGAAATATCAACAGCATTTTTAGAACGTGCTACACGTAGAAATTTTTAACACATCCCCTCCAAATAAACATGCTAAATATTTTATATACCAAGGCACTCTATCATATATTGAGCTCCAAAATGTAGAAACCAAAATGCTGAGTTCCCTATTTATTGTATTTAATTTCCTCCCAATGTTGGCATTTAATTCAATGTTTGTATTTCCATAAGTTACAGAAATACTACTTTCAATATCAGGCACTGGGATAAACTTTTGTTTTCCATTTGGGATTACCAGAAAAAGAAATCTTAAAGAATCCATTCATTTTCCCTTTATATATTTAGAGTTGAGGGTTTAAAACATTAGAATTTCTTTAAGATAGGTGACTTTGTGATTACTTTTGTTTCATACTGATTCCTAGTGTTTCCTTTTTATTTGTAAATGTTTTGTATGGTAGACACATGGCTCCAATGGAGGAAACCGCTTTGTTAGAGACTTCTTTGGTCAGAGCAGAGGTTCTTAGCTTGATTAAGCAAACTTGTTCAAATGCTACCTGAAATCATGCCAGGAACTGCTTTCATCAATGCCGCCAACATAACCCTGGAGAGAAAAGAGTGCAAAGGACACTCCACTCACTTCCTCTAAATACAGATACTATGCTAGATGAATCTTTTCTTATTCAATGTAGAAAAGCAGTATTGTGGTCATACAAAGTGTTTATAAAAATAATCTGAGACTGGTTAAAAACTCAAAGTCTCAAACAAGCCCTATTTGCAGGAAGTGTTTTTCATTAGCTATGCCATTGCCAGTGATCCAGGGATCAGAAATTGAAAAACACTTGCTAAACAGTTAAAATTGTGGGCTCCCAAATAAGACAGACCTGGTTGCAAATACCGAATTTGTCATTTACTAGCTATGAGATATTCAGCAAGTTATTTAGCCTCTCAAAACCTCAAAGTCCTTGCTATAGGAGTAATAATGCTGCCTTCCTCCTAATAAATATATAAGATAATGCATGTAAGGCACTTAGCTTAATGTCTAGCACATAGTAGGATTCAAACGAATATTACATAGAAAGAACCCAGCTGAAGTCACATAATAAGATTCTGCCTCCAAAAGAAAATGATATGTCACAGAAATAAATAATTACGGGAAACAAAATTTTAGAAGACAATATTATACGTCTATGAAAATATGGCCATCATGTCTAATAATTACCAAAGCAAATGATCACTGAAGGAAAGAATAGTCTATGGAGTGGGAGTTGAACAATGAGAACACACGGACACAGGGAGGGGAACATCATACACTAGGGCCTGTTTGGGGTGGGGGGCTAGGGGAGGGATAGCATTGGGAGAAATGTCTAATGTAGATGACGGGTTGATGGGTGCAGCACGCCACCATGGCACGTGTATACCTATGTAACAAACCTGCACGTTCTGCACATGCATCCCAGAACTTAAAGTATAATTTTAAAAAGTTTTTAAAAAAAGAATATTCTATGGTGAAGTCAGTCAGGGAAAGGATGTTGCTGGTGACAATGAGAAATAAATACAAATAAATACAAAATGCAATAGAAAAATCAAAATTCATATAGGTAGTATGGGTGCGAATTAACACTAGAGTAAACCTTATAACTTATGCATAAGACGTATGTCAAAAAGCTCTTCAGGAAAAAGTAGCAATAACAACAACAGCCAAAACAATGGTTAACTTTTCTTGAGTGATTCTTTTGCACCTGGCACTCAGCTAACATGCTTTTAACTGAACTATCTACTACACCTAATGTCATGTGCCATGTAGGAAAGACTACAGCCACAAGTGTTTCAATGTCTAAAAAAAGATGTGGGTTATATAAGAAGGGGATCTTGTGTACTATTCTATCAGATCACTGTTTCTTTTATTCCTTTTCCTTTTTTTGAGACAGAGTTTCGCTCTTGTTGCCCAGGCTGGAGTGCAATGGCGTAATCTTGGCTCACCGCAACCTCTGCCTCCCAGGTTCAAGCAATTCTCCTGCCTCAGCCTGCTGAGTACCTGGGACTACGGGCATGTGCCACCACACCCGGCTAATTTTGTATTTTTTAGTAGAGACAGAGTTTCTCCATGTTTGTCAGGCTGGTCTCGAACTCCTGACCTCAGGTGATCCGCCCACCTCGGCCTCCCAAAGTGCTGGGATTACAGGCATGAGCCACAGCACCTGGCCAGATCACTGTTTCTTTCTGGGACTTTACCAACTATCAGTAAAATCCAGAAAGTGGTCATCAGGGAAACAGCACAGATTGGAGAAAGCATTGCAATCCCAACCTACAAGAATATTCATATGTCATTATGTATGAAAAGACATACCCATAGCATTGGCTCACAATTACAACACTGGCAACCCAGTTTGGCTGGGCCTCTTTCTAAATATATTGGAATATTTAAAAGAATTGTATCTGTGAATCTATTGGTCTGGCACGATAGTGTCACTTTTTTCCCTTTATCTCTTATGTCAATTATAGTAGTCAAAAGGACTTTCTTCAACATATAAATTGCAAGTGGGAAATGGGGCAGTGTAGCCCACCAGACTAGGGATGGCAGAATGCAACAAATGTCAAAGGTCAAAAATGCAAATATTAAGAGGTTTTAATCATTACTGTGGACTGGAATGTGTTTTCCCAAATTCATATGTTGAAAACTGAACTCTCCACATGACTATATTGGAGACAAGACCTTTAAGGAGGTGGTTAAGGTTCAGTGAAGTCACAAAGGTGGAGCCCTGTCCCATGGAACTGGTGCCCTCATAAAAGAAAAAGAAATACCAGGTTTCTCTCTGTCTTCTCACCACCTCCACCTTTCTCCATCATGTGCGGACGCAGTAAGAAAACAGCTATCTTCACATCAAGACAGGAATCCTCACAAGAAACCAAACCCTGTTGGAACCTTTATCTTAGACTTTCTAGCCTCCAGAACTGTGAGAAATAAATTTCTATTGTTTAAGCTAGCCTGTCTGTGCTATTTTGTTATGGCAACCTGAGGAAACTAAAAGAATAATCTAACGTCAATAAAATTAAATTCAAGACACACAGTCTTCCAAAATTTCTAATCTTTTTTATAGGAAAAAAACCACCTCAACGTATCACTCTTTCTTCTTTCAGGTATTTTCTTTGTTTCTAGTCTCTTCTGTTGTGCCTTCTTTACTGAGTGGGTATACTTTTCTGGTAACCCCAAAATTCTAGATAGAGCCAAGATTAAAAAATACATGCAGAAAAGCTAAAATACTTTTGACAAGAATTAAGCATTAATTTCTTTTTAATATTTTTACTTGTGGTTGATGAGAGAAAATACTTTCACACCCACTAGGTGGCATCTACATCCTCTTCCTAATTTGGTCAAAATTGCCTAGATAAGATTCCTCCAGGTAACTCTTGAGTTATTTTCAGCACCTCTTAACCCAAATCAGGGGAATTCGGTTAACTGGAGCTTTTATTTAACCTCAGAGTTTAGACATAATTTGAGCTGCTTCTTCAACCACCAAATATTTTTCCCTGAATATCTTCACCTCCCTGAATATTTTCACTCAGACAGTGAGTGATTATGACTCACTCATAATGTGAATAAGTATGTTTCTGTGTGTATGTGTGCAAGTGTACATGTGTTTTGGATTTCAAAGCATGCATTTGTTTAAATATTGAAAAATGTAATTAACAATATAATTTATAACTTTTCTTTTTCACACTTTATATTAAGAATATTTTTAATCCTTGAAAGTGGAGTTAATATATATAGAGAGAGATCTCATAAAACATTGCAAAAGAATGCTAAATTAGATGGCCAAGTAAATTCACCTTTACAGCATCCACATTATCCTATGGGAATTATTTTATTCAGCTTCAATATATTCAAAAATTACATTCAAACTCAGACAATATTTGCACAATGCTTTATTCTTAATATAGACTTGATATGAGTTGATCACAATGAAATTGTGCTATGATGAATAGCCATCCAGAAAGATTCAAGTCCATGCCAATCCTATAGGAGGCTCGCATAGCAAGTAGTCTGAGTTACAATTTCATCTACATCAGCAAAGGCAACAGGGGCACTGTCTTAAAAACAATCATTTATCAAGGTGGGATTTTCAGTATATTTTTGTTGGGGAGAAAATATTCCATAGCTCAGGAATTATAAGCCATGTACCTCTGTAAAATCATAGCTATGCAAGGTGAGGAAGTCTTTGATGAGCCAAGAACCTTGCTGAATTTGGAATTCCAATTTCCAATTCCAATTCCAATTTCAATTTCTTTGGAATTCCAGACAATGTTTGCCTACTGAACATACACATTTATAATAACTGTAATAGATCTATTTTTAGTGAAAAATAGTTCAAGTTCCATGTTTCATCTCTTGTTGGAGTTTATTATCCAGGTCAAGTGGGTACTAGAAGATCCACAATTAAAGACACAAGTAATAAGGTCTTATTAAAGACACTGATTCAACTCATTCATTCATTCATTCATTCAACTGTTTCAAGTTATTTTGCTGGGCATTGGGAGCACAGGGGTGAAAAATAATACACTCCTTGCAATTTCTCTCAAGAATCACAAAAAAATAAACACAAAATGGTATAAAGAAAAATTAGAGGTACTAGAGAATACATTACCCAGCCTGGGAGATGGGAAAACCTCTTTGTGGAAGTAATACTTAAGCTGAGATATTAGCAACAAGTAAGTTTTAAATAGGCAAAAGAGCTCCTCATTCCCTTATGGGGTGAGGGAAGAAGATGCTGTTGATATTAGAAACAATTTTTCAAAGATTTTTCTCAGTGGTATAAGGATAAGGCAGACCGATACTCTTCCTCGTCAACAGAAATTTGAGGTTTCTTGAAGATATTCTAAATTTCCCTTCTCTTCTTACTTTTTCTTTTAAAGTGAACAATTTTATAATGCATTCTATTCTAACATAATTAATATCTGATAATATCAATTTCCAGGCAGAAATCCTGAATCATCATCAATATTTCTACAATGTATTGAGCCCTTAATATGGGCCAGGCACTACCCAAAGGGTTTTCACAAATAACCTCACATAGTTCCTACAACAACCCATGAGATAGTACTAATGTTTTCATTTTCCCAATGAGGGCACTGAAACCTAAAACGTTGAGCACCTCTCTCTCCCAGCATGATACAATTAAAATGTGTTATTCATTATTTGAATCCCAAATACATACTCTTAACCACTTCAAGAGGCCACCTGGAATAGAAAATATATATACTCATGGAATTAAAAATACATGCTTATGAGATTTTTTTAAAAACAGAAAAAAGTTTATCTGAAATTTGTCCACAATAACCCCTAAGTGATCTTTGTAAACAGTTTGGATTTGACTTACATTTACATAGTTTCCATTATAAGCTAAATACTGTACTAACTTTTTTTGTATCTCACAAAAAATTTTCTCATGATTAGAAAATCCTTTCTTCCCATTGCATGTGAAAATTGTTCTAGGTTCTTACTGATCGTTCTTACTCCCATTCATAATATTCTTTCTACTTTGATGCTTGACTGTCATGAAGTGCTTATAGATAATACTTTGTATCACAAATATCCTCTACATTCAGGCATAAATAAATATTTATAAATAGGCTTACATTTAGTTGATTTATTCTACAGAAAACTGTATCTTAACAAGTGCAATCTAGCTGAGCAAAGTTGTATTTTTAATTGAAGACACTTTCCCTGTGAGTTATTTTAAAAATGCATCAACGCTACTCAAAATCTGCATCTTCTATGTGATAAAAATATTTTTATGATGTTCTTCTACAAGAGGAAATCTATTCCCTATCTTTCTTCCACAAACTATCCCTGAAATTTGGATATAGCACTTTAAAAAGCTATTTAAAAATTTACTATTCAAGATATATGGTAAAACTGATTGAAACATTTTTCCTTTGGTACATAGGATACTGAAATTTCAGCTCCATCTGTAGCCCAGAGAAGGTATCAACATGAGCTCTATCTCTTGTTTCTGATTTGAGAATGATTCTTCAATCACTCTCAAAATTTTCTACAAATAATTAAAATTAATAAAGTTCATTTACACATTTGCCAAATTATGTATAAAGAAACTGTGTGTACACATGTATATGTAGCAGAAGAGGATTCATTAAGTCACCTATTGTGTCAGTTTTTATATTTTTAAAATCAGTCCTCTCCCCCCTAGTCTTTACCAATGGAAGTAGTCAATTGGTCATAAAGCATATGTTGAATTAGCCTATTAACACGATTCATTACAAATCTACTCCATCTATAGTAAAACAGCACATTAAGTCAGCAGAACAAACTCAAGTTCTACTGTGACACCGATTGGTAGCACTTACATTGTTAAACAGACACCCCCCACTCTCAACACCCCCCAAAAAATTGCTGAAGCCATTTGGCTGTTTTCCAGAAAATAATTTAACTTGTCCTGAAGAGTAAGCTCTAAGCTATCAGCTTATGGTTTCCAATGGGCATTATCAAAAAACATTCAACGTTTAACAAGGCTCTCAAGCTGAAACAGCTGTTCATCCAAAGTGAAACTTTTTTTAACTTTCTCTGAGTCTAGCTAATCTTACTTGAGCTAGAAAATAAGGTATTAGACTATTTTGCATGTTCTACCACTTTATGACAAGAAAGCCAATTTTGCACTTCAGTAAAGGCAGATTGCAAATTTAGCATGAATTGAACCAGTAGCTGAGTTGCAATTTATGGCAAATGGCTCATCAGCACATTAATGTATACTGCCAATATAACCACTTCAGCCAGGCAGGCCAGAAACTAGAAGACCCAAATATCTAGTAGGCAGTAAAGGAAATGTGCTCTCTATCAACTTGTATAAAACAAATCTTAAAACCAAAACTATGAACTATCATTATCATTCATTATCATTCTTATGTTAGTACTTAAAAAAACAAAGTCAGAACCATAGGTTCTGAAATCAGATAGATTCAAGTTTTGGACTTCTTTGCTAGATACTAGCTTGATAACCTTGGGTAACTTATTTAGCCTTCCTGTGCTTAAGGTTTCTCCTGAGTACAGTGAGAATAATAACAATAACTACTACTTAGAGTTAGTGGTGTGGTAATTTCCATAAAGTGCTTAACACATTGCTCTAGCATATAGTAAATGATCAATATTTGTTAAATGTTTTTATTCTATTGTTATCATTTAATATTCTAACTCAGATCTGTAGATGGCCCCTGTCAGGTAAAATATTACTATAGAATTGTCCATTATTTCTATACTCAGATATTTGTATTTTTCAACCGAACTAAATGATAATAGTGTAACTTTCCACTTCGGTAAATGTTGGAAATGTATGAGAGCCTGTATTTTGTGCCATGTTCAAAATTCATTTTATTTAGTTTTCCTAGGTGGACATAATCAGCATTCTTGGAGCAACACTAAGAACTAACTAAAACTCTTACCATCTTGCCCAGATCTGCCAATTGTAAAGAGATGATTAAGAGCTCCAAGGTTTAAAAGGCTTAAAAGGTTTCCTCTGGGGGTGGTGACTGCTTCAAGAGAGGCATCAAATCAAGAATCCTGTGGATATTATTCTACTTAATATTAACAACTTAAAAATATTTGCACTTACTCAAAATATAGCATGCTAAAATTTATTTTGGGTTATAAATAAGCAAACATATATCCAGTAGGACACCAATCAGATGTCTTAAAGGCATAACATACTTTTAATTTGTTGATTCATCCAGCCATCTAGTTACTCATCCCATTATTCAACAAATATTTATTGAGTACCTATTTATGTTCCAGGCATTCTTCTTGGTTCTGGTGATACAAGTATAGAAAAACAGTACAAAATTCTTTTCTTTATGGAACATCCACTCATGAGACTCCTCAAATCTGTGAGCTCTTCCAGCAGCTATTATCTACCACTACCAGTCTGGGGAAAAATAGTCTACAATTATGGTTTCCACTTCTTCGTCTGTCACTCACTTTTTAACTCATTGTTACTTGATTATTCTCCCATCTTTCCTTTGAAATTATTTGTGGATCACTATAATTAGCACTTAAAAATCTATGTCTTACCAGTCTAGCCAACACAGTGAAACCCCATCTCTACTAAAAAATATATACAAAAATTAGCCAGACGTGGTGGTGCACACCTGTAATCCCAGCTACTTGGGAGGCTGAGGCATGAGAATTGCTTGAACGCGGAAGGTGGAGTTTGCTGTGAGCTGAGATTGCACTATTGCACTCCAGCCTGGGCGACAGAGTGAGACTCTGTCTCAGAAAAAAAAAAAAAAAAAATTATGTCTTACATACTGTCTCAGTATGTAACACTGTTAATGAATTCTTTGTTTCTTTCAATTCTTCCCATTATTCTATATTCTAGCAATGTTCCATTTGCCTTTATGAGTCTCCAGTGTGGGATGCTTGTTCTCTACCTAACTCTAATGTGTTATTTTTCCATAGGGTTTAGCTGTCAGTTATCACAGTTTTCTTAATCTTCAGGTGAATGGGCCTGTTCAGTTGCTTTGAATACAATATTTATATCAATATCATAAAATCAATGTCTTCTCCCCCCAATTTTTTCTAACATCTAGACGCATATAGCCAGCAAGACATCATTTAGATATCCTAGAGTCATACCAAACTTTTAATTTATTTATTCATCTATCTACCCATTTATTCATTCAATTCTTCAGATATTTATTGAGTGCCAGGCACTGTTCTTGGCTCTGGTAATAGGAGAGTAGAGACCAGCCCAAAGTTCTTACCCTTATGGAACTTACATTCTTGCCCATATTCAAAGTCTAATAGAGGTACGAATTTATTGCTATCTAATAAACTTGATATATTTGTCCAAACAAATATATCTCCTGCTGTAATTTAGATCTCAGAGATTAGCACACTATCCACCTAGCTTTCAAGCCACAAAACTTCAGCTGTTTCTGCTTCCTTCTGCCTTATTCTCTTTTCCTTTCAGTTTTTCTCAGTATTTTTCTAATCTGTCTCTTCTTCTCCACAGCCCTTGCAAAGACATTCAACATTTTTCACCTGGCTATTGCACAACCTATTAACATTTTGAGACTTAACATCCTTATGCACCTTTTATCTCTCTACTCTTCATTAAAATAATATTTACACACTATAAATGTGATCATGTCAATTTCTTATTAAAACTTTTTCAGCGGCACCTGATTGTTTTCAGGGGAAACAATTATATGGCATAGCATTCTACATGATTTGGGCCCTGCCTCCCAGTCCAGCCTCATCATCCCCTTCCTTTCCCCAAACCACCCTCTCAGCCACCTCAGATACCCTGGTATTAGCAAAGGCTATCAGCATCTGGTCCATATTCACTTGGCTTACCCAGGAGGTTACTCCACATAGGCTGGTAACTTACTGCCTTTCTCTGCCTGAGGGACATACTGCCTACAGAATCTTTATAAACATTATTTATTTATTTATATATTTTTAATGTGTAATACAGTTATGGGATACATGTGCTGTTTTGTTATATGCATAGATTGTGTAGTAGTCAAGTCAGGGCTTTTAGGGTATCCATCTCCCAAATAGCATACATTGTACCCATTAACTAATTTCTCAGTAGAATGGTGGATACCAGTGGTGGTGTGGGCCAGGGGGGAATGAGGAGATGTTGTTTAAAGGGTACAATATTTCAGTTATGTAACATGAGTAAATTCTAGAGATCAAGTGCACAGCATCGGGACTACGGTTAATCATACTGTATTGTATACTATAAATTTGCACGAAAGTAAACGTTAAATATTCTCACCACACACAAAAAAGTATCTATGTTAAGAGATAGACATGTTGATTAGCTTGATTGTAGTAATCAGTTCACCATGTACATGTATGTCAAAACATGATGCTGCACACCTTAAATATATACATTTTCAATGTAAATAACACTGCTAAGTGAACCTAATCAACAAAAGACAGGAATTGTTAAGTACTCCAACTTCTTTGTCAGCCAGGGGGCAGTTCTAAGGCTTGTCCCCCACATACTTTGGGAAGGTCCCAAGCATAATGAGCACACAGTGGTAAACCCGCTCATTAATGACACTTGATTGGCTTTTCTTCTTTTCCTTCTCACTTCCCTCACAGTGCTTCTTGAGAACACCTTAAAAATAAATTGCTTGCACACATCCTTGCAACAGAGTCTGCTCTGAGAGAAACCCAAATTAAAACACCTGGACTCTAGCCAGGATGTCTTAGTTTAGTTCTAGAAATGTGAGCCATTTTCCCTTCCTTCTGGTTCTTTGCACATTCTCTTCTCACTGTCTTCTCTCCTTCATCTTCTTTACCTCCCTTTTATAATTTCCAAGATAGTATCTAAATATTTCTTCCTTTGAAAGGTTTATTCTGACACCCCACCACCCTCATCAAATCTTACACCATATAAACTCAAATCAGGACCATTGCATCTTCACACCGCATCCTAATGCTTTTTCCTAGCCTAGCATTCAGCACGCTTGTGTGAGTGCCCCTCCAGACTGTGAGTTTCTTTAAGGGCCTCAACAGTGTCTAACTGTTTTCCTTTCCCTACCAACTAGCACAGTACCAAACACTGGAAAGTATTCAATGAAAGTAAGTCAAATGAATTCGATGAAAAATAAATGATGAGTAAACAGTATTAAAATAAATCAACAACAAAATCATTCTCTCTTGTATACTCAAAATGTTCCACACAATGTGTTTAGGAAGTAAGTAGTTGGCAGAGCTATAAAGTCAAAAGTAGCACATTTAAATCCACTTGAAAACCAGATGACAGTCTTTCATTCTACCCAGATTATACTTCCTGGGCCATGATAGTAGTTAATGGACTGTTTAATGAGTCAGTCCTGGAATATTAACTGATAACCAGAATGAAATGCTTTTCCTCTCCTGTCTCATACATCTGCCTGTTGAAAAGTATGCCTGAGTGACTGCTACTGAGTTGGAAAGGGTCAACTCCTACATCAACCTGCACCTTCCTCTTGCCCTTTGAGGCTACACAGGAAAGGCATGAGGCCCATGGACACCAACCTGCCTCTCCTGGAGCAAAGGGATGAGAAATATGAGCCTGTTCTTCAAACTGCTTGGGACATGTAGCCTGTAGCTGTGATAGCTTGTTTAACAAGGACTGGTTTTTTCCTCTCAATCATAGTTCTAAAGCTATCGTTTATTGAAAAGCTGATTTTTAAAGCACACACTAGAACAGCTTTTCTGTACAGCTGCAATGCTATTTAAATCTTCCATGAATATCTCCACAAACCCAAGAAAATTCTAAACTGAAATACTGCTCTTAGAGAGGACATAGTAAAATAAGACCCTATAGGAGGAAAATTCAGGAAGTGAAATCTGGTTGTTAATTTTAATACTGGAATTATAAAATCAGGCATATAGCTTCCACTCTTCTGAGCTAAAAGAACACCTTAAAACACCATTTGAAAAAGTAGCCTACAGGCTTTTTGTGGAGACTTTGGTAGATACTAGCAATCTCCCTCAAAATCATTCCTTAATAGTCTCCAGGAATGTAAATAAATGCCTCACCTTTTTCTAGGAAGAGACTGAAAGGAGATGAAGAATAAGCAGTCAAAGCAATGCTTTAAAGACAGTAAACAAATCAATGAGAGGTAACATTGTCCTTGGGAAGAGCTGACTGTTGAACCCAAATTTCTGCTCCACAATAAAACCTCAAGTTCTTATCTCCAGCACTATTTTGAAAACAACAACAAAAAATTTCTATAGGCCACTGGTGATCCTGGCAAGACTGATGTGATGCTTTAATCTCATGTAACTGGCTATATCATTCTCCTGCTGTGACCAGGCAGTCTCACTGAAACCCTTTAAGCTGCATTTGTAGCATTTTATAATGTTGATACTTCTTTGAATTTCATCAAAGTGGAAACTGATAGATTCTAGCCAGCTATATTGCAACCTTCATTTCCTTCATTTAAGACATTCAATTTCTGTCAAATGAACTATCAAATGAAATTATATAGAGCGTGAGTCACTATTATAAATATTTTGGAGCCATTTACTTGGAGGCTGTTGATAAAAACAGCACTTTTCTACACCCAAGAAAGGTTTCCCAAATGACTAACCAAAGAAACAGCATTATGAGAATTGTTTTGTGTCCCATCAAGTATTGTGTAGCCTTATGTTTCATTTCTGCTAACTCTTAGTTCCCAATATAATAGGGACTCCACTGTGGGGCTAAGTCAGTGCTTGCTAAATTATTGATTCACTTCAAATAAAGAAATGCCACAACATTCTGCGAATAGGAAAGGATGATTATAAGACATAAGGAGTCTATACAGCCTTGATACCTAGTACAACGCCTGGCACAAATTAGTCTTTTAACAAATATCTGTTGAATGAATAGATAAATAAATGTGCGTAAGTTGAGAATCTGATGTTTATGAAAGACTAAGCACTGGTGCATTGAAAGTTCCACACAAATTTCTTAAGTCATCTTTTGAACACAAAGCAATAATAAAAGTGCAGCAGATTCAAAAATAATTGGATCTAATTCATGTTCTAAAGCATTGTGGAATTAATAAATAAAAATTTAATGCCATTTTGAGTTCTAGTTATGCCGTGGAAGCCTGCTGGTCTCTTGGTTTTAAAATACTTTTCCAGAATACTAAAATCAGAACTCTTTTTCTCATGTTGTTCTTTCCTTTGTTTCCATAGGAAACAGTGACTTCCAGGCATCCAAGATGACACAACATAGATTGCCAAATTGCATGCCACCCTGCAGTTGCCAAGGAGATAATGTATGTCATTCCTACAAATAACATGTTGCTCATGCCTTCATTTCCTTTATCTAGCTTTTTAAGATATTCTTTGCCTGAACTGAATTCTGATAATGTTCGCTGTGAACTGATGGAAACATTCCTTTTTTAAAAATTTGTTTACCCCATTCCCCTAAGGCACTTGATCACATCACACACGCCGTCTGTGGAAGGTCTGGGCATATTTTATGCCGATTTTGGAACCAGTGATTCAGCAGTTTTCACTGAAAAAATAAATGCATCCTGAATTCTGTCTGCCTGCGTTCTAAGTAAAGGTCCAATTAAATCCACACCTGGCACTAACATATTCCAGTTTAAAATGGCCTACCACAAAAGCAGCTGCACTTAGTTAAATTTATAGGGGAAGGAAGAGGAGGAAAGCAGGAAGGAAGCAAAGGGGAGAAAGAAGGATAGAAAGAAGAAAAGGCGCAAAAAAGGAAGGAAGGAAGTAAAACAGGAAGGAAAGAAGAGAAACATATTTATTGAGCACCTGCAGCATTCGAGATTAGACATCTGTAAGATGAACAAACAGAATAAGAAAAAGTCAAGATCTTGGCTGACATCATCCCACTAGCAAGAGGCAGAGTCATTATTTGAACTTGGTTGTATGTGACTTAAAAGCATGTGTTTCCCAGTTAATCTTGTGCTGCATAATAAATCTCCCCTAAACATAGTGGCTTAAAGCAACAGCAATCATTTTAATTTTATCTCTCAAGGGTTTGGAGGCTGGCTGGACTCAGGTAAGCAGCATTCACTCAGAGTCTCTCATGTGGTTTCAATCAGAAGGGCTGGGTTGGAATCACCCAGAAGATGTCCTCACTCCCAGGCCTGGCAGTTGAGGCTGGGGCTGTCAGCCAGAATGCCTTACAGTATATTGGAAATAGCAGCACCAAATAAATTACTGCATCCTTTTACTTACCCCACACTGGGCTGCATTCTTTTTATTTTACTTTATCAACTACTCTCAATATATCAAGAGGCTTTTGGCTAATGTCTCTATTTTCACAGCACCCTAAAATTATTCTAATAGTGAACCTGGTAGACCTAGACTTTGAACCCCATCCAGGTGATCTGAAAAAATCTTAAGTCCTCCACTGAACATCCAATCTGTGTGTTACCCTGAAAATAATCAGATTTGTTTATCCTTTGGAAACCTATTAAACTTTATCATAAATAAAGAGATCCTCTGCCAGAAAAGAGGATATTAATGACAAAGAAATATCATGGAGGAAACACAGTAATCTGATTGTGGGGAGCATTCAAACTAGGGAAGAATATTATGGTGAGCTAGTAAAACAGAAGCAAATTACATCTCATTGCTTGCATTGCTGAGAGTAGATGATTGTGCTCACTCTACTGTGCTGCCAGATTGGCCTGAAATAAACATATATAATATTTTATTTCATGTAGCTATTTCTGAGATGAACAACTCTGTAATGAATTAGGCTGCACTACACAGTACTGAATTCGGTCTATCAAGCAGATTACCATTACCTCAAACAACAGCAGGGTTCTACCCCAAATGTAACACTTGGATTCATACTGTCTCTCCCCAGTAAAAGTCCAGCATGTATTTTCATTCAGGCCAACAAATATGATGAAACGTTAAGGTATCTTTGATGACTGCTTTACAAAATAGACCTAAAAATGGAAGCACTTAGGTAATGCACATGCTAGATCCCAGCAGGTGGAATAAAGGACATCTTATTCAGGATTTCACCTCTCACCTTCATATTTGTGATTTTATCCTACTTGCTTCAGCCCCAAATTTTACTCCTTTCCATATATTTTCTTTTCCTAAATGAGGACTATAGTCTGGTAACAAAATCTCTGAGAACAAAGCAGCAGTATTTAAAGACAGTATTTAACCGTCTTACATTATAGAACAATTGGCCTAAACCTTGCACAGATGTTGTAGTGTAATAAAGACTTGAGATCCTTCTTACCCCTCAATTTTATGTTCTCTGAAGCTTAGAAACTTCATAGTGCTATGATTTCTAAAACTGTGAGTAGCTAGGTGCACTTACTGGCTACAAAGTGACTGGACAGTAAGTTAACTGCAATCAAACATTATCACACATTCTTACGGGATTCTAAAATCCTTTTTTGATTGTACTACTAACCTTTAAGCCCATTATAGTATGTCTATTACAGTCACATATATCTAGATTACTATTTGGAAACATTTAAATTAAATACTTTAGCAAATGTTCACTGCTAGAAGACCATCTTTTACATTTGTTCCCTTGTTAGGGTGATTACCTAATCTATTGGTCAAGCAAGGACATTTTTTGTTCAGAACAAATGCTAACCTGGGTAGGCCACAAGGACAATAGTCATAAACTCCAGCAATTGCAGGCAAATAGGGACAAAATCAAACTATCCATTGTAGATTAATTGGAAAAAAATCATTTGCTAGGAATTTGAAGATCACATTGGAAAAAAATCTGTATATTTCATTGAAAAAATGTTTTAAACTTTTCCATATTTTATCTCAATAATATATTGGTACACTTCTTTGAAACATTTGTAGTAATGAATTTGATAAAATAGATTTGACTGTGATGCAAGGGATATTACCTATTGCAAATGTGCAAAAATGAATGATTTATTGAATTTTGAAATATGAATGCAATTCATAAGAAACACTGTGGGAAAATAAGTATAAAGAAAAAGAAATTAGATATTGAAAGCTAATCAAGGAGAGATTCATTTTTTTTAATTAACCAATAACAAATAGGATTCACCATATAAAAATCTCACTCTACTTTTATGAATTGTTGGGGATGCTAAAATAACTTTCTGTCAGCAGATCAGGTCCCCATTGACCATGATCTATTTCAGTCCCAAAATGTATTCTTGTTCTATGTATAACAGGTAACCTCCTTGGTGCCATTTTTAGATCAGCCCGTTGGCAAACATTAGGCAGAAAGCATGTTAACATTTTTCAGGATCAGCTAAGGCTTTAGCACAGTGGGTTTCTTGCTTGCAGAAGCAGTGATGGTGAGCTAAGCACAAGAGAGAGTGCCTGTTGAAGCTCAGAATCTATACAAGCATAAACTGCTTCAAGTCAAAATAAAGCAAAGCAAACAAGCTAACAAAACGATCCTACTGAGACCATTAGGATGCCCAGAGAGGATGTGCCCCCATTAGGCCCAGGCACACAAAGTACGGCTCCAAGGTTTTGATACTCTCAGCTCAGCCTAAATCTCTGTCTTCAAAACAAATAACCTAACGAATTTAAAAATGCAAATCACTATCATCATTCATGACAAATTCTTATTAATTATCTCTTTTGCTGTTAAAAAGAAGCGACTAATAAGGCAATTTTATGTCAGAGCTGGGCCTCACCTTTACTTCAAAAGACCATTTTCCACCTCTTTAAAAGCCATTTTTCTCTAGCAAAATGGCATTTTCTAATGGCTCAACCTAATAAAATTTAGCTTTTCTCAAAACAAATCTCAGGCTCATTTCTTCATGGAAGAAGCAGCATGTGAAAGTTAAGTGCCTAACCCAGGCTTCCACTTATCATTGCCCTCCCACGTTTTTTTAAGCTAATGATATTCTCTAAGAAAATAAATAAATAAATAAATAAATAAATAAATTACTATATGCTTGTCCAGCTCTTGCTTACTCTCCAGGGAAGCAAGAAGCTTCAAGCTCCAAGAAAATCTCGTTTTTACTCCTTCAAAGCAAGATATCCTTATCAGAGCTCTTCCAGCCAAGCTAGCCCTCAGAAGAGTATCTGATTATTATTAGAGCAGGCGAGTATTAGATTCCTTCCTTCACTCATAGCCAGAAAACCTATACTGGGGCCCCAGGTATCCCTGACCAGCAGAGTTGAGCATGACTCTTACTTTCTATCTCATACCTATCTGCACTGGGAGACAGAGACAACCGGCATAATAAAACTAAGGCTCAGAGGAAAAGCCAGTGGAATACAGGAATAGCACTTGCTTCATATGGGTGAGTTCCAAAGAAATTAGGTCGTTTGTGGTTAAGAGAAGAGTTACACAGATTTCCTTCAGTTATCCAAAACCTATATGTGACCCTCAAAAAGCTAATTAACAATGTTGAATGGGTTTGTGGGACTTTTTACTGTTATTATGTTATCTAACCAGTTAATATTAATAATATTTTATATATTATTAAATATATACTATGTATTTATAATTAATATTTTACAAAGACTACATTGTATTCATACAGTCTTTCATTCATTGACTCAATCAACAAATATTGGGTGCCAGGCCACTAAATATTGGTCTTCAAGTTCATACTCTTCAAAACACTTTTCAAATAAATCTGCCCAATAAACTAAACCCATATGTCCTCATAGCTTGTTACGCTGGAGATAGTAATATTCCCACTTTGTAATTAAAGAGTTGACTTTCTGCTTTTTGAATACAGAGTCCTTGCCACTCTTTGCCAAATTCTCTTTGGAGATGTCAATCCCAATCTCCAAGTGCCAGGGACCTAGACAAAGAGAAAGTGCAGATGTGCTAAACGGTGGGGCTTCTTCTTCCTCTATAGCTCTTCCGTTTTCCTAATATTAATATGTATAATAAAATACTAGGAAATTTGTTATATATATATATGTGTGTGTGTGTATATGTATGTGTATATATATGTGTGTATATATATGTGTGTACGTGTGTGTGTGTGTGTGTGTACATATATATATAATTTTCAAGCGGTATCTTGATATCCACATTAAACTGACTGTACTTAGAAAAACTTTTCAGGGAGGCAAAAATAGAGTGCCCACATGACTACTGCTTCTGTGAATCCCCTAAGAATGGCCTTCTCTCTCACTAGGAAGCCTAAAACTGTTTGCAATTAGACAACAAAAAGCAATTAAAAGTATTTATTTTTTAAAAGCTTGTTTTAGCCAACCCACCCTCAAAAGAGAGACAGAGAGTCTGAGAGAGAAGAAAAATTTAGTGGCCTACATTGTTTGGGATTGGTGAGACTAGAGAGTATAAAGAAATCTCCATACTGGTCATCGATATGAAGATATCAGAGTTATAAAAATTGAACTCAAATTCAAGAGCTATAGACTGAGGGAGAAGGAATATAGTCTTACAGAACAACTAAGAAGTTAAAAATTCAGGATTATTCATCGTGGCAGCAAAAGACAGTTTGGGAAAGTACATGATGTATTAGTCAAGTAAAGAATCTAGGAAGCTAAAAAAATCCTGTAACATCTGAAATACTAGAAAATATTAAGAAAAGCATGCCATGCCATACAATCTGAGTGAAAAGTGTCCTCTTTCTAAAACTGTTGCAAAATTGATCAAAATACATAAAAATTTTCTTTTTCCAAAGACATTTTTCATACATAATATCCTCTAATTCATTTAAGTGAAATAAAATAAGTCATACCCAAACTGATGTTTCTTGAAACTTCTAAATCATCTGAGGCTGAGCAAAAAGCTGGAGATTTAGCGATGTATATTATGTTGTGGGAAAATTAGCTCCTCAAAATAGCAAAAGGGAAAATTGGCAGCTTAGTCAAATACACCAGAAGGAATGAATAATCTTACTCAGTAGCTTAGGGATGAGAACTTGGTGGAAAATATAACTAAATGTTGAGGAAAGTTGTTTAAAGCAGTTGTTTATTTTTGAAGCTGATTTTTTCCATTCTAAAAAGAAGTGCTGGCCCACTCACATTGCGATATAAATGGAAAAAAAAGATTATAAAATAAATAAAATATTGAAGTACCAGAAAAAAACCTTTTAATAACAAAATTTCACCAATGGAAATGTGTAGTTTTTTCATATATTGCTATCACCAGCAACCATGTCTATATCTCAGTTATATGAGGAATGAAATCAATCAGCAGGCATTTCTTGAGCACCTGGCTATGTGTTAGGAAATATGTGCCAGATGTGCTGGGGAAGTGACGGAGTAAATGGAGAAGTAATAACAATTCCAATAATATGGTAATTGTTTATAAATTAGATAGCAATTCTAGAATGATTCTTAAGCTAGACCATAAACATTACAAACCAACTCATGATATTCATAATAATGAGCTGGCTTATCCTTTCTACTCTCCTTTATCTGCTGACGATCAATAAAATACACCTCACCACCAATCTGAGTTCTGCCAGCATCCCTCACCCCCTAAAGCTCAGCATGCTTCTTTGTAGTGTCCCTTGGTCCAAATACAGTGTCTGTTCCTCTGGATTATTTATATCACTATACTCTGTCTCCTGATGTAGTATTTCAGGGCAAAAACTACCTCCTAAACTTCTTGGAAATTTTTCCCACTTTTAAAACAACAGATGTTGTAAATAAGTATTGTTAATTGAATATGTTGATGCACATAAAATAGATTATTTCAAATCAAAATAATGGTAATATATTCTAAAGTTTTCTAAATGTTTAAAATGTCACAACATTTTGGGAAAACTGTGGATTAGTTAGTCTACAATTTGTTAAAATAACTGTGCAAAATTAATTGGTGATTTTTAGAGTTGACAAAATCCACATGTATTTTATGAAAAGTAGATGATCTAAAAAATGTGATTAATTTTCTCTGACCGCTTTCTACGTAAACCAAACCACTGACTAAGGGTATGGCTTGTATATAAATGGGATAGAGTTTCAAAGTATGGCTTACACTTCTAACAATGTAAACATTAAGACAATCTTCAGAAAAATTGTGGATAGTTGGGGAGTAAGTATGGGGCCAGGGACACAGCAGAGTTCAGCAGTGGTTGTGATGGGTTATAACTGAGGGACAACAGTCTGTAGTGGTTGTGAACCTACACTTTGGATCTAGACCCCCAAGTTTAAATCTGGTCTCTGTTACTTAACAGCTATGTAATTCTGGGCAAATCACTTAGACCTTTCTGTGCCTCAATTTTCTCATCTGTAAAAAGTATTGCTGTGAAGGCTATATGAATATACATGAAGTGCTTAAAATATTCTCCAGCAAGTAATAAGCACAGTATAATTGATGTTTTTATTGCTGTTGGAGCAGTGTAGATTTCTGCTGTAGAGGTGAGTATAAAATAACCTGAATATTTAATTTGATCTGACTCAGTGACCCCACAAAGAGCCATCCTTCCTCTAATCAGCTCTTCATACATCATTTGTACTAAAGTAAGCACTTGTTAAAGAGCCGGGCACAGTGGCTCATTCCTGTAATCCCAGCACTTTGGGAGGCGGAGGCTGGTGGATCACCTGAGGTCAGGAGTTCGAGACCAGCCTGGCCAAATGGTGAAACCCTGTCTCTACTAAAAATACAAAAAATTAGTTGGGCATTGTGGCAGGCGCCTGTAATCCCAGCTACTCAGGAGGCTGAGGCAGAAGAATCACTTGAATCCGGGAGGTGGAGGTTGCAATGAGCCAAAATCGTGCCATTGCACTCCAGCCTGGGCAACAATAGTGAAACGCCATCCAAAAAAAAAAAAAAAAAGAGTGCAGAGCAAACTTGCATTAGTTACAAAGAATGGATGAGTTTGTACTAATACAGACATTTTTAATTAGATGTGAATTTAGACATAATCTTGCCTCACTTCATCATTTAACAGATGGAGAAATGGAAACCTAAGTATTAGGTTGTGTGATTAAAGCTACACTACACTGGAGAACTGAGAGAGACAAAATCCCTTAATGCCTGCCTGCAGTTATTTCTAGGTGAGAGGCAGCACCATGAATCTGAAACCATCCAGCTTTCTGATGCCAAACAGGCAGGGCTCAAATCCAAGTCTACCATTTACTACACATATGATCTAGGCAACTTACCAAAATACCAAGGCTCAGTTTGCTCAACCATAAAATTATGTGTATAACAACATAACAACAGATGGCAGAGTTTGTTATAAAGATTAGAGATAATTCATGTAAAGCAACTAGCACAGTATGTAGCACATAGTAGGTACTCAATAAATGATGATGATGTTGATGACATGCTGCTCTCTAAATTCTATGCTAAATACATTTCACAGCTTCTTCATTTGCCATGCTATTTATAAACACAGAACACATGAAAATAAATGAACAAATATACTATTCATCTATATCATCTATGTTTATACCACATAACACACATACACACCCTACCATATTATACTATGTTGCCTTACTCCCTCCTTGATCACCAGTTAATATACATAGCCTTCTTAATGCAACACTAAACTTATGGCATTTCCTTTTATGGAAAAGGAAAGAACCTAAATCTTCAATTTTGATGCGAATGTTGGCATTTTTATTTCCATGTGACATTATTGCCAATGATTACCAAAATATGCAAAATATTGGTTCAATAAACTGCTAAAATTGATTTCTTCTTCTCTTTGCCATTTTGAATGGTAATACTTAATTTATTACTTTTTCGCATTTCAAAGAGTAATTTGAAGCTCAACTCTGCTACAATGTATTATTACCCCTTCTACCTCTCCTTCACAGCATTTTTGTCACTATTTATTTTAAATTAATTGTTGAATGACTATCATTCCTACCACCCTCATATCTATGAAGGAAGGAGCACAGTATTCCCAACATACTGACAGTTGATAGGTATTTCATAAATATAACAGGTTCCCAGTATGTAACTGAATATAAAGGTTTGTATTTCAGGAGACAGGTTTAAGGTGGCAGTAAAAATCTGGCAGTAAGTATACTTGAATACTTGAACAAACATACTTGAATTCTAAAACTAATACTCAGACCATACTTTTATATAGTAAATACAGCCACTAACAAGATTAATAGCCTGTCTCTCTTATAAGGCTAAGTTCCTAGATTTTGTCTTTGAATCCTCAGTGCTTTGCAGGTGACTTCACAATAGTTGCCTGGTAAACACTTGCTATCTGAGTAGCTGAGATCTGTTCTAATGCTTAGCATATCATTTCTCTACATATGAAAAATAACCAAACTAACATAAAAAATGGCTGGAGATGAAACATAGTTAGTTCTAATATATTGGGCACTTAAAACATACAATTTAGTAATTGTGCATTAAACAATCACTCATTGCCTAAAGAGCATTACTAATTACAGAACATTCTGTACTTAAAACAGGTATGAGTTTGGGGAGGTACTTATTTATATAAAATTTAAAGAATGTCACTAAACTCCTGTCATAAACACACCTAAATGTCAGATGAATTGTCGGTACTGCCTCATGTCCCTTTTCAAACTGCCCAAAACCAAGTTTAAAAATGAAAGAAATAAGGACAAATGAATAAAATAAGATTTGTTGCATGTTAGCTTAAACTATTTAAAGAACAGCATTTTTAAGAGGAATTTTGAGAATGATTGAAGTGAAAATCTGAAACTGACCTAGTTTATATACCCTTTAGGAATGGAATGAAGCTTGTATATTATGATAGCCAACTACTCTTTCCTTATAATGCACAGCTGTTTGCGTAGATTTGCCGAGCCTCTTTGTTTTGCTTTTTTTTCCCCCAAAGTGTCCTCAGTTCTCTATTTCTGCCCATCAGCCAAGTCCAACTGCTGAAAATGTGACTCAGAACGCTAAGAATGAGTATTTGCTGTCCTAAATGGTCACAGAAATCCTGCTGCGGCTCACCACTTAACATGTGCCTTATGCTCACATTTATTTCAGGTAAAAAAAATTGCCATCAAAGACTCACTTTTTGAAAACTGGGGAAAAATATATTACTTTTTAAAAGTACCACATTTCCTATTGTCAGATTCCTATAGTTGGTTCATAACCAACCAATAAACAACTGTAATTGTTAAGCATTATGCTATGTGCTGTATGGGAAAATAAGTGTGCTGTATGAAGCTATAATTCATTTTATTAATGAGCTTGCCATAGCGCTAAATAAGTACAGCAATCACATAGGAAACAATTAAGCAAAATGCCACAGAATATTATAAAGTGATAAATGAGTTCATGCATACTTTATTTAAGATGCCTAAAGAAATAAAAAGTAATAATCACAGATACTATTTACTGGTCACTAAGCACTGTACTGGGTACTTTATGGAATGACATAACTTAATCCTTATTATAAGCCTTTCCAGTAGATTATATTATTACCCCCACTTTAAGGATCCGAATACTTAAGGCCATATCCTCAAGATCCTAGAGCTCGGTCAGAATGAGCCCCCAAAAGAAAATAAGGCTACAGTTTGACTTTGAAGGATAAATACAAAAAAAATTATCATAAGAGTACTTGAATTATTATTTATACATTCTTTTTTTAACATAATCTTTTCTTAAGGAGTCTAAGCAGAGAAAATAGCTCTTTACTTTTGCAAATAGAATTGTAAGAATCTATGGACTTTAAAATTGAAAAGTCTGGGAAGACTAGTTATGGTTAGGGTAAAATGGAAATAAAGAGAAATAGCAATTAGGTAGATCAAAAAGGAGATGCATACAGTAGAGAATTTTGCACTTGAACTTTGAAAAAAGAAAGTCGTTATTATGGGAAAGGACAAGTTGTCCTGCTATGGAAATCTCCACTTATCTAAACTTGAATTAATTTGCTTCTTCATTAAATGTGCTTCATCTCTCTTCCCTATCCTAGTGATTGATGCCACCACCATCTATCTCAGCCTCCATTTCCCTCACCCAATATATCCAATCAGTCATTAAGTCTTGAAGCTTAAAAGCATGAGGCTTCCTGTCTCAGCCCTGCCACTTACTAGATAGGTGACCTTGGGAAGATTATTTGATCATTAACTAATAATTTACTCAATGGTAAAAACATGGATAAAAATAGAACATATTTTATAAGTTGTTAGAATTCAAGTATAGACTAAATGTAAAAGTTTTTATTACTGGTACATAGAAAGCATTCAGAATATTAAGCTATTAATTATTCATAGAAATATGAACAAAAATATTCTATATTGGGCTTATTATCTTCTGTATTCATATATACATGCATCATATGTATATGTGTGCATTTATATGTATATAAAATACATACAGTTTAATGTCTATTCTTAATAGAGATATTAAATATTAAATGCCATAGAATTGTGTTTAAGAAAAAGAGCTCTGCATTCAGACAGAGCCAAATTAATTTCGATATTAGGTTTACCATTTTCTGTCTGTGTTATATTGAATATATCACCTAACAACTGCAAACCTCAGCTTCTTCATCTGTAAAATAGTTATTGTGAGCTTGAAATTGAGTAATACACATAAAGCACATTATATAGTACCTGACATAACTAATGTTAGCCATCTCATTATATCACTGATTTTTTTCATAAGATACAGTGTGCATATATTAATGCATAATTTGTGGCTGGATAAGAACTAAAGAATATACGATTGAAGTGATTTTTAAAAATATCATTTCATTAAGAAAGCTTTATTTTTTGTTCTATAGTTGTTTATTTTTCTAATTATTCTATTAATCCAAATCACCTGCATCCATGAGAGAGTAGGTACTCTAAGAAATGAGAATGTGAAAGGAAAGAACCACAAGAATGAGACTCAACTCAAATAAGAACAGGGACAAATGCAGCATCAAGGTAATAATCAGCAGAAACAGAACAGCTGGTTTGCCTTCTGAGACGCCCAAAGACATACTCAAGCTACCCATAGATGCTTTTAGATTCCACCAATTGGACTTTTCTCCTTGCTTCATGAATATTCCATGAACTATTCCAATTCCCAAAGAACCGAAATGATCACCATAAGCCTGTGCCAGGTTATCAACAACAGTCCATAGGTCACATATAGTGATGATGAATCAAACTACCAGTGAGTTACCCAAAGGTCTACTGAAATACCAAATGTCATGTAGACTCTAAAGACAATTCAAAGTGAGGAGTTCAAACACATTTTAAGCAAAGGCAGTATCATTTGAATAAGTAAATAGCTTTACAAGTTGGAACACATATTTGAATAAGCAAATTTCAGCTTCCTGATTGAAATCTCTACTGAAATTCAAAACTTATAATTCTTAGAATAAATATTTCTTTCTAGTTATACGTTGTAACATTTTGCTCTTAACATACTTTTTCCTTCTTGATTTCTTTCTTCTTATTTCTCTTTCTCTCTCTGTCCTTTAATTTTGATGTGTTCTTAATCTTTAAAGTTGTACTTGATACTGAAGGCATTTGATGACAAGTGATACTGTAAAACCAGCTGCACTCTGGCAGGGATCTAGAATCAGGAGGATGGGTGGGCCAACCCATTAATCACTGTCTTTAGACCACAGATAGTCTTCAAGTAAGCCACTGTGGAGATCTAAGTCATTACACATACATAGTCACACATTGTAGAGGATATGAAGCATATAATGCAAATTTTGACTATATTTATTTTAAAGTCTTTCCCAATGATTAAATGGTATAATCCTATGTCCTTCACAACCAAATTTGATCTTCTTGACCTTGGATGTGCCATTTGCACACAGCATGTGGATCATGCTGAAAAAGGAGTTACTAAATCAGAATGAACTTAGCCAATGGAATGAGCTCAACCAACCATTTACTGTAATGGCAATTGCTGTAGTCAGGAAGTATGTTTCAGGGAGCCCATGGAAGATTATCAATTCTCTTCCCATCTTTGGAAATTCAGCAGAATGGTTTTATTCTGATTAAGTAGTACTTTGAAGTGTTTAGAATATTCCATGATAGCACTAGTATAATGAGTCTCATCACTTTGCAAAAAAAAAAAAAAAAAAGAAAAGAAAACTCTATCAACTCACTATAACACAAAAATTATGTATATATATATATATATGTGTGTGTGTGTGTGTATGTGTGTGTGTGAGTGTGTCTCCAAAACTGGAATACGTGGACCTACAGCAATCCTGGCATTGAGGAGTGTTAGTAGCTACATGAGACAGTCAGTATATTTTATAATTTCAACATTATTAGAAAATCACAAATTGAAATACATTGTTTTAAAACTTAAAGTTAACTACTAGTGATATACAAATATGAAATAACTTCCAAAATACATGAAGAAAGAAAGAATAAGGAAAATTTTAGTGATAAAAATATAATAGCAAAATTAATATTAAGAAATATAAAAATCAAAAGTACTAAAATCAGATCAAATAGAATTTGAGGAAAAAACATTATATGGGAATAAACAATAACTTTATTTTATTACTAGAGGCCTGGAATGATATAGAAATAAAGCAGTTATGTGTCTTTACATGTTGAATATCATAGCATTAAAATGTATAAAATAAAAATAAAATGCAAAAAAATTAACATGATCTCATAAAATCAGTGGGAGAATTTTTCAAATATTTCTTGGTATTTGAAAAATCAAGATAATAAAAGGTTATATGTTAAACAGCTGAAATCATATTTTAAGTAAAATTGTTTTAATAATCAAAAATTAACTTTTTTCAATTTGGCTTCAAACATTTATAAGTTTTTAGCATAGCTCAGGGCACAGTTAAAATATCTGTAACATTCAAATCTGTATAGGTAATACTTCTGAACATATGCAATACTAATAAAAATTAACAATGAAGTTTTCAAAAATCCCATTTGAAAATATTATCTCCAAATAATTCTTAGTTCACAGATAAAAGTAGCAACATAATTATAGAATATTTAGCAAATAATTATAATAATATTACATATCTAAAGGTATGAATTATGGCCAAAGTTGTTTGCAAAGGAAATCTTATTGCAATAAGAAAAATTTATTATTTAAATAAAACATAGTGAAAATAAACTAATAAGAGGCAAACTCAAGGAGCTAGAAAAGGAGTAACAAAACTAACTTGCAGAAAGATGGAATTCAAATACAATCATGACTCAATAATTAGAAAATAGAAACAATGAAATAAATAAATAAATTCAAGACTCAAGTTTTTGAAAGTTTCCATGACAAGAATCTTCTATCATGGCTTCAATACAACAAGGCAAAGCAAAATAAAACAACAAGCACAGAGGGTATAAATTTACCTATGGGGAATGGGAAAGAAAATAAAACTGCATACTCAATCACTACTTTCTAAACTAATAAATAGTATGTAAAATTCATTCTGATGATTTTCAAAATCGTGATGAAATTGATTCATTTAAAGGAAAATATAAACTATCTAAACTTACTTAGTGGAAAGATATTAATTTTTCACCTGCACACACGCCATTCTTAAAGGGCCCAGTGCCCTGTAGGAGCAGAGCTATAAATTGCAGGACCCTGACCAGTTAATCCCTGCCAGGGTGAATGCCTAACCTAATTTCTTCAGCTGGCATCTCTCTGAGAACAGAATCCCATCCTCCTCATCCTCCTCCCGCACTTCCTGTCCCCTTTAGTGCTTTACTATTATCATAGCCCTATCACTATCTAACACATCACCTGTTTTGTTATTTATGTTTTTCAGTATTGTCTGCCTCCTCTCCCTTGCCCCACACAAGTAAATGTAAGCTCCACCTGGCAGGATATTTGTTTTTTGGTACACTATCGGCTCACAGATTCTAAACAGGAAATCGGGCACAAAGTTGGCACAAATGTATATTTGTTGAATGAGTGAATAAATCAATTAATGAATGAATAAGGGACCGATCTGTTATCTATAGAGAAATAAAGTTGATGATTTATATACGTGTTGATTTGGGTATATGCAAACAAAGGGAGTCTTAGACTACCATATGTGGCAAATACCATAGACTGTATTTAAGTGACCACAGGCATTTGTCTGCTGGTTCAAAAAAGAAGCTGAGTAGAGTGATAGTGAGAGAGAAAGAGAGAGAAGGAGATAGGTGAGTAGTGGAGGAAGAAGAAGAGGAAGAAGAGGAAAGAGAGTGAGAGGGGCGCTGCTTGTTTGCTTCTATGTTTTTATGAGGATCTGACTATTTTTGTACAGTTGGACTCCATGAAGAAAAAGATACTTTTTAATTGTTTGTTTGTTTTAAATCACAGACTCACTGATGTGTCAAATGTAAAATACAATAGCTTTTATTGGGCTTTCCACATTGTCTTAGATCTATCCCTTCAGGTCGAGAATTCCTAATTTTGACTGTACATTTACTACAACTATCTAACTTCTTGCTTATTGGTTTTGTTTTCTTCTTTAATACACAGGCACAGGCCCCACCCTGCCCCATGGGGTAGTTCTAATGTGTGGCCATGTTAAGAGCTGCTGCTTTAAAGACTCCACAAGAAAACTATTAGAACGGATAAGCAAATTCAGTAAAGTTGCAGGATACAAAATTAATATACAAAAATCAGTAGCATTTTTGTATGTCAATAGTTAACAATCTGAAAAAGGAACAAAAAAGTAATCCTATTTACAATAGCCACATATAAAATTAAATACCTAGGAATTAACTTTACCAAAGAAATGAAAGATATCTATAATGAAAATTAGAAAACACTGATGAAATAAATTGAACAGGACACCAAAAAATGGAAAAAGATTTTATGTTCATGGATTGGAAGAATCAATATTAATAAAATTTCCATACCACCAAAAGCAATCTACAGGTTCAGTGCAATCACTATCAAAATACCAAAGATATTCTTCACAGAAATAGCAAAAACAATCCTAAAATGTATATGGAACCACAAAAGACCCAGAATAGCCAAAGATATCCTAAGCACAAAGAATGAAACTGGAGGAATCACATTACCTCATTTCAAATTATACTACAAATCTGTAATAATCAAAACAACATGGTACTGGCATAAAAACAGACACATAGATCAATGAAACAGAATAGAGAACCCAGAAACAAATCCACACACCTAAGCAAACCCATTTTCAACACAGGTGCCAAGAATATACAGCTGGAAAAAGACGGTCCCTTCAATAAATGGTGCTGGGAAAACTGTATTATTCATACGCAGAAGAATGAAAATAGACCCCTATCTCTGCCATATACAAGAATCAAATCAAAATGAATTAAGACCACCTCAAACCATTGAGCTATTACAAGAAAACATTGAGGGAAATCTCTTGGACATTGGTCTGGGCAAAAATTTCTTGAGTAATACCTTAGAAGCATGGCAACCAAAACCACAATGGACAGAAGGGATCACATCAAGTTAAAAAGCTTCTGCACAGCCAAGTATACAATCAACAAAGTGAAGTGACAACTCATAGATTGGGAGAAAATATCTGCAAACTATTCATCTGACAAAGGATTAAGAATCAGAATATATAAAGAGGTCAAACAACTGAATAGGAAAAAATCTGATAATCCAATCAAAAATGGGCAAAAATTTGAATAGATAATAAGATCTGGCTGTGTTCTCAGCCAAATCTCAACTTGAATTTTATCCCCCAGAATTCCCACTTGTTGTAGGAGGGACCCAGGGGGAAGTAATTGAATCATGGGGGACAGTCTTTCCTGTGCTATTCTTGTGATAGTGCATAAGTCTCACCAGATCTGATGGGCTTATCAGGGGTTTCTGCTTTTGCTTCTTCCTCATTTTTCTCTTACCATCACCATGTAAGAAGTGCCTTCCACCTCCCACCATGATTCTGAGGCCTCCCCAGCCATATGAGACTGTAAGTCCAAGTAAACCTCTTTTTGTTCCCAGTTTCAGGTATGTCATGATCAGCAGTGTGAAAATGGACTAATACAGCAGACATTTCTCAAAAGAAGACATGGAAATTGTAAACAGATATAGGTAAAGGTGCTCAACATCACTGATCATCAGAGAAATGCAAATCAAAACTACAATGACGCATCATCTCACCCCAGGTAAAATAGCTTATATCCAAAAGGCAGGCAATAGCAAACACTGGAGATAAATTAGTACAACCACTATGGAGAACAGTTGGAGAGTCCTCAAAAAACTAAAAATAAAGCTACCATATGATTCAGCAATTCCACTACTGGGTGTATACCCAAAAGAAAGGAAATCAGTATATCAGAGAGATATCTGCACTCCTATGTTTGTTTCAGATCTGTCTACAATAGCTAAGATTTGGAAGCAACCTAAGTGTCTATAAACTGATAAATGATTAGAGAAAATGTGGTACATATATACAGTGAATGACTATTCAGCCATAAAAAAGAATGAGATCCAGTCATTTGCTACAACATGGATGGAAATGGAGATCATCAAGTTAAGTGACATAATCCAGGCACAGAAAGATAAACCTTGCATGTTCTCACTTATTTGTGGGATCTAAAAATCAAAACAATTGAACTCATGAACATAGAGGGTAAAATGATGGTTACCAGAGACTGGGAAGGGTAGCGGGAGTTTGGTGGAGGGAAGATGGGGATGATTAATGGGTACAAAGTAATAGAATGAATAAGACCTACTATTTGATAGCACAACAGAGCAACTATAGCCAATAATAACTTAATTTTACATTTTGAAATAACTTAAAGAATGTACTTGGACTGTTTGTAACTCAAATAATAAATACTTGAAGAAATGGCTACCCCATTTTCCATGATGTGCTTATTTCACATTGCATGCCTGTATCAAAGCATCTCATGTACTTCATAAATATATGCATCTATTATGTAGTCACAAAAATTAAACATAAGCAATTTTTAAAGACACAAACAAAAACTAACTGCTGCTTTGCTTTGCACAATGAACTCTATTAAAATGTTTTTTCAACTCACTTAAAGATGTCCACAGGTTCCTCCTAATAGTATACATGGGATTTTGCCCCTTTCTGTAAAAAAAACCTGTAACTCCGAAAGAAACTTTCAAACAATTAGCTTCGCCTACATCTAGCTCTGTCACAGCTGTTTAATTTTTAAGCTGTTAATCACCAACATAAAGTTTAAGCTCATACAGTTACTTTTATGTTTTTCTGTATTTTTAAATGACTTACAAGTTGATATCAGGATTTTTAAGTTCTCAGTTTGTTTCCCTGACAAAATAAATTTGACCAAGAAGCTAAAATCTTAAACTGAAGGTGGATTAAGTCAAATACCTGCAGAGGGGCTTCAGGATGCTTCTCTCTCTGCACTGGAGCAGCGGGAACTTCCTGAGGGGGCTTTGATGTCTTCCTTTTGGCTTTTTCCATTTGAATATTGGTGAAATAGTTGACAGCAGCAAACTCGATAAGGGCCGAAAATACAAAAGCAAAGCAGACAGCTATGAACCAGTCCATGGCGGTAGCATAGGACACTTTGGGCAAAGAATGTCGTGCACTGATGCTTAGTGTGGTCATGGTGAGGACAGTTGTTATTCCTTCAAAGCAAAAGAGCAGAGAGACAAAACACCTTACCATCATTTGTATTAAAAAGCACCGCCACCACCAACAAAAACCTAGAAAATCATGTGGAATAGGGTTAACAAAACTACAATAACTCAAAGAAAACCATCTTTGATGGAGAATTGGAATCTTAGTGGTTCAATAAAATTAGCACAGGCTTTGGAGTGAAAGATATGGTTCTAATCCTAGTTTTTCTCATAATTGGCTTAATATGTCCTGCCTTGAGTTTGGAAAATTCTTTGGGCTTTATTTGATACCCACTGATTGGGTTTTCTATAAAGGTTAAAAGCATGTAACGCACGTAGCACACAGTGGGATGATCCTGGAAACTGAGCCAACACACCCAACGGACTCAACAGACACACACCTCTCAGGAAGAGTAACTCACTGAAGCACTGACTCTCATCCAGGAATGGAAAGTGAGCAACACTGGCCTCCTAAATTTGAGCATCAGAATTTCTGGAGTTAAGCATGGCCCACTGCTATTGAGAACCACTGCCAGAAAAGGCATGAATTATACATAGGTCTTTCTTATCTTTAAATATTATCTATTGAATTAAAATACTAAATTTACTAGTTGTGCAGAAGCCTCATTTTTATAAAACAATAAAGTTATATTACTGGACGAATAGATTTCCAGAGCAATTTGGCATTATAAATATTGGACCTTTACCACCCATCAGTTTACAACTGGCTGGAAAATATTTGCAAAAGGAACAGAAGTACTTCTCCTCCATCAATAGGCTTCTGAAGCACCACATCCAGGAACGCTTTCTCCTTAGCTTGGAAAAAATGTCAGTTCCCACTCTTAGCAGAAAAATTCTCCTTGCCACTGGTACTATAGAGTAACACATTATTTAAGAATGTTAATATTTGAACTCTTGTCTATTTCTGCATCTATATATGTCTGTCTAATCCATGTTATGCAGTTAAGTCTGGAAATTTTTGTGAGGATTTGCTACATCCATTTAAACTGATTCTATATAATGACTAGGATAGCTCCTGAAGTTGACACACAACACATTTGGGGATGGTGATGATGATAATAATAGAACAATGATGTTGAAGGCATTTAAACTGCATATTGTAATCCATGCCAATCCCCAGCTGAAAGGCAAATAATGCATGTTCAACCAAAGAAATAATGAGTCCGATGCAATATTAAAGGAATAAGGTATTTTGATTTGGAGAAAATAATATTGTCTCCTCAATTCAGAATTTTGTTGTATTCTGCCTACTACTGTTCCTTAACTGATACAGGTGTGTAATCCTCATTTCCACAGCTTTATTAACCATAGTCTTCTTGAGGGTAGACAAGCCTAAGATTGCTTCAGGTTTATAATATGTCACATGGTGCTAGGCACAAGATAAATGCATGGAAATAAAAACTCATTTTTCCAGTTCCTCACCAATCCATTTTCTCTGAAATTCGGTCTCTTCTAAATCTTCAATGCTTAGAACATGAAAAATTGGAGCAACTGTGCAACACATGAGCTACACATCATTTATAAAGATCTGAGAATCCATACAGAGAAAGAAACTTGAGAATTTGGTTGTACTCCCTTTTAAAAATATTTTGTGACATTGTTAGCATTCTTATTAGTCTAAAATAGATTATAAAATGAGTTTATTCAATATATAAATATCTGCATATCTATGAAAATGCTATATTGTGAATTTATTGGGTTTTATTTCAGAAAGGGACCTTGGAACATTTAGGCCTTCATTTTGAATCTCAGAAAAGTGGCACCACTCCCATGTTGGCTGTGAGATATATGAATAAACAATAAAATAACTGAAAATTTTTAGCTACGTTTGACAATAGATGAAAATGTTTTTCTTGTTCATAACAATTTAAATTTAATGGGGTATTAAGAATTCAAAAATGTTCTATAACTTTCTCAGATATATAAGCAATATTTTTCCTCTAATGTCATAGAAACAATGCTAAAAGCAGTTAGAATAAAATATGAACAGTGCAGTATAAATAATAATACTACTCAGTACTCAGAAAATTCTACACACACCATAGTGTGATAACCAAAAAGGATACCCAAATTCAAATACAAGCAACTTAAGATTCCCTATGTTACTTTGAACTTTTTTTTTTTTTGTAATAGGACTATTTTTCTTGGTGATCAGAAGTAGTGTTCTTCATCTTCTCCTCTTATCATGTGAATAAATGTCCTTACCAATGTCAAGCAAACAGAATACTAATGCAGTTATTGACCCATAAATTCAGTAATTACTTTCCAATTGTTTAGGAGGATAGATCACCAGGTTCATGAGTTAAGTGGTGATGTGGATTATACTGGTTTATTATACTGGTGGATTATGAAAACCAGTGGAATAGCAAACAGAAACCAACTCTTCAGAATAAGAATCCATGCTTCCTCTGCATCCAGGAAGACAATTCATCTGTCGTGTATGGCTTAGCCGGCATCTACCCTGAACACATTTAAAAGCCATATTTTAAAAAATATATCCAATTATTGATGCCATTCCCTGCATTTAGCATGCTGAATATGCACCATATTGGCTGGCCCAGAAGCTGAGTGAGGATGTGTAAGAGTAGGCAAAGACTGTACACAAGAGTGAATTTTTGGCTGGCCACTCCTAGAAAATGAAATAGCAATGATTAAGATATGCCAGCTGGCATTTACTTGTGTTTAATGTTTTACTATACTGGAATAATTAGAAAACTTAGAGGCATACAGCTTTGGAGATAGAAGGCCTTTGGAGAGATTTTTAGGACACTCTGCTCCTTTTATTACACTGATTTTTTTTGCTTTGTTTTTACACAGTCTCTAATGATGTCTCTGACCCAACAAATTATCTTCTTATGAGTGGAAAGGGAAATAAGAGTTAGGAAAGAAAAAAATTTGCCCAGAATTAATATTTACCTAAATCTCATATGAAAATAGCTTGCTAATTTCCTCCTAAATACTTAAAACTTAACTTTTCTAAGAAAGTACCTTCATAGGCCCTCAATGATAGTCTAATAATTATCAATCTGACACATCTTAGGTCTTTGAAGACTTAATTACAGACATAATTTGTCTGCTCAACTGAAAACAATATCTTGGCACATGGGCACAAAAGATGGGTAAATTTCTAATGAAAAAAAAAACACCCACAAAGCATCTTTAGCACATATCCATGTAATCTCACTCAGCAGTTCTGGAACTCTCCACAAGCCCCCACATCCCCACACCTCCTGTGAAGACAGACTGACTGAGTTGTCAAAGTTAGACAGAAATTGTCTTGGGTCCACCAATTACAATTTGATTTTATACAAGTTTCTTAATATGTTTGAGTCATTTCCCTTAACTATAAAAATAATGACTACCTTGCTGAGTAATTATTAAGGTTAACAATATTTGGCAAATCTGTTTATCATTGGTACTAGTAATACTAATATCCTTACTTCCTGCTACTTCGTTTTCTTAAAATATCTTGTTTGGATAGGAAATGTTGGGTGAGTACAGCTGTAATCAATACTAGCCTTCCCCACACCACTGGAAATTTCTATTATTTTGGGACAAGTGAGATGAACAGTACCTGTCATGTTGTAATCAATCAAGAAATAAATAAAAGGTTATCAAGTCATCACAATAATAATAATATATGGCAGACAGTCACATTAACCTATCAAGTAATAATTCTCAAATGAAGTAGACAGCAGCATGGAATGCCATACTAATAAATAACACTTAAATCATATTTACTATGTGTGAGGCATTATTTCAAGTGCTTTTCTAAATCAACTCATTTAATCCTTACAGCAGTCCTGTGAGGTAAGTGCAATCATTCATCCTGTTTTAACACATGAGGAAGCTGGCAAATGTAACTTATTGAAGGTCCACAGCTAATAAGTGATAGTCCCTTGGTTAGAAGGTAGGCTTTCTGCCTCCACATTCTGCACTTATGACACTATCACCTCTTGATTACAGGCACCTATGATGGATCGTTAATTGCTGTTCTACACACTCTTTAGGATCATTTAAAAAAATGTATACATGAGTTTTTTTATGCGTAAAATATAATAGAAACTTCTGGGTTTTCCTTTAAATTTTTAATGAGGGTAGCTCCAGAAATATTTGTATTTTTTTGTACAAGAAAAAAGTTAAGAGACTTTGGATGCTCAGTTTCAGTAGATACTTCTTGCCTAGTCAGAGTGCTTCAAAAGATGATGTGTAAAGACACAAAATTAGCTTGAGTGTTAAATGAGATAATGAACATCAAGAAGTTAGCAGAGCATCCAATAGTACAACACTAGAAAGTTATGCTTTCTTTAAAACACTTAAAAGTCAAGGAAACTAAGTCTGAACAAAATCTATCTTCCTTAGATAAGAGAAGTATTGGAGAAAGTAATTAATACGAACTAAGTGGTCCAGATACCCTATATTGAGAACGATACATAACTTTTTAAATCCTCACTAGTCTATGAGGGTGAGATGTATTATCATAATTTTATGAATGGAGAAAATAAGTGGCAGATTTGGGTTTAAACCTAGACTTGCTGACACCTACAGCTTAGATTTGTTTTTTTCTCTCTTCTGCTTTCAAACTTATATTTAAGAGCTAAAATTTATTCAACACTTTGAGTTGTGCAGTTATTCTTTAATTGAACCCTTATAACTCTTTAAGGTACCATTATACCTCCTCACTGCTTTCCTAAGATCACACCCTCCCTCCACCATTGCCCCCCCATATGAGTTTCTCCAGTATACTTCCAGTACTTTTTCTTTCTATTTTTTTAATGCATCCTCATACTCCAACACCTTCTTAGAGAAACCTAAGATTAAAGGGAGGATAGTTGTCTTTAGAGTATTTCAGATCCATTGAGGACACTAAGACACCCTAATCAATAGTTCTTGAAAAGGATGGGGAGGTAGGATGAAAAGTTCCCGTTCTATTTAGTTCCTTCGCACCAGCATCTCTTCAGCTATTGTGTGATAAAGGATATTATACCATGGCTGTGATCCTACTAGGTAGAAAATCAAAGAGGAATTGGCACTCTTGTGAGGAATACACCACCATTCCAGAGCAATTCTGATCATTTTCCTTCTTATTCTACTACTGAATGCTTTTGTTACTCACAATGAACAGAAAAAGAATAGAGAAAGACATTAACTAAAATAAATATAATTATAACAAATTATACTATTTAAAAGCATGACTGACATGTAGAACACATTAACTTATAAAAATTGTAAACTCATATGCTCTGAACTTTATATTGTTCAGAATACTATACAGTATATATGAAGCCACTATAAAAACAAAAAGAAAAACCAATGTTTAGAAAAAAAAGAAGTAAGTAAATATATGAGCTTATAAACTAAGCATATAATACCTTCCAATTCAATGCATTTAAACCGTTTGCATTTTGTTCCTCTTCATTAAAAGCTAAATTATTCTAAGGCTTTCATATTCATTCAGCCATGACTTTTATTTGTTTTATTTTAAGCTGCCAGTGCATTTCTTTTTAACATGGAGATATAATTTTAATTCAATTACACAGCATTATACTAGGAGCCCAAGAATATCACTGAAAGTGAGATTATGTCCAGATTCACATTTGGTCTATGCCTGTCTGGTTCTCAACAAGGGAAATCTGATGCCTGGCCCCAGAGGAAAGGAAGGATGCCCAAATCTCCCCAAGCTTTATTACTTTGTACTGGCTAGATAAAAATGAAAGCCATGTGATTCCTTATTCAGGATAGCCTGATGTATTAGGGTTTAAGATTTTCTTAGAAATATCCCATGAATCATGAATAAAATGTAATGTGAACAAAAACGCCCAAGAAATGAATTGCAATTACCAAATACAGTCCTAGCGGGAACTGATTCTTTATTTATCCAAAATGAAACTTGAGAAAGAATCACTGTCATAATGCACGGAATATAGGTCTGAATCATAAAATAACCCATCTTCCGTCTGAGGTGGAAGTAAACCGTCATAACAATATATTCACCTGCCAAGAAAACAGGAGGAAAATGTGTTATCGGTTCTGCAGGCAATTAGTCAATGGCTTCATAAACATATTTCAGACTAACAAACAGGATTCTAAGGAAAGAAATTCTCTTTTGTGCATAGCTACACAAACATCAATAAGTATGTAGTTTCCTAACGAGGGAGAAAATGATATTGAACGTTATTATACAGAAAAACTCTTTGTTCCGTGTAATGATTAAGCAATTTAACAAATTGGGCTAAAACTTTTAAAAATGTTCTGTAGTGCTTTCTATTTTGATGGTCTAATATTGCTAAGGCAATTAGCTTTCATTTTCAGCGTTTTTTAGAAACAGCATTTAGACCTATCTTCTATGAAAAACCACTAGAAAAAAATAGAAATGCACACAGTTACACATACACAGACACTGACACATACACACACATTTATGAAAATATAAAGTTTAATTTTAGAAAGTAATAAATATACATATTTATATATAAATATATTTAAATTTCATTCATATATAGATTTCATACACAGTCACAAGCTTAGAGAGAGGCTACCATAGTTTTAGGAAAGAGGTGAATTTCTAAATGTTCTTTATATGAAGAAAAATATAGACGTGTATAACATACAGGCATATATAACACCCCTGAGTTCAAGCATGTTTTACTGGCATTTAGACAAAAACCTGAAAAACTAATAAGTACAATAAACCATAAGATTTCTGGTAGCTGTTGATAAGTGTTTTTACTGTTACCTCTGAAAAGAATATGTGAAGAAAGTTATCTAGGAAGCAGTGGCCTTATTCACAAACCATGAGGCCAGCATTCAGAAACCTCACATCCTACCAGATGTGTTCTAAATCCCATTTGCAGACTGGAAAATAAATGCCCTTCCAAAAATAAATTTTCCTGGACAGATGAGAGGCAAGGTGCCCTTTAGAAAGCTACTGTATTGTTTCATAATTGATGTGAAGAAGGTTTCCTCAAAATGATAATAGTCATGACAGGTGTCATAAAGATAAAAGTAATGGAAATTTAGGAGAGAGGAGCAGTGCCATTGATTTTATGACAAAGACAGTGTGTGACTTATACAAAGCAGTTTTAATAGAAGAGACAGTGGGCTAAATTCCTTTTTAAAAACAAAGACTTATGTATTAATTTTATTTATCCATAATAAATTTCTATTTTATCTTATTTATGTTTAATTTTTAACCAATTTTTTGAGGTATGATTGACATACAAAAAGCTGTACATATTTAATATATACAGCTTGATGAGTTTGGAGATAAGTATACACTCATTAATCTATCACCACAATCTATGCCACAAATATATACATCACCCCCAAAAGTTCCCTCCTTCTTATTTATTATCTTCTGTGATAAGAACATTTGAGACCTATTCTCTCAGCAAATTTTTAAGTAGACAATACAGTACTGTTCACTATATGCACTCTGCTATGCGGTGGATATCTAGGATTTATTCACCTTACAGAACAGAAATACTATGCCCTTTGACTAATACCTCGCTGTTTCCTCCTCCCGGAGGCCCCTGACTACCACCATTCCTCTCACTGCCTTTCAGTTTGACTATTTTAGATTCATCATCCCTTCACAACACTGCTTTATCCATTTTTTCTTAAAACAAAAACAAAAAAAAACTTTGTTACCTCACATCTTTGCTCCAGATCTTAAAACTACTCATTTTCTACTAATGCAGTCTTAGCATTTTATCTCGCAGTCAACACCTTTTAAGAACACAAACTCAGAAGTCATAACACTTAGATGTGAATTTGGGTTTTGCCAGTTATTAGCTGTATGACTTAGGCAAATACATTGTACTTAAACCTTTCTCGTGTATAAAATAAATGTTATAGTAGTATCCACTTCATGGGATGGTTATGAGAAAAAAATACATGGAAATAATTTAGAAGGGTGCCCATCAGATGGTGATTGCTGAATAAAGTTTAACTATTGCTATGGTCTAAATGTTTGTGGTCCTCAAAGTTCAGATGTTGAAACATAATAGCCAATGTAATAATAGGAGGTTGGCTTTGGGGTGTTTAAACCATGATGGTGGAGCCTTTATGAATAGAATTAGTGCCTTTATAAAAGAGGCCCCAGTGTGAGCACCCACTCCCTACACCTTTGGGGTCCCCATGTGAGGACTTATTCATAGAAGGTACTATTCTGTGAACGAAGAAATGGGTCCTCATTGAACACTGAATCTGACTGCACCTCATCTTAGACTTGTCAGCCTCCTGAACTGTGAGAAGTAAATTTCTGTTGTTTATGAGCCGCCCTATTTGTGTTGTTTTGTTACAATGGCCCAAACAAACTAAGTTAACTATCATAAAAAATATTTTTTCTGGTGATATGTGTATGTAAGGAACAGTCTTAGAACAAGCAATAATCAGCTAATTTTTCCACTAAATATGATTAAAAACTAAATTCTATAATTCTTCCTATTCACATTCCAAAAGAAAAGAGAGACCAAGAATCATAAATAATAAACATCCCCCCTACTCATGTGATAACCTTAATGTATACCCATAATATACTTTGTAATTAAGTTTTAGATTTTTGTTTACTTTCAGAAAATGAGAGAAAGTGGCACCACAAAATTGGGCAAGATAAAGGAAAATTTTTGGAAAGCCCCACAAAAATCATCAAAAACCGAAAGCAGAAACAAAGCAAAGACAAAAAACAAGATCAGACTTCCTACCACATAATTTTGTGAAAATAATTTTAACATATTTGATTACTGGCTTTCATTTCTGAATAAGAAAACCAACTCACTTTTAGCATCTTACTAAATCAGAATTTATTTTAAACTAAAGTAAGATTATAAATATAAAGAAATTATGAGCTATAACTCATGCATCAACTCTATTTCTGGAAAATGTTTGTTGTTCTCCTGAAAAAATTAACTATTTCAATGAAAAAGTCAGGAGAAAACTTTATTGCTAACACCAAGTAGCATGTCGGCTTTAATCATTACACATCTCACCCGTAATTGATTTGATGGTTTCACTTGATACGGTTTGCCCAATCAAATCATATTGAACTAAGCTGGAAGACTCCTTCGGAACTTCAACTGATTTCTCAGGACCTTTTGTCCAGGTATAGATCATCTCACTCTTTGGATAGGCATCTAAAAGAGAGCACAGAATGTGGTTAGAGTCAATGCTCCTTTTTCATCCACATCAGTGGTCAACACTTAAAAACAGTACTTGTTCAAGAAAGATGGAATAAATGAAAACAATGTTCACTATAATTTAGTCACTATAATTTAGTTCACTATAATTTAGTCAAACATCTTTAAGATTTAGAAAACTAGAGACTAAGTAAATACCCCTGCAACTCAACAGTATTTATTTTTTATGCCAAATAAAGGAGGAGGAGATATTAAAACTGAAGCATCTAAAATGCTACATATGCATGAATACACTTGGATGTGTGTCCATGCCAGTAGGATAAACAGTTCAAAAGCAGATATATTGAACTCCCAAAGCCGTACTTCTAACTCACTTCCAATGCTTGACCAATACCATCCTAACACAGTTCTGCTATTTAGAAATGCTGCCTGTAATAATACAATAACAAAACCAAACAAATCCTACTGTTAGGAGAGCTCCCCTGGGGTCACCTGTTCCAAACTCTGCCTCTGGGCAATATCCACTGTGTTTGGGGACCATTGTACAGTGACAACTGGCTATGTTGTTTGTAAAGCTGTCCAGGGAATATAATTACACAACCAATTCCACTACCTTTAATTTCTTACAATCAGGACATTTCCCCTTACATCTTCAACAAATCTCTCCCGGTGGCAATTTAAGCCCATTTTCTATTATTTGGCACTCTGTGCAAATGGAGAACAGCTGCTTGCTTACCAGTCTACCCATAACAGACAGCTTGGCTCACACACAAGTAAGTTCAAAAGAACCAAAATGAATTGTGTGCCAACCTCCCTCCAAACCATCCTAAAATGGCTATAGCATAGTAGGTCCTCAATGGAATCATTTAATTCTTCAAAAGGAGTTGACACCTAAGAGCACCTTATGAAACAAACTATGAGGCTTGTGTTGTCATTTTAGCACCATTCAGTTATATTATGTGTCAGCATTTATTTCCAGAAATATATTCACACTTCAGTAAACTGTTACAGCCTCTGTATACTATGTTCTTGTCTATGATATTGCAAATTAAGTATCCTTCCTTTGGCTACCCTACCTTGCTAGAATAACCTTTTTCTTTCCTGGTTTTTCTAATTCCTCTGAATTGTAAGCATGGGGGTTTTAAATAGTGTTTTGTGTTTTCTTCCTCTTTCCAGATTAATTAAAAATCCTTACCTGCTGAGTATGGTGTGCCTCTCTTTTTAATTCCCAATCCAAAAACATCAGCTTCCAATGTGCAATTTCTTTATTTTATACAAACCCTGATTGAACACGAACTATGTTCAAGTCCTTCTGAAGAGAGCTTTTTCTGAGAACTAGAGGTTGGGATGCGGGGAGTGAAAAGGACTTCCTCTACATGAGAACTAATTTGGGTAAAATTTGAATGATTACAGCACAAATGGATTTTAATTCTGGCCCCAATGAGATCACCCTGTCTATGTATTTTTCTGCCTTTATCTTCTCTCATTAAATTATTGGTAAGAGAACATAATACTCTCTGGCTTCAAGTTAGCCCACTGAATATTGTGATTACTAGGGGTTATAAAAAGAATAGTGACTGCCGATTCTCATTAAGTTAAGCAATGAGCGATGATAACAGCAGGCAACAGTTTCACAATCAGTGCGACTAAGAATCTGAAGCAATAGTAAAAGCCAGCATCTATTTTTAGTAGATTCTGATTGAATTGAAAATGTGAGGCAGACCTTAGAAAAGGCAATCACATTTTGCTGCCATCTCAGAGAAGGGAGCTTAAGGGAAGGAATCTCATATTGTTTTCTATCCATTCATCTCATCCTGTTGCCTTCATTTCTACAAAATTTCCCAAACATATCTATTTCACACTTTCCTCTCTAGTACCATCCTAGTCTAAGCCACTGCCATCTTTGCTTGTACTAAAACAACAGCCTCCATTTCTTCTCTGCTGCTTCCACTCCAGCCTCTCTACCACCCATTCTCAAAAAAAAAAAAAAAAAAAAAAAAGCGGAAGTGGAACTGTAAAATGTCAAAGAAAGCTACACTGTTTTGTCAAACCTTCCAAAGGCTTCCCATAGCTTTTAGATAGAATCCAAACTCCTTAATGTGCTGTATAAGGCATTATATTAACTCAGACCACACCCCTACCATGCTTTTGCCATGCTTCAGTCACTGTTATGCTAACAGTGCTGCTTCTGTCATTTTAACCTATACTGTGTCAGGAAGCTCTGAACCTTTTATGGACTTCTTCCAAGTTAGCTATGAAGGACTGCTTACAATAGAATATCTATATATCTATCTATGTATCTATCTATCTATCTGAAGTGATATGTGTTATAATTATATCAATTATATATATATTTATCTATATAATTTGTACTTTCTGTGTAACACTACCAACATGTAGAGTTCAGAGGTCCCTAAATTTCACCACTGATCACCAGCCAATTGTGACTAAGACTACTTAGATTATCTGTATAAATAGGTTTTTGTTTGTTGTGGGGAAAGGAGGTTGTTTTTATTTCTTTATTATAAAATATTAGTTAATGAAATCTCCAGAAATAAAACCGGACAGTTTTTGTTATGGACCATGACTTAAATGTTGGATTATGAAAAATAAAATACATGTGTAAATATTAGCTTGCATGAGGTAATCATAAATTCTAGCAAAATTTTTATTATAACTTACAACTCCCGAATTTCAAAGGGCATGCATGACCATCCATGGGAAAATCCACCAATCTCATGGGACACTCCGCACTTATGGTGAGTCTATGATGAAAAATGCAATTAAATAAAATCAACCCTTTTAAAGAATAATTGTGACTTTAGATTCTAAAATAGGAAGGAAGGGAGGGAAGGAGGAAGGAAGAAGGGAGGGAAGAAAAGGAAGGAAGGAAGGGAAGGAGGAAGGGAGGGAGGAAGGGAGGGAGGAAGGGAGGGAGGAAGGGAGGGAGGAAGGAAGGAAGGAAGGAAGAAAGGAAAGGAAAGAAAGAAAAGAATAAAAAAGGAAGGGAAGAAGTAAAAAAAAATATTACCTCATTGTGTATAAAATAGTACCATTTCTCATAATTCTAAAAAGCTTATTTGGAGCTGTCATATTATGTGAGACAGATTTCTTTCCATTCCTGAAGAAAGTATCAGGGGTCCACACTTTCGTTACCATCATATTGTTCAATCTCAAAATTTCAATGGGGCCGTCATATTTTAATCTTTTGTCAATCCATGTCTGCCTGAAGAACACATCCATTGTGTATTCCTAGGACAATTATTTTGGAACATATTTAAGTTGCAAATGACTACACATAAGTATGTGAAAATAATGCATTAAATTCTGTCTTCCTTCATGCTCATAAAAAAATACCACTCCAAATAAAATTAATAGGAGCAGGAATGATCTTGAATCAATGGAGCAAAAAGATTCTCAGCAATTAGAATAACTTTTATCCATCTTGATACCTTCATCTTCTACATTCATAAGATAAATAAATTACCACACATACTAATAATTTAATAATAAATTTGCTATAATTTAAGAAAACTGCCAGTACCAGGTAGTTACAATTGTGTTTTACTTTAGACTAGATAGCAAAAATCAGTTAAAGTGTAAAAAATATCATGCACAATTAATCGTGTAATTGTAGGCATTTTAAAGACAAAATAATATGTGTAAGAGATATTTTATTTTCACAAAGTTTATTAAAATGAGTCAAATAACTCAAGGGTTTCAAATTACTAGGAGCTTTAAATCAATGAATAAACTAAAGTAAGTTTTTTGTCTTGCAAACTAAATATATTTAATATAAGAGAGCACAACTGTATGGATGAATTCTTCCTGACCAGTGCTTCGTATTCTAAGCTCTTAAACATGAGTGAGAAGGAGGCAGAAGGGCTGGGATGGGCAGCAAGCAATTAGATCAACATGAAATACTAAATATAATGAAAACTATAAAATAGTGTACACGACTAGTTCATACTGAAACTAATTATCACCTCTAATTTTCTCCTCCTCAATAGTTTCCTAAAGAAAAAACAGCCGGGCACGGTGGCTCATGCCTGTAATCCCAGCAATTTGGGAGACTAAGGTGAGAGGATCACCTGAGGTCAGGAGTTCGAGACCAGCCTGACCAACATGGAGACACCCTATCTCTACTAGAAACACAAAATTAGCCAGGCACGGTGGGGCATGCCTGCATTCCCAGCTACTTGGGAGGTTGAGGCAAGAGAATCACTTGAACCTGGGAGATGGAGGTTGCAGTGAGCAAAGATCCCGCCATTGTACTCCAGCCTGGGCAACAAGAGCAAAACTTCATCTCAAAAAAAAAAAAAAAAAAAAAAAAAAGAAAAAGAAAGAAAGAAAAGAAAAGTAAAAAGGAAAGCAAAAAAGCTGCACCCTAGGTTGTGCTATAGGAACCAGTAATAGGAAAGTTCTTCTCTTTGTTTAGAATGACCCTAAATCAACAAGTACTCAAATGTTACAACTGAAATGCAAATTGAATGAGATTCAATGTCTTACTCTTCATACATTCTTAAGTTTAATTAGGGATTCTTTAGGTTTCTGGCTTTGTGTGATTGACAACAAAATAAATATTAATTGCCCTCTTTTCTACATGTTTTCTTCAAGTCTCAAAAGGTACATTAAACTTCGAAAATACCTACCATTTCAACATCAGAAACAGGTCCAAAGCTGGTGACATATATGTCAGTTTTCACTTCTGTAACAGGACCTAACGGGTATGAAGTAAATAAGTGTGAAAAAATAATTACCAATTTTACAGGCTGGGAAGGTTAGATAATTACAGAGTAAATACAGATATGATATATCATGTTTTTACAAGCATCTTACATTTTCAGTGAGATAATGAATCTCTACAAAACAAATGTAGACCAAAGCGCAACAAGACCAGAAAGCAGTGTTTACTTACAGGCAAAAAGAAACCCCAATTACTTACCAGGAACCTTGTTTCTTCAAAGATACGTCACCCCTGGGTACTGTTACAACAGGCAATGCAGAGACACAAAAGCTTTTAACCTTTGCGATATTTTATAGTCCATCATCTGATTGGCCTCTAATAAAGAAGTGAGCTGTTAAAAAGGGGAAGTGTGGCCACAGCAACAAAGAAGAGAAAAACCATAACAGCTGTAAGGAATGTATCCTTGGAGAGCTGAGGATACTAGTAAATAATTTTAAAAATGATTCATGTCACCTTTATCAACAAGCACACCATCCACTGCTGATTGGGATCAAAGACAAACTTTCTTACAAGTGACAGATACTTACACTCTGCCACCTACTAGCTGTACAATCTTGTGCAAGTTATTTAACTCCTCAATAGTAGCCACCACAACCATCAGGCAAGATTTTGATAGCGATCAAATGAAATTGCTGAAATAAGATGCTCAGCAAAACGACTCTCTCATGAAAGTACTCATTCCATGTGAGGTTCCCTTTGCTTCTGACAGTGGCCACTACTGAGACTGTTTCCCGTATCTAAATAAGACTAGTTCGTAAAGAAGCACACTGGTGTTTTGGCAGAAGAGAAATGTGGGAGCATAATGACAATATGGCTGACACAGATTTTAGACAAGGGAACACAATCTGGGTTTAACACAATCTGAGTTTAGCATGAAGCTTAAAATCAGAAAGTTTGGAGTTCAAATTTGGTTCTAACATCTTCTAGTAATATCATCTTCAAGTCACATATCCTCATAGGTAAAGATATTAATGAGTATTAATTGAGATAATACTTGTAAGTCATTTGTCCCAGTCTCTAGAACATAATGTGCTCAATAATGACAGTAGTCATTACTATGCATAATACAGCATTCTAATACAACAAAAATATAAAAATTGTTGCCCTTGAACATAACTTCCTTAAACAATGGTTTATAGTACTGTATAGCCAGAGGCTAGATATTCCGTAACTGGGAAGAATGACATCTGCTATGAAGATGAAATAATCTCTCACTTGGATTCTTGCTTGGGAAATGCGATTTATGCCAAAAAAAAAAAAAAAAGGCAGAGAGAAATTGGTATCACTTAATTCCTTAGCTCCAAAGTTATCTTCATAAAAATGAATCTGAATATTTCTTCTTCTAAAGAATGAAGATTGATCCACACAAAGAAAGATAGCTCGAGGGAGAATGAGAAAATTCTTTACTGAATAAGTATCCTAAGAAAAATAGAGCCTTAGGCAGTATAGTAAGAGAAAAAGTCTGAATCAGGCTTAGCTAACATGAGATTTAATGTTTTCAAGACTACATCTATGGAAAGCAGAAAAGTTAATTAAATTTTTATTTGAATGAAAAATTGGAGACAACAACAGCAAAACATGATAGTAATAAGCTCATTAATGTCAAATTGTTCCAGGAATAGCTAGGTAATCCAGGAAGCAGGTAATGTGTGCTGAACCCTAGAAGATAGCAATTTCACTCAAGTAGGTTCAACAGTGAAACAAATCACTGTGTTAGTTTCTTAAGGACAATTGCCAGAGTATTAAAAAGCAGAAACACTATGCCATTGCAAGTCAGGGCAAGTGGTGATAAGTTACTCGAATAATTAAGGTTGGTTATGTCCTGACAACTAGACTATTTGGCAAGATTCTTGAGAAATCAAAAGTTACTTTGATGATTGGTTTAGGGAAGTGGTTCTGATATGTCTGTTAAAACAGATTGTTGAACTCCACACCCTGATACGCTGATTTAGTACTAGGCATAAGGTGCGGCCTCACAATTTGCATTTCTAACAAGTTCCTAGCTGAGGCTGTTCACTTTACTCTATTTTACAGTGTTCATCTGTTTTCTAGGATAGTATTTACAACACCATGTGCTATAAAATATTAATATCATACGTATTTCAGGGGAGTGAGGAGTCTAGAAGAGAAAAGAATTAGGCCAATGATATTTTTCTTTATACATTTATTTTAAAGTGTGTGGGCGTATGCTAATTCTTATAGTTCTATAGTTACAATGATTCCATGATAATAATGAACATTTTCCAATTCTTGCATAACATGCTACTTTCTCAATGATTCTTGAATAATGTTTTGTGTTCAAAATTATAACCTTAGCATTTGTGACATTCATTATTCAGTATTTGCCTTATATGGTCCTATGGATCTTTGAGACTGAGTAAGATCCTAAAAAACATTTGATTGTAAAGGGATTTCCTTCAGACATTCATTCAATTAGTGTTTACTGAATGAGTGCCAGTTGTGTGTTGGGTTCCCTGCTAGGCTCTGATGCTACATTGGTAAACAAGACTCAGGAATTCCCTGACTCAAAGAGCTAAGGTGCCATTAGGGCAGTCAGAGTATAAATACAGTAGTAAAAAGATAAACTAAATGACAGAATGCTATCATTTCTAAGAGGAAAAATACAGGATGGTAAGAGTGAGAGACTGGGAGGGTCATTCCTGATTTGCAGTCATAGCTGCTTCTTCAAAGCAGTGACTTTTAAACTCAAACTTGGAGAATGAGCATGAGCCATTGCAAGAGATCAGGAAATTGGATTCCAGGCAGAAAGAACTCCAAGAGGACAAGATCAAAGACCGGAAAAGGGCTGAGTGTATTCAGGGACTAGAAAGGAGGCCAGTGGGGCTGAAGCAAAGCAAGGGAGGGACAGAATGCTGAGAAATAAAAGCCACAATGATAGAATAAAAACCAGAGTACAGTGGATAGAACACCTACCCCTGAACTCGTATTCTAAAAAGTGGCATCTTTTAAGCAACATACTTATAATATATGCTATGGTGACTGTAGTTAAAACTACAAGGAAAATAAGTTGTAGATATATCAGTAAAAGATGGAGAGCTACATAGAGTATTGTTATGAGCTAAACTGTATTCCCTCCAAATTCCTATGATGAAGTCCTAATTCTTGGTACTTCAGAATGTGACCATATTTGGAGATAGAATTTTTAAAGAGATACTTAAGTTAAAATGAGTTCACTAGGGCGGGCCCTAATCTAATATCACTGTGACCATATCAGAAGTGTAGATTAGGACACAGACACACACACACACACATAGCAGAGACAATGTGAACATGGAGAGAAGATGGCCATCTATAAGCCAAGGAGAGAGGACTTAGAAGAAACCAATTTTGCCTACACTTTGGTATCCCCAGAACTGTGAAAAATTAATTTCCTATTGTTTAAGCCACACAGTCTGTGGTACTTTGTTTATAGCAGCCTTAGAGAACCCAAAATTTATCGTTTTTCCTATGTTCTTTCCTGGAGCTTTCTTCTTCTGATATTCAGTCTTTCTCTGTCTTTACTTATAGGTCGTGGTAAGAAGTTTGATTTGTATCCCATAGTCATTGGGAGGCCACTGAGGGTTTGAAGTAAGGGAGTTTATATGATTAGATTATATTTTTTACAAAATTATTCTGACAATGGTATTGACAATACATTACAGGGAAGCAAAAGTAGAAGAAGGGCTCTTCTAAGAGACTGCCATGTTGTTCAAGTCGAGAGTTGGTGATAACAGCTTGGACTAGGGATGTGGCAGTGGGGATGAAGACTGGACAGATTGAGGGGCTGGTATGCTCACAGGGTGTCGGTATTTTCCAAAGAACAATAAGCGAAGATACAATAATTACTATTTATTGAAGATGAATTATGTGCCAGGTAGGCTATTAGGTTCTTCCCATATACTATTTCATGTAATCCTCACGACACCCTCCAAAGGCGCTATCCTCATGAGAATGTTATGGATCTGGAAACTGAGTTCACAGAGATTAAATAATGTATGACAGAGCCAGAATTCTAACCCCCTTGTATTGATCTCCAAAGCATGTGCTAGCTTTACTATACTACATTATATCACCAATAATAAATTATTAATTACTTAAGCAAATGTGGAATTTCATATCTAGAATATAACATGCTATACCTACATTCCCTGCTTTGTTCATTAGTTTCTGAAGTATTTTCTCAAAGCGCTTTTCATGCCTTTACTATTATTCTTATTACAGCATACTGCTTGGGTCTTTCTATCTGTAACAGCAAAGGCAAAATCTTAATCCTTTTTGAAGTCCCAAACTAGCACAATGCCTTGCACATATTAGGCGTTGAATAACTGTGTTTCATCATGTTCCTAATATCATCCCAGTAGTGATTTAAAAACCCATCAAAAGGAAAAATTAACAGAATTACTTTCCACAGCAGTTAAACTAAAAATATTCCCCATTTTAAGAAACTGTCTTATTTGTATTTGTATCCTCTGGCAGGACCAATCACAGGTTTTAAATGTAATAGGCTTCTGATAAATCAGTTGTCAATGAATAATGGTCACTATGTAATTAAGAATAATTCTTAGAGACACTTCCTCTAATACGACAGTTTAGGATGTTCAAATCAAACTTACTCAGAGTATAATTACATGGAAACCAGATAATTTTGAGCTTGGAAGGATTTCTTCCCATAATTTGATATGCATTTGTGCAACATTAAAGACATCTTTTATTTTAAAATTCTACTTTGTTGGTAGTAGGAATATATTTTTTAATACCTAATGGTTGACAGTCTGTAAGGTAAACAAGATGATTCAACAGTTTTTGGGAAAGAAAGAGCCAAGACCAGCAAGATCAAATTCAGGGAAATATTCCCATCTAATTAATGAGTCTAACTTGCTGGGAAAGAGGGAAGGCAATTAACGATGAATCAGATAATTTCCCAGTTTACTTAACTTTAGCAGTACAGATATGGTTAAAGGGTGGAATCATTTTTGAAATTTCATCTCCAATAATGATGTCTAATTTGCTGCCACATCATGAGAAAACCTAGGGTGTTTTGCTGATCTTGAAACTAGTCCATCCTCATTTTCCATATTGCCTCCCCAGCCATGCACTTGAGGAAACATTTCTAATTTTCCAGCCACCTTATCCATGCATCCACCATCATCTTACAAAATACTAGTTACATATCTCCAAAAATGAAGACACTTGAAGGGATACAACAAGGAATCCTAACTGAAATACATTAATAAATCTCTTTGCTTGTCATTTACAAAATATACAAATACAAGCCTTCCTGAATACTAAACACAGACAAGAGATACCCATTGATATCACTGAGAAAGCAGAAAACACTATAAAGTTCTGGAAGTTTCTTTCATTTAGAAGTCATTAAAGATTAGTGCCTCCCATGTCATATAATCCATCAATCCTGGTCTACTTTGTAAATAATTACAGCCATCAAATAAATAAGAAAAGCATGAACAACAACAAAAATAAAAATAAAATATGGGCAAACAATAAAAACAAGTAATTCACGGAAAGAAAATTATCGTAGCCAATAAAGATTGGAAAAGATATTCAACCACGTTAAAACATAGTGAGAATCAGAAAAATTCAAATCATTTCACAATAAAATGCCATTTTAAGAAATACCATTTCAAGATATATATATCTTGTGTTAAAGAGGGTATCTGGATCCTGAATGTCATGTTCATTGTAAACTGTAAATGGAAGTTGATTTTGTAAACTCATCATGAAAAATAGTTTGGCATTATCTTGTCAACTCCCACTTACACTAAGATCCAGAAAATCCATTTCTTGATATATATGCAAAAGAAACTCTTGCACATTTACAGCAGGAAATTTGGGCCAGGATATTCACAGCACCACAATCTTGGAAACAAGCAAAAAGCCTACTGCCAACAGAGCAGATGAATAAGCTGGTTTCTATGCAATGGGAATATCACACAGCAGTCAAAATGAATGATCTATTGCAATATGCAACAATAAGAATGATTTTTAGCAATATATAATTAAGTTAAAAGCATCGAAAGATTATATATAGCAAGTTCAAAACAATTAAATATTTAAAATAAACTTTTAAAATAAAGACAGTCAACCTAAAATGACATTCAAAGGAAAACTAAGAAATAATTTTAAAAGGACTTAAAATCATGGTTATTTTGGACGGAGAAGACAGGAAGATAGGATGGAGGAGACCACATAGCAGAATAAGAGTTGTCCAAGTCCTACACTTTGTGCTGGTTGGTGGTTTAACTGGTATGTTTATTATATTTTAATAAATGATTGAATAGATGAAAAGACGTATAAAAAGAAGGCTACATATGGGCCAATAATGAAAATGTGTCATATACCAGGAATTATTAATTCAGGTTTCAATTCTGTGTAACTGTGGCTTATAGAATAAATATATAAGAAAGGCTTAGAGTATAAGGCGGTGATGTTTAATGATATATACAAATGCAATCAGATGTATTTTCTCATCTAAAAGAAATCTAACAACTCAGTGAAGTATTACCCAAATATCCACCAATTTTCTAATATCCCATAATCTAGATTTTACAATGTCTATTTCAGGAAACACCAAATGCAATGGATACATCCTAACCCTAATGAAAATGTAAATATATTATAGCACCAGTATATTGTATATCTTTTTTTTTAAACCAAGAACATAAGATAGTAAAGTTGCACTCTGAATTCAAACTTCTCTTGTTTTCTAAAAGACGTATTTCTTTCAGCTATGCCTTCCCACCAATCTAATGTTAAATATCCTGTACTAGATTATCCCAGTAGAAGAAAAAAGAAAGAAAGAAAGAAAAACATGTTATGGTCTAATCTTGAAAAAAGAAAGGCAAACTTTTCTCTTTCTCTTCTATATTATATTTGAACTTCTGAAAAAAATCTATCAACGGTACCTCTGATTCTTCTTATTCACTCCATCATCTATCTCAATAACTTGTTTTTCATGCCTAGGGTCCACTTCCTTTTGTCAGTACCATGAGTTTTTCCTTATATACAGCATTGTTCCCACCAACTTTAAAAGTATTTTTTTCCTAGCATTTTTCTACCTCCTTCCTTCTACCATCGCAATTTCTCTGCTTCCATGTACAAATGCCCAGAAAAATCTTATTCCATTCTCTCTCGAATGCACTCAATCAGACTTTCACACCCATCACACCACCAAAACTGCTCCATCAAAACAGTCAAAACAGTGGTCAATTTTAAGTTCTTATCTTACTTCATCTGTCAGGAGCATTTGACTAAATCAACCCCTCCTCCTTTCTTTATTTTTTCTTTCTTTATTTTTCCCCTTATATTTTACTTTAGTTTTATACACACTCCCTTGGTTTTCCTGCTACTTCACAAACCACTCCTTTTAAGTCTTCTTGGGACAAAGATTCCTCCTCTCCTCTCTGGAGCCACCTCCTAACATTGGAGACATCAAAACTCAATATTTGTACCTCTTCCCTATCAAACTTAATCCCCTGTAATCTTTTTAGATTTCTAGCTTTAAATATCATGTATATTGACATACTCATGATCCCTGAATTTCAGGTTCATCTCCACCTGATATGCAATAGACATCCCAAAGGTACCATACCTGCATACAAATTGCTCATCTATGCCCCTGGTCTACTTCTGGCACAGTCTTGACAACTCCATTTTTCTAGGTGTTCAAATCAAAAACTTTGGAATCAGCTTTGACACCTCCCTTTCTCTCACATCCCACGTTCTAGCTGTCGTCAGTTGACTTTAATTTCAAAATATCCAGAAGCCAACCATTTCTTATAAATTTACAAACTTCTCTGCTACCAGCTTGGTCAAAGTATCCATCATTTCTTGCCTGGTTTATTATGGAAAACCTTGCTGCATCTGCCCTTGCCTCTGACTGCCTGTTCTGAACACAAGGAGAGCCTTTTAAAATTAGTTCAGGACTTGTCCCTGCTAAAATCTTTCCAGTCACTTTTGATCTGACTCAGAGTAAAAGCACAGTCCTAATCAGCCTGCAAAGCTGTACACAACCTTGTCCTCTTACCACACTGATCCCCTTTTATGCCTCAGCCCTGCTAAACTTCACTACAGGGACCCTGACTTCCCCACTTTACATGTTTGCACTTAGAATTCCTTCTCATTCATTAGAAGACTCCATCCCAAATGTGGTTTATGCTTTTACTGAATTACGACCAGTATTCAAACAGCACCTTCTTAGTGAAGTCTCCACTAATTATTCTACTTAAAATTGCAACCCTCTCCCCTGCTTTACATTACTCTATAGCTGTTAACCAACATCTGGCACACACACTATATTTTACTTATTTCTGTTACTTATTTTCTATCTCTTCCACAGTGTGAACTTATGAGGGCAGGAAATCGTGCAGTCCTCCCCAGCTTTAAATAACACCAACCTTGCCCAATTTCTCAAAATAGAAATTGAAAAGTCATTTTTTACTTCTCTCTCTTTTTTTTTAACATCCATATCAAGTCAATCGCCAATTCTTTGTTGAATTAAACCTCCAAAAACTCACTTTAATCAACTTACATATATCCATCTTTACTATATCTGCCACCTTATTCCAAGCAACCATCAACTTAAGAGAACTAAAGCTGAAGTAACAAAAGCTTCATTGGTCTCCCTGCTTCCAAATTGCCCTACTTCCTTTTCTAAGTCTTCCTTTATGCAGACAAGATGGAGCATTTTTCACTCTAACTCAAACCATGTCATTCCCTCCATTTAGAAAACTCCAATTGCTTCCAGGTTCACTAAGAGAATAAGTTATGCTCTTTTACAGGGTCCCCAGAGACCCTATGAGACCTGGCCTCTATTTAATATCCCAACCAAATCCCATGAGATTCTTCTTCTTGCATTCTGGCTACAGGCACACTGGACTCCTCTCACCATCTACATCACACTAACCTATTATCTACCTTCAGACCTTTGCACTTAATTGCTTTGTTCTCTCTGAGAATTACTTTTCTCTTACTCTTTTCATGTCTGACACCTTTAAGTCTTAGCTTAAAAGACTTCCAGGAACACCAAATCTGAAATAGATCCCTCACCCATTTTTTTTCCCTTTTAGCATGATATTAGATTATCTCATAGCATTTTCATGTAATTATTTTATTATTTCTTTGTTATATTCATCTCTCTATAATGCTTAGCTATAAAGTCTGTGAGGGCTCGTATCAGATCAGAATGATATCTTCACAACCTTACATTTTTCCTGACATACAGTGGTCTCTCAATACAGATAGGTTTCACAAATGAATGAATGAAAGAATGGGACAAATTGGAAGAGAATGAAGCTTTATGTTGCTGAGAAGTGCTCTTTTTGTCTATGTATTTTTAAAGGTATTTCTCTATTGACATTTAATTAATAAGGCTAGCACATGACACATTAACTTTTAAGTGGAGAAACATAGATCATTTGAAAACACTGCAAACACAATTTGATTTTTGTGGGGAAAATATTCCAACTTAACCCAAATGCATACAATTTTCTGTGTTTTCTTTACTATTTGAAAGTTGTTAAAGCTTTAGAACAAAAGTTCTTATCTCACTTCTTTAGAGGAAATGTAGTTTTGCTTATTTTAAGGTCCTACTTAACTTAGTAGCAAGAAGGTATGTTGAGGAAATTTGACTCTTGATAAACAGGGCAATGAAAGAGTGCCTCGGAAGTGGATATAGCAATAAACCAGCTGCCTGACTAAGGTTTTAAAGATGAGGGTGTGTGTTGTGACTTCACCAAGGAGTAGCTATAAAATTGATGGTCAATTCATTGGAAATTTTCTCAGCCTCTTTTCTAACAGAATGATGATGTCTGCCTTATCTCTTTGTGTTGTCGTAATAATCTTAGTAAATAATGCGAAGTCCACTAATGTGAAGTCCTACTATGTTAGTGAATAACCTTACAAAATTGACTCAAATGCTTCATTCCCATTTCAGAGAGGTTGTGGAAGATGATTCAAAGGCAGTGATCTGTATTTGGAACGTTTATTATTCTAGATCATATGCCTCAAAAGATTGAGATGCGTGAAAGGCTGTGCAACCCTTCAATAAACGGAAAATGAGTGACGGCAGGTTTCCTAAACCATTTCCTGGTAGTTAGTAAATACCTTAGCAATGCATTTTTGAGAAATTATGTAACAGTGTTACAGTGTTGAAAGTGAACGAGAGCTAGGGGATTATTTTCTGGCTCCTTTGTGGAAGGCTTCACTTGTGTGCTATGTCTAGACAGGTGCAAGCTACTTCAGGATGATAGCAACTGATTTATTAGAGGTTGAGAGGACTACATCCTCTCAGAAGTCGGAAACCAGCTTCTGTCACCATGACTCCTTCCCTCTCTTCTCGCCTTTTCCCCTTTTCTTCTCCAATGGGAGAATGTAGGAGACAAGGGAGAGGAGATCCTGGAGGGATGTAAAAAAAGGAAACCATTTCAGTTCCTTTTATTTCCCTATCGCAAGCTGTGCTGCTGAGTTAAAAATATGTAATTTAGTTTCCAAATCTATTTCAACCCCTGCCTGGCCTACTGAGCAATCACAAACCATCCAATTTCAATTCAAATCTTTGCTTTTAGCTTTGTTTGAAATGGAACACAGCAAAGTTGTATAAACAGATATAAAGTAAATGCCCCACGAAGAGCAGAAGCAGGATTATAGGAACCAGGAAGTAAATCCATATTTATAGCCTACTAGTCAAAATCTGGATTGTTTTCATTTTATTTTTAAAATACCAAACTTTCCACAGAGTATCCAATACTATAGAAGGCATCTGATTTGTGGTATCTAAGAGTCTGTGCTAATGATGAAGTTTCTCATTGTTTTCAGTGGTACACATTTACAACTTCATATAAACAGAAAACACATTTTCTGCAGGTGAGAATCACTATTTCTCTGTCACATTTGGAATACTACACATTTACAGAGAATGACCCACTTCTAAAAAGTGAATCACATTTACCACAAACATTTATCAGCAAAGCCAAGAAACAAACAAACAAACAAACAAAACCCATATTATGCTATTTAGTAAATGTTTAAATGGTTAATCAATTGGTAATGCTGGGAGTAATGTTAATTCGACCCTTTCCCATAAAACTATAAAAATGTTTTCAGGTGGGTAATGCAGATCATTTGGCAGTGACAAATTAGATGACTAATAATGTCCTTGAGACGTTTAATAGAATTACGATTAACCAAAACCCAGTAATGGCTCACATATATTGTTTTCACTTATGTTATTGTCAATATTATGCAATGGGAGAGAGTAGATGGTAAAAAGGATCCATATACAATGGATCCCTTCTTCCTTTTGAATTACAGCTTGCATTATAGCCAGCTGGGCACATCTTATTTTAACTTTCAACATTTATAATCAAACAATATAGTTTCAGTTCTAACTTTTCACTTTGATTTATGTTTTGGTATATCAATTTTCTGATGAATATTTAAACTACATAGGACTGGATACTTTTCTTATTTTTTTTCTTCACTTGAAATGTCAAGTTTAAAACATTTATGGGCAGATAAATCCTCTTTTATTGATATAATATTGCCTTAAATGGTATCACATCATCTGAACGATTCTCCACAACACTATTTTTGATCTAAAATGGAAGATCATGCATTGACAAATGATTCACCCCTTTTCAGATTTGCATGAAGGCAAATGCAGTGTAGGCAACCTATCCCTGGAGAGGCAACATGAAAAGAAGCAGGAGAAAGTTTCATCCTTCTCATCTATCCTTATCAGTCAATATACAAATGCTGGCCCGGCGCGGCTCACGCCTATAATCCCAGCACTTTGGGAGGCCAAGAAGGGTGGATCACTTGAGGTCAGGAGTTCGAGACCAGCCTGGCCAACATGGTGAAACCCCATCTCTACCAAAAAATATATTTAAAAAAATTAGCCAGGTGTGGTGGCTTGCACCTGTAATCCCAGCTACTCTGGGGGCTGAGGCAGGAGAATCACTTGAACCTGGGAGCCAGGGGTTGCAGTGAGCCGAGATCACGCCATTGCACTCCAGCCTGAGTGACAGAGCGAGACTCCATCTCAAAGAAAAAAAAAGAAATATACAAATGCTGAATCAATACCCTCAATGACTTCCCATAACCTTCTCATAAAATCCAAGAAAATAATGGTTTGGAATTCAGAAGACCTGATCTCATCCTATCATTGATGTACTATGTGCCCTTATATACATCACTTTCCCTTTCTAAACCTCAGTGTCCCCATCTGTTAAATGAGACCAGATGCCAAAGAAACACCCAACTCTACTTTATCTGCCCATAAAGGTTTTAAACTTGACATTTCAAGTGAAGGCTAGAAAGAGTTTCTAGCCCCAGGCCATACTCCTACTTCACATCACAGGCAGTCCTGCTCCCCATTCTTACTTTCTCCATTCTCCCAACATGTCATCTCCTACACACCCTCAATAGGAGGTATAAAGTTGCTCCATGCTTCTAATATTAGATGATACTCATCACACAGCATCTGATACCATCCCCATCTGCACGGCTTTGTCTTTTAAATACACAGCCTGCTCTGGGTTTACATCCTTCTCCTCCTACTTACTAACTTGGAACTTGGACTCAATTTCCTTATCTGTAAAGTGGGGATGGTAATGGCTTTCAAAGCTTTGTTGTGAGGGTTAAACAGAGTGGTGATGCCTACAAAATGCCTGGTATATGTGAACATTTAATTAAATAAATACAATATTACTGGCTGTTATTATTGTTACCACTTGAATGTAAGCTCCTTTAAGGCAGAATCTCTATCCTGTTCAACTCAGTTGCTGAAGGGTAATTAGTGCAGTGTACTGTAAAAAACAGGGACTTTGAGATCAAAGGACCTGGGCCAAACCTATGAATGGGACCCTAGCAAGTCATTTGTCCTCGTTGAACTGGACTGAGAAGCTGTTTGAGGTTAAGAATTGTATCTTAATATTTCTGTGGACCTAGTACCTAGCGCAAAGCTTGCCACATAGATTTCCATTATATATGCAAAGGAAATATGAATATGAAAAACAGCAACAGTGCTGTTAATGGATGTACCTCTATTAAGTCCTTTATACTTATTTTGTTGAAGAAAGCAAGCTGGAACATCTCTAACTTTAAAGTCTTAGGAGGAAAGCAAATGACACATCACCAAAAAAGAAAGGGAAAAAAGAAAAGCATCCTGCTGTAGAAGAGAAAAGGAAAGGACTGGGTTCTCTAGCAGAGCAGGCAGCTTCATGCCCCAGATTTATGTCCCAGGTAGAACATTGGCCAAGGTTTTGGCATAGGCATGGACACGTGGGAGGATGAGGGACTTCGGTTCAGCTGCCTCCAATGCAACCTGCTCTGAGCGAAGTGGCCAGGTTCAGGGAAACTATTCTCAGCGAAGAGCGTCCAGGCAGCTGAGCCCAGAGTTCCCATTTTTGACTCTTCCTCTCCAACCTCCCCCACCCAGCAGTCAGGTCCCGGGAGGTAATTAGTGTGGGGGAGAGGCAAAGCTTCTGAGGGGGCAGGGAGATGGGAAAGTACGGGTGGAGGCGGTCTTCTTGTCATAGGTCTCACCAAGAGAGGAGAGATAGAAAGAGAGAGAGATTTATTTTTGCACGTGAGGCATACCTAATGATATTCCCACAGACAGACAGACAGGAAGACCAAGAGAGGGACAGACAGGACACACTTGCGCGTTTGAAATCGTTCATACCCCCAAATCCAGGACGCAGCCTGTTGTCATAACCATCGAGCAAACTGTCCAGGATGCGGGTGAAATTTTCTGTGCACAATTTCTCCTCCTTTTGGTTCTGTCCTGGGGATTCGTTTAAACTGCAAGCGAAAAAAAAAAAACCGGGGGCGGAGGAGATTATTTTAAGAATCCATCAGAGAACAGGTGCAAACAGGTTTGTTTTCTAGGGAAAGAGTCGCTTGCCCCAAGCTAAAGGAGAGGAGGTTGGGGGTTGGGATGCAGAAGACAGAAATGGTCAGGAAAAGCGCGCCCCGCCGCAAGACCCCCAGTGCCCACACGCCTCTTGGATCCTGCGCCCTTGGTGCTCTCCGCATCTATGCGGTCACAGAAAAGCCTGGCTTCGGCCCCTGCTCTTACAGCTGAGATAAGAAGACCTAGTCCACCCAGGGAGGAGCGAGTGGCCAAAGGGGTCCCGGAGCTAGCCATTTCTCCACTTTCCGTTGCCCACCTCCTCGCACCCCAGAGAACTCACCAAACCGCCAGGCACAGGAAGCGCAGGAGGGCGAAACTGACCCCGGCGGACAGAGCGATCGCGGGTACCTTCTTGGCAGAAACCATCTTTGCAACATGCCATACTTCAAGCCTGTTCACGTTTCCAGGCTCTTCAGATGCCCTGAGCAGGGTGCGAGGAGAGGGCAGAGAGGCTCCCGCGGCGTGCGCACACTCGCGCTCACACTCGCCCGCGCTCAGCCAGCCCGAGCCGCGGTGGGCGTGTGTGTGCACGGGGCCAGGGGAGGCGGAACCTGCCTTCCTCGCCCCCTCCTTTCTCGCTCAGCGCTCAATGTGTATGTAGAGCTATGTATACCGCTCCACACCCTTTCGTGCCCGCGCGCTGAAGGTTCTGGGGTTCGTATCCGCGCGCTTGCGCTGCAAGACTCGGCAAGTTTGTTCCGACTGTAACTCCGGGGATGAGGAACGGGGTCTCTCGCCCCTCCTCCGGCTTCGCAGCCCCCGACCCCAAGTGGGCTCCCCGCCCACAGCAGTGTTCGTCCTCCTACCTCCTGGCCCCCTCCCTTCCGCTGGGATTTGGATCTAACCAATGAAGCTCCTCTGTCATCAGGTTGTGCGAGGACCTGTTTGTACCCAGAGTCAAGGTTGGAGGTGGAGAAAGGGCGGGTGACGGGGACTGCTGGGCGTCGGGTGGTAGCGGTGGTGAGGAGAGGGGATCAAGTCCGGGCTCAAACCACCTTTGAGACCCTCCCATTCAGGTGTTATGGGGGGCGGTAGGGAGAGCAATGAAAGCAGAAAGATTCTTCCTGGTAACAGGGGTTGCAGCTCACCCGGCGGACTCTCGCCAAACTATTGGGAAGTGGACTCGAGCCGCACTCTAGTCCCAGTATTTGCTAAGCTATTGCTTTAAAGACACCCCATTTCTTTACCCGCCTCCACCAGACACGCGCACACCCTCCGCTTTGCTGCTCCATCCTTTTCTGGAGAGGAGGGGAGAGGTGGAGACAAGCGACCTCTGGTCAAAATCACTTTCACTTCTTGCGACACTCTTCTTTTTCAGAATGGAGTTGACTTACTTCCAGAGGTTGACTGCTTTAGGTAGGGGGAAAGGACGGCTGGAGAGAGAGTGGGGGGGGAAAGAGAAAATGTGTGTGTGTGTGTGTGTGTGAGAGAGAGAGAGAGAGAGACAGAGAGAGACAGAGAGAGAGAGAGAGAGAGAGGCAGAAGGTGGGGTATGGAGAGAAAGGATACATAAATTAAAATGGAGGGGGACAAATATTAGTTCCCTTGTGACATGAAAGGGAACACTAAGCTCCATATCTTTACTGTTTTACTGAGCAAAGATAAGCATTCCCAATAGATCTTTGGAAACATTAATTATTGGCTCCAAGGGGGAAAAGCGTCTTTCAAATTAGTAATGATGCATGTGGAAATTTTCATATGATGGATCAATGAGCTAAGTAATTCCCATACCTTGGAACCAAACACCAATTAGGTTCTAGTCGGAACTCTGATGATTTGTTCAAATTGAGATGACTAGTGGACGGGTATGAAGAGGGAACGCATTGTATTAGACAGGGGTTTTGGTTTTTTTGTGTGTTTTAAACGTCTGGATTCAAGTTTTCTTTCTAAGGGAAAGCCCAAAGTGCTCATCGTGGGCAGTAGCTAGAGCTCCGTGCTCTGTATTCTGTACTGCTTTCTTCATGGAATTTGTTAACTTCATCCTAATCCCATCTCTATCATTCTTTTCTCATAGACTGTGGTCTCTCTGAGGGCCTGGGCTAGGTAATTTTTGCTCATCTGTGTTTATTTTATCTGCTGTTACAGTGCATGGCACATAGAATGTCAATAAATATTTATTGAATGAACAATTAAACAAAGCAATGAATTGCTTGTTCTCAGATCCATCTTATAAATGTGGATGACTATCAAGCTCTCTCGTTTGGGAAAAATAGCGGAAGAACTAGTGTATCCTCCAAATATGCCATGAAAGCATTAGTCACCACAGATTCTCCACATATTATATTATTTCTCTAATCTTAATACTTTCCTACCTTTTTAAAAAGAGAATTTAGCTCTGTTGCCCAGGCTGGAGAGCAGTGGTACCATCATAGTGACTGCAGCCTCTACCTTTTGGGCTCAAGCAATCCTTCTACCTCAGCCTTCTAAGTAGTTGGAAGTACAGGTATGTGTCACCATGCTCTGTTAATATATTTTTATATTTTTGTAGAGATGTGGGGGCTCTGCGATGTCACCAGGCTACCCTCAAACTCCTGGTCTCAAGTGATCCTCCTGCCTCTGTCTCCCAAAGTGCTGGTATGACAGATGTAAGCCACCGCCTTACATTTGTAAGCCTTTTCCTATACTTTCTAAAACCTAAATTTGTATTTTCTAAACCACTTTCCCTTGCAATTTTCATTTTAAAAATACACATATCAAAAAATTAAGAAACCAAAATAATGGCTTTGGGGAAACAGTTACATATCGTATCTTTAAAATTCAAACTTAAAATCTGTGAAACTATTATATTCAAATTAAAAGAACATTCTTTCAGAGTAGCTACTTCCAGTTATATTTTTGTTAATTGGGTTATAGTATTTAAGTTCAGCTGAAGATAATACTAAAGGCATTTATATCTCTTCTCATTTTATTTCACAGTCTTTTATTTATGCCACTTTTGTATTACTTCAAGAAGATATATGTTGAATTTCACTGCCTGAAATCTTTAAAAAAATATTGCCTGCTAACTTGAGGTTTTTTTTTTTTTTTTAGAAATCTAACATTCTGAAAAGTTATAATTTACTTTAACTTATGAATATAAATATGCTATTGTTTCCCATGTAAACTCCTATTTGTGATAGCCCAGGATTGTCAGTGAATTATTATTATTGTCTGTGTAGCTGTGCAGAAATAGGAAGGTGTTAAAATCATACCTATACCTCTTTTTTTCTTTAAGTTGATATAAGCCTCTGATTACTAGGTTTAGCAGAATTTGAATTGGGCCCAAGTACACTATCCCCAAATATCATTATATTAAGCCAGTCACATTTTATAAATTTAACAAATGAGTTTACTTTGGATATAATAAGATGCAAATAATACAGATAACCCAACTGCTAACGTCTTAGGATGGACACTTTAAAGCCCACAGTGCCTATGAAATGCCCTGGAAATGAACACAAAATCTTGTGTTTATGTAAGTATGTGCATTTTCCTGTGAGACTTTATCTCTCATCAAGTTCTTATAGGCCATGGACAACTGTAGTATGGACCAACATTTTAATATAAAAGATAACTCAAATATTAGAACATTTGACCAAACAGGCGAATGAATATTTGTAGTTAATGTGTGATAAAAATCTCTATCCCATTTTATAAGCTTCCCCATTGCCAGTTTCTATAGACTGTCATGTAGATTGTAAGTCTCTTGCAGGTACTTGGTCCCATCTATTGTCAATTTATCATATGTCCAAAGAGCTTGGTATGCAAAATATTTGAGTGGTAATAAATTAAATAATCTGAAAGGATTCAACCTGTTCCTCTTTTCTTTCATTAATTCTTTCTGGTAAAAATTGAACCAATTGTAACCATTTGAGGAGGGTACTGATGTGAATTACTGCTTTAAATTCTGAAGGCTTGTAGATATAGGCCCAGTTTGAAATGCTCCTGTTCCAAGAATTTAGAAGCTATTGACAATTTTATGTTAATGTATTTCTCTGTCCCTCGTATTTTGCATAGGTGGGAAGAATTGATTTAATAGTCTCTTAGTTAATGCCTTTTCTCATTTGTATTAAAACAGTGTTTCCACTGAAATATTACCTGTATACCAGCCTACTATCATTGTCTAGTTATAGACTTTTTATCTTCACTCATTTCTTATTGTATGTATTTGAGGTATACAACAAGATGTTTTGATATAAATATATAGCAAAATGACTTTTACAGTCAAATTAACATATCCACCACCTTACATAGTTACCTTTTTGTGTGTGAGGATCGAGTACCTAAAATCTACTCTCTTAGCAAATTACTGTTCAGTGTGCAATGAAATATTATTAACTGTGGCCTCATGTTGTACATTAGATCTTATTATACATAACATATTATTATATAATATATAATAATAATAACTTTCTTATACATAACTATAACTTCGTACGCTTCAAGCTGTATCTCCTAAATTCCCCCCTACCATCCCTCCTTTGGTAACTACCATTCTACTCTCAGTTTCTATGTACTTGACTATTTATAGATTCCACAAATAAGTGAGATCATTTCATATTTATTTTTCTGTGCTATCTGTGTCTGGTCTATTTCACTTACTATATGTCCTCCAGGTTCATCCATGTTGTTGCAAATGGCAGTATCCCTTCTTTTACAAAGCTGTACATATAGATGTGTGTGTATATATATGTATGCACACACGTATATATATACACACACATATATATGCACACATACACATATACACATATACATATAACAGTTTCTTTATTCATTCATCCACTGATGGACACACATAGGTTGTATCCATATCTTGACTATTATGAATAATGCTGCAATAAACATTAGAGCTCAGATATCTCTACAAGATGCTGATTTTATTTCCTTTGGGTGTATGTTCAGAAGAGGGATTGCTAGGTCATCTGATGGTGCTATGTTTAGTTTTTTGAGGAACCTCCATATCGTTTCCACAATAGCTGTACCAGCTTACATTCCCACCAACAGTGTACAAGGGTTTCCTAATCTGGGGGAATTTAACATATTGTATTTGAGTAAACATTTCATAATACCAGTTAATACTGCTGTCAAAATAAGAATTTTTTGCCATATAGTTAATGCAGATTTAGATATTTCAGTGCAATTATTTGAAAAAAACAAAATTGTGACAATACTATTATCTGAATAAACTTTACACATGAAATTTGGAAAGTCACCTATTATAGTATGTATTTTAGATTATTAATTATTTTTTTATAATTTTCTGAGATCAAGTTGGACATTAAGACAATGTATCAATATTTAATAGTCTCCAAGATCTCACATTAATTTGAATTACATTCAGAAATATTAGTTATTCAATATTAGCTTTTGTTTTGTTTGAAAGTCTGAAGTTTTAAAATAGGTGGAGGCCAGCCAGGCATGGTAGCTCACGTGTGTAATCCCAGCACTTTGGGAGGCCGAGGTGGGTGGATCACGAAGGTCAGGAGATGGAGACCACCCTGGCTAACATGCCGAAACCCCGTCTCTACTAAAAATACAAAAAAATTAGCCAGGCGTGGTGGCAGGAGCCTGTAGTCCCAGCTACTCGGGAGGCTGAGGCAGGAGAATGGAGTGAACCCGGGAGGCGGAGCTTGCAGTGAGCTGAGATTGTGCCACTGCACTGCAGCCTGGGCCACTGAGCAAGACTCTGTCTAAAAAAAAAAAAAAAAAAAAAAAGTGGAAAGAATACAATTTAAGGGGATACAATCCAAGTAATACATTTAATAACTACTTTTAGGCTCAATTGAAAATGCCTAATAATGTGTGAAGCATTATTTTATTCATCAGACTTGAATTCTGAAATAAGCTCTCAGAATAAGTTTAGAAGTGCTACTCCAAAGAGCAGTGATTGTGTGTGTGAGATGGTGTGTGTGATCGTGTGTAATTAGTACTCTGTACTAATTACTACAAGAAACATTCCTTTAATTATGTTAGTGTATATGTATGGTATGTGCGAATTTTTAGTTTCTGAAAAAGATGATACTATTGTTAAGAAACACATTTATTTTCAGCACCTAATAGTAATGGTTTGCAAGGATAATTTATGCATTACCGATAGTGCCCCAAATTAACCCATATAGTTTATTTAGAGGGGATACACAAAGATGTAAATACTGGAGGTATGATTCATTTGATGGCCATTTAAACATTGTTAAATTTGTTGCCAAGTGCCTATTTTATGATGAATATAATGTCATGTCTTGTTTCAAGACTGATAAGGGACTAATAGAACCACTTTGGAAAGCAGTTTGCCAATATATTTAAGTTTAACATATTCATACCATATGACCAAACCATCTAATTTAAATTTTATAGCTCCAAGAAACTCTCAAACATGTTCATGAGGAGACATCTAAAATATGTTACGTTGTTTGTAATAGTGGAAACTTAGAAACAAATTAAATGTCATTTAACAGGGAAGTGGATACATTACATTGTGGTGTAAAGAGAGAACTAGACAACAATTAAAATAAGGAAATAAGATATATGTTTCAATATAAATATATCAGGAGTAAATGTATACAAAAGAAGCAAGAGGCAAAACAAAGAAATCATTCTCCAAAGAGCTGAAGAGACCAGTGACTGACAGAAATTGTTTAGTTTACAAGATAACAAATAAAAAAAGAAACAGTGCTAAAACTCCTTCTGCTTATAAGATAACAAAACTAGCTAAAATGGATTAATGCCAATATGACTGTTGAAATAGACTTTGCAGAGAACAGACATGCTGACATCACAGCCTGAATATTCACTGCATGTTTCATACTAACTCCTCCCAAATTTGCACATGGGACCCATGAGGAGGCATGAAGAGATAACTGTGCATGCCCAAGGACTTTCCAGACCTCCTCTTTCCTTCCACCAATCTCCTGCTAATTCCAGAATCCACCCCCTAAACTTTTTCTAATAAAATTACTACCTTAAAGCCAGTACAGGGAGACAGATTTGAGCTGGACTCATGTCACCTTGTTAGTCAAATTGCAATAAAAACTTCTCTTTTATCAAAAACTCAGTGACATACTATTGGCTTCTAGTGCATCAGGGAGCAAACCACTTTCTCTCAATAATGATAATACCTTCAGCCAAATACTCATATAAAATTTAAAACTTAAAAAAACCATTATGCATGTTGTAGGTATGTATGTAGCCATATGAACAAATTTGCATGAAAAAATTAATAACAAATTCAAGATAATGGGTATCTGTGGCAGAAAGAGGAATGAAATAAGGGAAACATTGACTATTTCAACTGTTTATGTAAGCTTTATCTCATTAAAAATACCTCAAGCAAATATTGCAAAATGTTAAGTTTTGCTAAATCTGGTGGTCAGGACTTAGGTGTTCACTATGTTACTTTTTTTATATTCATCTTCTTTTGTGGAGCAAAGCACTATAAAACTTTCTAGCTTAAAACAATTTATGATACTCTTTCACAGTGCACATAGTTTGACTAGGCTCATATGGTGGTTTTCCCTGGAGGTCCTTCATCCCATTGCAGTTAGATAGTGGCTGGGGCTGGCATAATTTGAAGGTTTGACTGAGCTGGGCATTGAAGATAGCTTATTGCTTCACATGACTGGTGCTTCAGATAGACAGGGGGAATTGGCTGGAGATCTCTCTTCCCCCACCTCCCCCATCTTACTTACTTAGCCAGCTTGGATTTCCACATAACATGATGATCTTGGGGTAGTAAGACTTTTTATATGCCGGCTGGTTTTCCCAAAGTAAGCATTTCAAGTTAGACTGAAGCTGAAGACTTCTTATGACCAAACCTTGAAAGTCACAGAGCATTATCCTATTGGTCAGAGCAGGTAACAGGGTCAAACCAGATTCATGCAGAGGGGATAACAAAGATGTAAATACTGAGAGATATGATTCATTTGATGGCCATCTTTGAAGACTAGCTGTTATATATATTTTTCATATGCCTGAAATATTTCATAGAACAAATTGAATAGCATTTTATAAGAATGGTGTGATGGTTAACTTTGTGTTAATTTGCCTGGATCACAGTACCCAGATGTTTGGTAAGATATTATTTTAATTTAATTTTAGTTTTTTATGTTTATTTTTTATTTTTTGAGATGGAGTCTCGCTCTGTCGCCCAGGCTGGAGTACAGTGGCGCGATCTGGGCTCACTGCAAGCTCCGCCTCCCGGGTTCACGCCATTCTCCTGCCTCAGCCTCCCGAGTAGCTGGGACTACAGGCGCCCCCCACCACGCCCAGCTAATTTTTTGTATTTTTAGTAGAGATGTGGTTTCACCGTGTTAGCCAGGATGGTCTGAATCTCCTGACCTCGTGATTCTCCCGCCTTGGCCTCCCAAAGTGCTGGAATTACAGGTGTGAGCCACCATGCCCGGCCAGATATTATTTTCAATATTTCTGTGAATGTATTTCTTGGATGAAATAAAGATTTTAATCAATAGACTTTGAGTAAAACAGATTACCCTCCATAATTTGGGCGAGCCTCATCCAATCTGTTGAAGGCCTTAATAGGCAAAGACTGACCTCCCAGAAGAGGGAATTCTGCCAGCAGATGGACTTCAGATTTGATCTGCAACATTAGATATTCCCTGGGTCTCCAGTCTGCCAGACTTCCCTGCAGATTTTGGGTTTACCAACCCCTGTAATTGTGTGAGTCAATTCCTTAAAATTTCTACAGATAGAATAATCTATACTCTATCGGTTCAATTTCTCTAGAAAATCCTAACTAATACAGTTGTACGGGGATATAAAATTAAATGTTTATTAAATGTTTTGGGTTCTAGTAAAATTTTGTGTGTCAATTCAATGTTAAAATTTTTCTCACCTTTCAAATGCCATTAAATTGTTCCAAAAAGTGATATGAAATTGTTACAGAACTCTGAACTTTATCTTACAACAACTTATTGTTTTTATTAGTCTTAGGATAGGCAGTTTTTTACGACACAGTAACTCATGATATGTGAACCATTATAAATGTTAAACTTTCATGAACTATTACTTAGATTCTAAATTAATCATTATATTTGAATTTTGTTCTTTTGACTTTTCAGTCAAACAATGCATTCTCACTATAGAGATTTTGGAGACAACAAAATACTAGAAAGAAAACATTATATACCATACAATGTAAAACACATTTTAAAACTCTTTTTAAAAACATAGGCCTAAGCCTTTGCGAAAATATCAACATTTACTTTACAAGCTTTGGGTAAAAAAGTAGTGAGTGAGCATATTTGGCAAGTTAATAAGCCAAAGAAACAAAGATGCAGAATGTGTTGTGTATTTTATGCAATTTTATTATATATATTTGCATTGGATATTTTAATCATTTTTTTTACTGGTGATATGAAGGAATTCCTCTTTTAAATATATTTATAACCAGAAGAAAACACAAATTAAACCTAAAGAATGCAGGTATTTTCACTAATCATTCTAGACACAAATATTTTAGTCTTTCAAATGTTTAAATAAGAACCACCTTTAAAGTAAAGCACAATAGCAGAAATGTATGTGTTTTTTTTTCTGTATCTTTAAGTCCCCAATACAGAACCTATAACACAAATCAGACACACGCAAACTAAATGATTAAAGTATCATAGATATATACTAGCCTGCCATCAAACCAACACAGTGTTTGGAATTAAACTTTCACTTTCCAAACAAATCTGTGAATCCTGAACATGATACAGTGGTGAAATATTTGGTCCTCAAAAGACTATGAAGCCAGACTGCTCTTCATTACCATCTGGTGGCTACTGCATGGAGTGGCATTAACCATAATTTTAAGAGAGAGTTAAAGGGAGTGAATGTCATAAGAATAGAAGGAGAACCTCAATGGTATTGATTAATATTGAAAATGCATGAAGATAAATATCAGAGAAGGATTTGGGACTTTGCCATAGAAAAGTATACCACAAAAAGTTATTTATTGGAAACAGTTTAGAGTGAGCAAAAGTTGAATGTTTGATTTATGGATAGCATAAGACTCCCAAATCACTCCTATTTGCTTTATAATAAAAAAAAACTTTGTTCTTTTAGTGATAAATTCTATGTAGCAAATTGTCTGAATCTACTAAAGCTTTCAGTCCTCCATGTATCTTCACATGTCACTTGCCTCAGAAGTACCCTTTTCTATTTTATCTACCTGGAAAACACTTACATATCTTTAAAATTTAGATTAAGTGCAGCTCACTTGTGAAATCCACCTCCTCCCAGGTAAGGGTTTTGTTATCTGTCTCTACAGACTGTTGTAATTCTGTGGACCGTTTGCCTAATGGTTTCTTTTCATGACTGACTGAGTTTCTCGAGGATGGGGATGATGTTTTATTTATTTTTGTAAGACCCAAGTCCTAAGCATTTAATATGCTTATGTAAGGAATGAATCCAGGAGGAAGTTCATTGTTATTTAGGAAATAAATAACAATATTTTAAACCAAAAGAAACCTCTCACATTTCAGACTTGACAGACACTGAGACAAGGGACAAATTTAGGTTTTGGAGAAAGTAAATGTCCATATTGACATTCAAGTTTCCCACTTCCATGACAGAATTGCAGAGCTAAAACAGAACCAGAGAAATCATCTAGTTCTGCTACATTCTTTTAAGTATGGGAATGAGGCTCAGAGAGACGACATGATTTTCCTAAGTTTCTGTAATTGCTAACTACCAGAATCAGGATTGGAATCCCAGTCTTCTGACTCTTCCTCCAGTGAGGCGTTTATTCTGCTGATTTAATCTCTGACTTCCCTTAAGAGGAACCTTAGGTCTAGGAAATTGGGCTTTGAACCTAAAATGCAATGTCCTTTCAGGAATTCAATCCTATTGATCAATGTCAGCCCACACATATTTACAGGCAAGTTAGGAAATCATTAATTATGTTATGCGGCATTACAATAATATATTTAAAACGTTCTTTTGTTTTTTTTGTTTGTTTTGTTTTTGTTTTAGATGGAGTATTGCTCTGTCCCCAGGCTGGAGTGCAGTGGTGCCATCTCGGCTCATGCAACCGCCACCTCCTGGGTTCAAGCGGTTCCCCTGCCTCAGCCTCCCGAGTAGCTGGGACTACAGGCGCGTCCCACCAAGCCTGTCTAACTTTTTGTGTTTTAGTAGAGACGGGGTTTCACCATGTTGGCCAGGTTGGTCTCGATCTCCTTACCTTGTGATCTGCCTGCCTCGGCCTTTCAAAGTGCTGAGATTACAGGTGTGAGCCACCGTGCCTGACCTACAATAATATATTTAAAACTTTCTTAAAGTTCTTTAATTTTTCCCAGTGGTTACAATTCTAGGCATTGATTCTAAGAAAATGACGAGACACTTATGTCAAGATTATAGGCATGATGAGCAATAGAGCATCATTATTAATACCTTTTATTTTTAGTTTTTATGGGTACATGGTAGGTGTATTTGTTTATGGGAGACATGAGATATTTTAATACAGGCATGCAATGCATAATATTAATACTTTAAAAAAAAAGAATAGGTTCCCTGGTTTAATTTCCAATGTCTTTGACTATTAAAGGATATACTTTAGGGTTGAATGGGAAGAGTTTGAGATGCTCAAAACACACCTTGCTTTTTGACTGCCTATTCCAACTATTGGTGCGGCCAGACACTTGATTTAAAAAACAAACAGACAAGCAAACAAACAAAAAACAGATGACACAGTCTCTTCGAATCTGTTAAGATACGTAGTTTATAATCCAGAATTGGTTTTATTCTGTCAATGTGTATTTGATTTCGTATCATCTAGTTTTTCCACCTTTAAAAATTATACTTCTAGGAAAAACAATATGTTTGCTATTTGAAGTTTAATACTTATAGTTTCAATAGTTTTGTGTTTCCTCGAAGGTCAATGGCATGCAGTGATTTGTAACTGTTGCTAAGGCATATATAGAAACAGTGAATTCTGAGAGGCTAAGGAGCAGGCAGATGCAATCACCTAGATGGAGAGAGAGCCAAAGCCAAGAGTGGGCCTAGGGGGAGGCCAGACACACCTGGCTTTGTGACTCCTAGGGTTAATGTCCCAGATGCAGAAACTTTCCTGAAGTGATTTTTAAAAATGGTTCTCCGTAGGGCCAGGCGCAGTGGCTCACGCCTATAATCCCAGCACTTTGGGAGGCCGAGGCGGGTGGATCACGAGGTCAGGAAATCGAGACCATCCTGGCTAACACGGTGAAACCCCGTCTCTACTAAAAATACAAAAAATTAGCCAGGCATGGTGGCGGGCGCCTGTAGTCCCAGCTACTCGGGAGGCTGAGGCAGGAGAATGGCGTGAACCCGAGAGGCGGAGCTTGCAGTGAGCTGAGATCCAGCCATCGCACTCCAGCATGGGCGACAGAGTGGGACTCCGTCTCAAACAAACAAACAAACAAACAAAAACTGTTCTTGGTGAGGAAGTGACCATCCAGTGAGATTTTAAATGTCAGTGTATGCTGAAAATGCAGCAAACCTGTGGTTTGAGCACAGTATCTGATAAGGATCCATTTGATGCTAAAAGAGAAAGTAGTAAAGCAATGCAAACATTTCAGTCATAAGGTAAAAACCATCGGCAGTCTCTCTTAACTTATAGTCAGCTTTTTTTAAGCCTCCTGAAGATCCAAGGACTAAAAATGTCCTTTTGTCAATCACAGAGAACTTTACGTCTCCCTCTGCAACTTCTCTAAAATTAGGAACCAGTGCTTCTGCAATGGCTACCCAATTTCTTTACCTAACTCTGAAAGAGTCAACTTGTAACATATGGGGCTTAGCAAAACTGTGCCTTCATTTAATTTGTCCTCTACTCTGGCTTATTTGCAGCCAAACTTTCAGGATTTTAATCTTTGTCTTATGAATACAAATGTCTTCTTTCCTCCCTTCTTTCATTTCTTCCTGTACTTATTTTTTTATTTACTTAAAAACTTGGAAGTATCTGATTTGAGGAGGCTTTTGTTATTCTTTTTTTTTTCACATCTTCTAATAAAGAAGCAATAATTTCTTTTGTTTTATTTTGCTTGGTAAAAATCAGACACTATTTTTCTGACTCATTTTGACATTCTTTGACAATGGAATCCCTTCCATTAGATCATTTCCGACAGAATTATAACGAAAAATGTGTTTTTCTCTGTCCCTGATATATTGAATTATGACCACAGATTTTGATTTTAGATTGGGTTCATCTTTCAAAAATTTCATAAGTCTACCAATCTTTCACAGACAGACCCTTCATTATGTTATGCTGAAACAGTTGGGCTCTTGGGAAAGATATTTATTGTAATAAAATAATACTATACATATATAATACATATAATACAGAGTGCATATTCCCACAGAATTTGCAGTACCAAAAAATTAAAAATGTTTTCAAAACTTTCCTATAATGATCATAAGATGGAACTATTTTCTTTTATAGGTCAGGTACATCTATTGCATCTATAATATGTCTTATAACATGAATACAAAATTATTCCAAAATCAAATTGCTTCACTTGCATTTTATTATAGTGACTTGAATTTTGATAAGATGTGTAGCTATAAAAATACTGTTTATCAAGTGGGGAATTATAGAGTCCAAGAATAAAAAATCATTATATCTAGGTTTAGCATAAGGTTCTGTAACTAACATGTTATTTTCAACATATTTGGCTTTTCTTGTAACACAAAGTTTTGCTATATGTGAACTCTAACAGGAACAAGTGAGATTAAGTGAGACAAATAGACAAATATTTAAATAATTGCATTATATATAAAAGTAAATGCTGCAATTAAAGATAAAGATTGCCACACTGAATAACAAAACCAATCTCAAGTTTACTTAAAAGAGATAAACTTTAGGCTGGGGATGGTGGCTCAAGCCTGGGATTCCAGCACTTTGGGAGGCTGAGGCAGGTGGATCGCTAGAGCTCAGGAGTTTGAGACCAGCCTGGGCAACATGGCAAAGCCTACAAAAAATTAGCCAGGCATGGTAGCATGTACTTGTTGTCCCACCTACTTAGGAGGCTGGGGTCCGAGGATTGCTTGAGCCTAGGAGGCCGAGGCTGTAGGGAGCCATGATCGTGCCACTGCACTCCAGTCTGAGTGACAGAGCGAGACCCTGTTTGGATAAAAAAAAAAAGAAAAAGAAAAGAAAGTACATAAACTTTAAATGTAAAGACAGAAAATTTTAAGGTGAAGTACACATCATTTGTCATTATATTAATATCCAGCAAAGGATGCTTTATCTGTAAAATGTATTATTAAAGAGAGATATTTCAAAGTGATAAAGAGGTAAACCTGTCAGAATGATCTAATAATTCTCAATTTATCTGAACCTCAATTAATAGCTTAAAAAACTAAAGAACACATTGACAAAACTAAGATCTCTAATTATAGTGGGATGTTTTAACATACGCTTCTCAGTAACTAAAGGAACAAACAGGTGAAAAATGTAATAAAGGCATAAATGATTTTAACAGCACTGTTAACAAACTGGACTTCACTGACATAGAGAGAATGCTGCACCTAATAACTGCAGAGTATATATATTCTTTTCAAATGACATGTAACCTTATCTCAAGTTGACCACATGCTGGGTTTTAAAGCATGCCAAATAAAGAATGAAGAATGTCAACGAATAGAAATTGTACCAAGAATGTTCTCTGACCATTGTGAAATTAATCTTGAAGTCAATAGCAATAGATAACCAGAGAATCTTTCCAGAGAATGAAGAAAAGCTGGGGCAAGAGGCCGGATAGGGGAGACAGATACCAAGGAGATGTAAGCCTTACTTAGGACATTTGTATTCTAACAGCATTAAGTACCATTAAAGGACGTATACCTTGGAACTGGTATATATATATATATATATATATATATAAAATCAAGTTTGTATTTTTAAATAGTCATTCTGGTTACAGCTGAGATGCCAGGGAGGAATGATTGTGAGATTAGGTAAATAATGTTTTGGAGTGAAGAGAAGTATAGAGACAGGCACGACAATTTGCCCTTACGCATTATTGGTGAGTGTGGTTGCTTGAACTGGAATAGTGGCAGTGGAGATAGAAATAAGAGGAAAGATTAGAGAAATATTTAGGTGGCAAGATGGACATTGTTGGTATTTGTTAGCAAGAAATGACTCCCAGATTTTTGTCTTGGTTACATGCTTGAGTGTTGTCATTCATTAAATACAGAATACAGGAAGTTGGAGGGCAGAAAACTAGAGATGATCATTGTGGGACAACCAAAAGTGCCCTATAGTCACTTAGAACAGTGCTCTGTACCTAAAATATACATTTGAAATGATAAATGGTAAATAAGACGTGGGCTAGATGAGATTCTACAAAGAAATAATAGAAGAGAGTAGAAAGTTTGTGTTAGAATATAAGGAATGCCAACTGTAAAACTTCTAATATGGACTATCATTTCAGGAAAAAATAAAATATTTTACTTTTTTTTTTTTTCTTGAGATGGAGTCTCACTCTTTTGCCCCAGCTGGAGTGTAGTGGTGTGATCTTGGCTCACTGCAACCTCTGCTTTCCAGGTTCAAGTGATTCTCCTGCCTCAGCCTCCCGGGTAGCTGGGATTACAGGCTCCCGCCACCACACCCAGCTAATTTTTTTTTTTTTTTTTTTTTGTATTTTTAGTAGAGACGAGGTTTCACCATGTTGGCCAGGCTGGTCTTGAACTCCTGACCTCAAGTGATCCACCGGCCTTGGCCTCTGAAAGTGCTGGGATTACAGGCGTGAGCCACTGCACCTAGCCAATATTTTAACTGGACTTTTAAAAATACCAGCAGTATTAACTGTAGTTCACCCTGTCACGCTATCAGATACTACCTTTTTTTTTTTTTTTTTTTTTTTTTTTTTGAGACGAGTCTCGCTCTGTTTCCCAGGCTGGAGTGCAGTGGCGTGATCTCAGCTCACTGCAAGCTCCTCCTCCCGGGTTCATGCCATTCTCCTGCCTCAGCCTCCCGAGTAGCTGGGACTACAGGCGCCCACCACCACGCCCGGCTAATTTTTTGTATTTTTTAGTAGAGACGGGGTTTCACTGTGTTAACCAGGATGGTCTCCATCTCCTGACCTCATGATCCACCCACCTCGGCCTCCCAAAGTGCTGGGATTACAGGCATGAGCCACCGCGCCCGGCCAGATACTACATTTTGTTCACTCAATATTTTTGTATATAAATATAAAACAAAATATAAATATATTCAAAATATTTATTAATTAAATTTTATATAAATTATGTATCTATAAAAAGTTAAATATATGTTTTTGTATCAAAACATCACATTTACCACACAAAATATATACCATTATGTACCCATAATAATTAAAAGTTTTAAAAACACTACCATTATAATGTATTTGCCTTACAGGCTTACCTATATAATTTTAAAGAATAACACCTAAAATTAATGCATTAACACAGGTAATCAACACTATCTACCAAGTTTAATGTGTTTAATGTGCTTACATTAAGAACAACATCAATTTTAGTTTTTTTAAGAAGAAAAAAATAGAACTTGAGAGCTAATAAGTCCAGTTGTAGAAACCAAGTTTATGACCATTGACAAGAGGCCTCTGGTTAGCCAGATGATGTCAAAGTCGTATGATAGCATAAAATCCATACCATTGTGGATTATCTCCAAAGGTACTCTGGAATTTGATTGTAGGAGTGGAGAAGTTAATTGGTTGAGGTGATTTAAGTTGGGGGGTTTTAGGGCCTGTCCACTGGATAAGGAGAAGTGTGCCAAAAACATTATGTATTGACCACTGAGTGATTGAGGTAGTACTCAACAGGTGGTCTTCAGCCTGGAACGGAAATAAATAAAACCAAGAATGTGATGGTGGTCACCATTTGATAAGCAACTGAAAGTTTCATCCAAATTCAGTATTTTTTAATGGATGTGTATACTTTGAAAGCTTCCTTTTTAAAGGCTCTACTAAACAGTTCACAAAACAAGACATTCGGATGAGCTGTGCAACTCTGTGCAGATAAACTTTACCTACCACAGCTGACATTTTAACCAGGCTTCTGCTCACCTCTGGATAAATTTGGCTGTTTTGCTGCAGATTCTCAGCCAGCCTTTGCTTTGGTGCATACTCAAGGAAGCTTTCTCAATGAGTGGCACACACTGTCTTGTCCTTCCTTTAATAAGTAATGAAACAATGCAGGAGGAATTGCAATCACCAAAGTATTTCTTTTTAAAAAAATGTTTAAGATGTAATCAGATGATCATGTTATCTGAGCAACAAACTATAATAAAATATAGCCAGTAAAGCTAACCAGACCCATTTGCTGACTATTAGAGCAGTAATAACTTTTTACATTATTTAGTTCAGATCTCTGCCTCATCCTTGCTTAAGAGATGAGAACCTGAGGGGTTAAGTAACAAAATAAAGATCACATCTAGTCAGTTAATGGTAGTTAGGTCTCCTGCCTCCTACTCTAATAGTCTGTGAATGATTGCATAACAATGATTGTGTTGCACACTAATGAAGGAAATATTGTAAGCAATGCAGAGCTTACTTTATTTTGTCAATGCAAATAAATATGATCAACTCAAATGTTGCCACATTTCCCAGTAACTTTTATTATTGTGAAATTATCATGCCATCACCATATATTCTTATTATGTAGCAAAGTTCCTGAATCTTCCTCCCCAAAGCTGGAATGTTGTTGGCTCTGACCTAGTGTCATCCTGACTCCTGAACTTCTTAGCTGTTTCACTTTTGGAACATTGCTTCTCCACTCTGGGTTTCAGTGTCATTTGCAAAATGAGGACAATGATAGTGCCTATTTCATAGGATTTTTATCAAAGATGAAATGTGTTAATACATGTTAAAACTATTTGAAGAGCTCCTGGAACATAGTTAGCACTAACAAAGTGTTAGTTCTATTAATAACTCACACAGTGGATTTTTGAACCTGACACTTTTTTTTTTTAAACTCATTGCCACTGACAGAGAGTCCTTCTTCAGCTAGAGGTAAAAATCTTAAAAGTGTTAAAACATTAGAGAGTTAACACGTTGGTGTGAATAAGTTTTAGTCAAAGTGAAAGTGAAAGCATTAGACTAGTTGCAGTTTCAATGGTAGATGAAATTCAAAGGTCAAAGTACCTAAAAATTGAGAGGAAATGCAGCTGTGTGGGAAACATTAGCAGAAAAAGGTGGGAGGGCCCAGGGACAAACTTCAAAGACTTTCCTGTTTTGCCCAAGACCTCACCTTATCATTGTTGCTGCAAAAATAAGGCCACAGGTATGAGCTGGACCCAGACCTGTGATCCCACTCAGGACTGAGGGAGCTGCAGTAGGTATTAAACCCAGCTGTGAACTGTCTGGGCGGCAACTACAGAGAAAAATGGACAGCAAGAAGGATGTGAGCTGAACTGAGGACTTCTACCTTGGGTACTGCTTGCTTGGGGCCAAAAACTAGGTGCAAGAATGAATAAGGGTAAGGTCCCAAGTAGGGTCAAATGGTTTTGTTTGACCATTTGGGAAACAGAAACATATCAGACTCAGACTCTGAGGCCAAGCTGCTCCCAAAGAGATCATTTGTGGGCATGCACATCTGTTCTGGTATGTTCCAGTCATGGTGGTGGGGTACATGAGTTTGATTAAGCCTTGCTTCACTTTGTATTTTTCATATAGTTTCAATCTTAGGGTAGCTCATTTATTCATATTCTCTGAGTAAAATGCACTTCTTAATAAAGGGGAAAAACTTCCCCTTTTCAAGCTTTAAGATTTGTACCTAAATCTAATTTTATGTTTGATGAATGAGTATAAATCTTCCCACCAACTATATATGCTGTATAGGCTTCTATAAAAATTCTTCCCAATCATTAAAAGCCCATTTTAAAAAATATTTCCAAATACAGGAAAAAAAATCCCACAGTAGAATATGATATAATAAACATCTAGGTACTCCACACTGAGTGCTATTAAATTCTAACATTTGTCAAAATTGATTCAGAATTTAAAAATAAATTAATAAAACATTACAGATACAATTAAAGCTTCCTGAGTATCCACCACACTGTCCTTCATTTGAAAGTAAACACCATATTGAATTTGGTAGTTCATTTCATGCACACTTATATATTTTTACATGTGTATACAAAATAAATACCATGTAACATTATTTTTTGTTTTAAATATTTTATATATAATATCATCATGCAAATTGATGTTTTTAAATTCAGAAGTACATGTGCAGGTTTGTTACACAGGTAAACATGCATCATGGGGGTTTGTTGTACAGATTATTTCATCACCCAGGTATTAAGCCTAGTATACATTAGTTATTTTTCTTGACCCTCTCCCTCCTCCCACCCTCCACCCTCTGATAGGCCACAGTGTGTGTTGTTTCCCTCTATGTGTCCAGGTGTTCTCATCATTTAGCTCTCACTTATAAGTGAGAACATGTGGTATTTGGTTTTCTCTTCCTGCCTCAGTTTGCTAAGGATAATGGTCTCCAGCTCCATCCATTTCCCTACAAAGGCTTTTTATATTAATTTGTATTTTTGAGATTACCTATGTTTAAACATTGTCATGGTAATCAACCCTAGCCTCTATAACAAAAACAATACAAAATAATGAAAAGTTTATTTCTTCTTCATGTAAAGTCCAATGTTGTTTATTCGTATGCATTCCTCAGTAGCTTGTCTCCAAGTGTTGACACAGGTATCTGGCTCCTCTCATTACATGGCTCCACTATCTTAGATTCCCTTTTTCTAGCCATTTTCTGTATACATGGGAGAGAAAGGAAAAGGAGAGAAAACACATGAGATATTTAACCATCTTAGCTAAGAAGTAACCTATGACATTTCTTTTCACATTCTTTTGATCAGAACATGTCACATGGTAATTGGAACCTCAAGGGAAGTATGTCAAGAAGCCTGTGGATGTTGGTATTCCACAACAGATTCTGCCACAAAAATATAGTTGTAGTTCATTTGTGTAACCACTGCAAAGTTTTCCATTGTATGAGTACACCACAATTTATTCATTCTCCTGTTGATGGGCATATACCTTGCTTTTAATTTTTCACTACTATAAATTAGAGTGCAATGAACATTCTTGGACATGTCACTTTGTGCATTAGACCAACAAATTGCATTCTGTGTGTGTGTGTGTGTGTGTGTGTAAGGCTATTCTTATCTTTAGCATTACCAATTACACCTGATGGTTTTTCAAGGTAACTAAATAATTTGTGTTCCCATCTCTCTACATACTTAAGAACACTTGTATTATTGTTTTAAAATTACTTTTAGAAATAAGCTGGGTGCCCACCACCATGCCCGGATAATTTTTGTATTTTTATTAGAGGCAGGGTTTCACCATGTTGGCCAGGCTGGTTTCCAACTCCTGACCTCAGGTGATCCACCCACCCTAGCCTCCCGAGTGCTGGGATTACAGGACTGATCCACTGTGCCCGGTCTGTGCAGACAATTTAATGAACAAAATGATGTTTCTTGGTTTAAAGGAGAGTAGAATCAGTTTTTGAACTAGGTGCTAAAATGTCCAACCTGATAATGCTAAAAATGCTGTTTCATCAGTTTATTTACATTATTTAGGTTTAAGATATTTTCGTGTGTGCAGTTGTCATTTGGATTTATCTTCTTTGAATTCTATTCATATCCATTGTTCATTCTTTTATTGACTTGGCTGTCTTTTCCTTAGTTATTTAGGGGGCACTTTGTTAATCCTAGATTCTATTTTTTGTTATAGGCTATTATCTTTTGCAAAAATATTTTATACCAAGTTTTTAAACTTCCAATAGTGTCTTGGAGTGAAACTATGATAGAAGGAAGAGAACAAATTTATTACTTTTATGTGGAGTTGCACCAAAATAGAATTTTGCATTATGTAGAAGATTTAAATTTGAAAATAGTCAAGTTTATGAATCTTTTCACTATGGTTTGTGTTTTTTCTGTCTTGTCCAAGAAATTTTTCTCTAAAATAATGTCACAAAATTTTGTCCCATTTATTTTAATTATAAAATTTTATAGGATTTTCATTTATCTCACCTTGAGTACATTTTTGTATATGCTACGAAGTAGGTATCCAGGTTTATTGTCTTTTCCTATAGATAATCAACTCTAAAAACACTAGAGATCTTATAATCTCTCATTTGCAGTGTTACCTCTATAATGTATCATGTATCCATATATTATTGGAACTGGTTGTGAATGTCCTATTCTGCACTTTTACAATTTCCATAGTTTCATGATAGATTTTGAGAGCTACTAAGGTAAAATCTTCCACTTTGCTTTCTACAAACACTTGCAGCTAGCTATTCTTTGCCCTGGGTTTGTCAATATAAATTTTCAAAATGTCATCTTTATAAAGAACCTGTCAATATCTAAATCTAACACTATTGTCATGTTTGTATTATAGGATAAGCACTATTGACATCTTCTTTTATGTTTTATAAAGCAAATTTTTTTTCCTCTCCTACACTTTTACAATATTTCTGATCACCAAAATGTGTAGCATTTCCCCCTCTCTCCCCACCAGCCTCCCATACCTAGCAATTGTCCACTTCTGGGTTGGACATCAACTGGGTGTCCTACAATTTAATTTAACTCTGACACTATTTACCTCGAAATAGCATCAGATCCCACAGGTTAAGGACTTAGATTTTCCTCCTTTATTAATGTCCAAACTGAAAATAAATATGATATATTAATTCAGAAGTTAAGTATATGATTCTGAAGCAAGAGTTAAAACCACAGGTTTAAATTTGAGAAAAATTGCCATATAATTGGTAATTAAATCCAGGATATAGATAGGATACTCTATGAAAAAGTATAGAATAAGGCTATAGAAAGACATAAGATGAAGTTTGGGAAACTATAGTATTTAGTAGCTGTATTTATTTATTTATTTATTTATTTATTTATTGAGACGGAGTCTCGCCCTGCCTTGCAGACTGGAGTGCAATGGCACGATTTTGGCTCACTGCAACCTCTGCCTCCCAGGTTCAAGTGATTCTCCTACCTCAGCCTCTCAAGTAGCTGGTATTACAGGCACACGCCACCACACCCGGCTAATTTTTTGTATTTTTAGTAGAGACAGGGTTTCACCATGTTGGCCAGGCTGGTCTCGAACTCCTGACCTTGTGATCCGCCCACCTCAGCCTCCCAAAGTGCTGGGATTACAGGCGTGAGCCTCTGTATCTGGCCTAGTAGCCATATTTATTATGATGGGTCTATAAATGAGACAGGAAAGAAAAGGCAGAGATTTAAGAGGACGTATAATAATATAGAATAACAATATGTTTCAAAGAGGGTTAGGTTGATAAAATTAATAGTGTTGAGTATTACTGAGAATTTAAGGATAAACAGAAATAGAAAATATTCATTATATTTGAGAGAGTAACTATTATATATGTCAATACTGTAATATCCTTAATAGATTATATTAGCCTAAATAACAATGAATTAGTCCAAACAAGACTCCTTTTCCTTTTTTTCAACAGTGACTCTTCCACATTGGAAAGCAAAATTATGAGACTCTGGGATGTTGTGGCCTCTGGCTTTTAACTACACTAAAGTGAGAGCTCAGCATAAAGGCTTCCTTTACTGAGATGCAAAAATGACACCAAATGGTTTCAAAGCAATAATTGGAAAGTATTGCCAACAATTGCTTACCATAATTTGTAAAGATTATTAATATGTTATACAAGCAACGGGCAAGCATGAGCCTGTTTTACATGTTTACTATCTGTGATCAACAATATTGGAGCTTTACTATTTATCCATACAGTCCCTGCAAATATTTATTCATTTTGTTCTTAATTTATTCAAACATATTTTTGAGATCCTACAGCATACCAGGATTTTTGCTATATTCTGTCCTAGAGGTCATAATCTAGTAGAAAAAAATATATTCAGCTAACGGTAGAACTATGGTAAAAAGTGTACAAATAGAGGTTTTGGCCAAATGCCACAGCAGCTGGAGTATTAGCGAGGACTAGACCTTGAAAGTTCACAAGGATGAGATGGGCAGAAAAGCACTGCAGGTAGAGGATGCAGCAGGTGAAAGGCTTGCTTCTGGCTTATACAGAAAATAGGAGTATATCAGTGCTAATTAAACACTGGGTATGTGGTAATAGGGGAGAGGTTCAATGAAGAAAAAACAATAGAAATAATGTAGGTTAGAGAGAGGGAGATGGTTCCCTTCTTACCCAGGTATAACATGTTGCTTTAAACAAAACATGAACCAGGCTGCAAAAGCCAAAAATTCTTTAGAAAATGCTGCTTTCAGGCTTTGCCCTATAAAAAGTCATATTCTCAACTACTGAATAAAAAAGCCAATTCTATTATCTTTTTCTTTCCTGTCATTAAGATTTTTCCGTCTCTTTTAATAATGTGTAATAAAAATTTTTGAAAATCCCTATTTGACTTGATCACTAAAGTGACATAGTGACACTTTAGTGAATCATAGAATTGCTTAATAATTTTATGGATAAAAGGAAAACGAAATCCAGAAATGTTCTTTACCGTCCTCTAGGTGACAAAATTTCTATCTGTGCAGATTATTTATTTATTTATTTATTTATTTATCTATCTATCTATCTATCTGAGATGGAGTCTCACTCTGTCACCCAGGCTGGAGTGCAGTGGCACAGTCTTGGCTCACTGCAACTTCCATCTCCTGGGTTCAAGCGATTCTCTTGCCTCAGCCTCCTGAGCATCTGGGATTACAGGCGCCGACCACCATGCCCAGGCTAATTTTTGTATTTTTAGTAGAGACAGGGTTTCACCTTATGGGCCAGGCTGGTCTCCAACTCCTGACTTCAGGTGATCCACTGACCTCAGTCTCCCAAAGTGCTGGGATTACAGGACTGAGCCACTGTGCCTGGCCTGTGCAGACAATTTAGTGAGCAAAATGATGTTTTTCGGTTTAAATGAGGGTAGAATCAGTTTTTGAACTAGGTGCTAAAATATCCAACCTGTTATAATTAGAAATTTTAACTTTTAATACATAACAAACTTTTAAAAGCAGAACTTGAGAATGCAAAAATTAATACTCTTCTTAGATTGTAGGAAGTGCTAATAAGGTATTTAGAAAGAGACGCTGTGGAGTTAAATGACCTGAAAAGTAATTCCAGATCTGCAATTTACTACATGTGCGGCCTTCTCCATGTTTTATAGTTTATGCGTTTATGAAAGTGTTGAGTCACATTTTTTAATTCCCTGCTTGTGTTAACATTCAAGTCTAAAGGATTGCTTGGGATCATGATTTTGATATGACACAACTGTCAGGGAAAAGTATTATGACTCTGGCAGCTATGTGAAATTACACTAACTTAAATTGTAGCTGATGGTCGCATTACTCACATTATTTACTCAAACTCCTTGGACAACTGAAAATAAACATTTTCTTAACTGAGCAGTATATATCATTTAACTTAAAGGAAACACTGGGAAATATGAGATAGACTTCTTTGAGAATTGTACTATGACAACCACTGTAAGAAGCCACCAAAGGCTAAATCCAAATAAAGAAATAAGAAACACATTGGAAACAAATAAAAGCCTATAAAACAGGAAAGAGTAGCTGTAACCAGGAAAGTTATGAAATCGAATGATTTATTTTTTCACACTCACACACACACACACACAAGCATGCTGGCTTCTAGTTTTACCACTGAATCTCTGAAATATTGTCAAGATACTTAAATTTTTGATGACCTAACACCCTCACTGTGACTATTTTATGAACAGCATCTGACTCATCTCTCAATCAAAATTTTGCTCACTGCTTTGAAGCTGTGGAGATATTCATCCACAGATTGTTAAGGAGAAGTTCAGAATATGGTTAGAAAACTTGTTATCCTCTTTTAGAACTCAAATCATTAAATTGTTGTTAAATTCAGATTTTCAGATTTGAATTATTGACTTTTCTCTTTCAAAATAAAATCTCTTATCTTTTCTGTTGTTATTCATGTTTTCATTTAGTTTTTCCTGCTTTAAAATAAGTTTTCTTTTCTTCTTCTTTCTTCTTCTTTGTCGTCATCTTCCTCCTCCTCCTCTTCTTCCTCCTCCTCCTTCTTCTTCTCCCTCTTCCTCCTCTGCCTCCTCTTCTTCTCCTCCTCATCCTCCTCCTCTTTCTTCTTCCTTTTTCCTCCTCCTCCTCCTTTTTCTTCTTCTCTTCTTCTTCTTTCTTTTTTTTTTGGTTTTGGAGAGACAGGCTCTCCATATGTTGCCCAGGTTGGTCTTGAACTCCTGGCCTCTGTCTGGCCTCAAGTCATCCACCCACATCAGCCTCCCACGTCAGCCTCCCAAAGTTCTGAGATTACAGACAGGAGCCACCATGCCTGGCCTTCTTTTCTTCTTTAACAAATAATCACCTTACATCTAGTCAATTGTTAAATTGCTAATGTCTCTGCTTCTTAGTAGTAAGACTAATGCCACAAAAACAGTATGATAATGTCAGAAATCTACAATTTTAAAATATGTAGTTGACCTTTTTACAATATAGAAGTTAGGGGCCCTCACCCCCCAGGCAGTTGAAAATCCATGTGTAATTTTTGGCTACTCAAGAACGTTACTAATAGCCTACTCTTGGCCAGAAACCTTACTGATAACACAAGCAGTTGATTGACACATATTTTATATATGACATGCATTGGGTACTGCATTCTTACACTAAAATAAGCTAGAGAAAGAAAATGTGACTAAGAAAATCATAAGGAAGAGAAAATATATTTATTATTCACTAAGTGGAAGTGGATCATCCTAAAGATCTTCATCTTCATTGTCTTTACATGTGAGTAGGCTGAGGAGGAGGAAGAAGAGGGTTTGATTTTGTCATCTCAGGAATGGCAGAGGTGGAAGAAAATCCGCGTATAAGTGGACCCATGCAATACACACCCATGTTTTTCAAGATTCAGTTGTATTTTTTCTTCATCATTTTTGCTCTTATCTTTACTGACAATTTGTAAACTGCACATGCATCACTAGCTTTTAAGAAATGTATTTTCTCTGAAAATATATTAAACTTTTCATTTAAGACATTTAATGAGATCAAATGAAAATAATTTGACACTCCAGACCTCAAAACTCAAGACCTCAAAATCCACTAAGCAACCGCATTGAAAAATATGAATTTCTCATCTGACTAATGGTAACTTCCTTATGGCCTCATATTGGTTAATCTATCAACAATTTTTCCTAGATGCTCGGCCCTTTTCCTAGATGCTTGGCTCTTCACTTGGCTCTCAGCACACTTCATTCTTCTGGTTTTCTTTCTACCTGTTTCTTCTTTGTCGCTCTTTCTAGTTTCTTTTTGTCTACCCTAACCTCAAAAGTTTGAAAACCCCAGCATACCTGGAATTTCCTTCCTTTTCTACCTACGCTCACAATATTATTGAAATTATGCAGTGTGTTTCATTAAACACTGTATTAGTTTGCTAGGACTGCCATAACAAAATACTAATTGTGGCTTGAACAATGGAAATTTAATTTTCTCATAGTTCTGGAGGCTGAAAGTCCAAGATAAAGGTGTCAGCAGGTTTAGTTTCTCTCTCTCTCTCTCTCTCTCTCTCTCCCTCCTTCCTCCCTCCCTCCCTTCCTCCCTTCTTTCTTTCTTTCTCTCTCTTTCTTTCTTTCTTTCTTTCTTTCTTTCTTTCTTTCTTTCTTTCTTTCTTTCCTTCTTTCCTTCTTCTTTCCTTCTTTCCTTCTTTCCTTCTTCTTTCCTTCTTTCACGGGCTCTCACTTTGTTGCCCAGGCTGTAGTGCAGATCTCAGCTCACTGTAACCTCTGCCTCCCAGGCTCAAGCAATCCTCCCACCTCAACCTCTCTAGTAGATAGGAAAACAGGCACATGCCACCACCCTGGCTAATTTATATATATATATAATATATGTATATGTATATGTATATGTATATGTATACGTATATGTATACGTATATGTATATGTATATGTATATATATTTTGTAGAGACAGGGTTTCACCATGTTGCCTAGGCTGGTCTCGAACTCTTGGACTCAAGCAATCTACCCGCCTCAGCCTCCCAAAGTGCTGGGATTACAGGCATGAGCCACTGTGCCCAGCCAATTTGGTTCCTCTTGAGGTCTCTCTCCTTGATTTGCAGATGACTGCCTTCTCCTTTTGTCCTCACATGGCCTTTCCACTGTGCATGAGCATGTATGGTGTCTCCTCTTTTTATAAAGACATCAATCATATTTTATTAGGACCCCAACCTTTCTGACCTCATTTAACACTGATTATCTCTTTGAAGAGTACTTCTTCAAATATAGTCACATTCAAGGATAGGTCTTCAACTTATGAATTTGGGGGGAACAATTCAATTCATACGAATAGTATCTATGTGCTGCTAGCTTTCAAATGTATACTTCCAACCAAGGCCTCTTCCTTGACATGGAGTTACCCTGCTGCCTACTCAGAATTCCCACTTGGATTTCTAATAAACATGTTAAACTCAACATGTTTGAAATTGATTTACAATGCAAACCTTCCCAAAACTGTTTATCAACATCCTCACCATCTCAGAGAATGGCAACCCTTCCATTTACTCAGCTCGAAGATATCGGAGTCATCTTTTACTCACTTCTTTTCCTCACATCTATATCCTCTCTCAGGAAGTCCTGTTAACTGTAGCTTCACAATATATCTGCAATATGACCACTTTTCATCACCTCTACTACCACTATAATTTTCCCACTTGGATTACTGACTTAACTTCTTCCACCCTTGCCCTCTAATAGTCTATATTCTAGAGTAGCTAGAGTGCTTCTGTTAAAAGGCAAATCAGATCATGTTATTTTATATCAAATCCTTCCACTGGTTTTCCATCTTAGAGTGAATGCTTCAACTCTCTGACTCACCTCCTGTTACTTTTTCTGCCACTCACTCTGCTCTAGTCACACTGGCCTCCTTAAACCTACCAGACACATTCCTACTTCAGTATCTTTGCACTTGCAGTTTTCTGTTGGTAGTGCTCTTTGTCAACATATTTACAAGGCTCAATCCATTGCTAACTGCAGTTCTTTACTCAAATGTCACCTTTTTATACAGGTCTTCCTTAACCACTCTTTCTACTTTTCAACAAACAAAACCCTCCACAGATTCCTATCTGCCATGACCTGATTTAATTTTTCTCTCCTATCACTATCTAAACGTATCATATACTTAACATATCTGCCTTTCTTATGATCCATCCTCTTTACTAAATATTGCTAAATTTATTTATTTATTCATCTATTCAACAAGCATTTATTGCATATCTGTTTTGTGCCAGACAGAATTCCAGATAAGTAAGAGACATTAGTAAGTTTTAAAAAAGGTTATTTTCCTCAGAGCACTTTGATTTAGTGGTTTTATTATAAGAATGTATGTGCTGATAATAAACAGCTGTGATACTCTGCCATGTGTGGACACAGGAAATGCTAAACTACTAGGAATAGAGGAATCATGATGAAGCTGGGAAAAAATAAGAGGTAATCAAGGCAACCCACAGAAATGGCTGTGCTTTCGGATCCTCTGCAGGTATGTTTATCTTCAATAATGTGCGGTCTTCTCTTGAATATTCCAACTTTTTTTTACTCATCTACTATCTCAGTTCCTTCTTCTTTCTGGGAGAATTATCTGTTCATCAATATTTAAATATTTCTTTCTCTATCCTGTGTCTTTTCTTTATCAGAAAAAGTATAGCAAAACAGTTGATAATATTGAGTTTTGATTTTGACTTTGTGGGCTTGAACTCTGGTCTTGTTATGTCTAAGCTATGTGACCCACTACAAGTTACTTTTCCCATCTGCTCCTCCTTTTAAGAAATCAAAAAAATAATAATATTACCAGAGCTTAGATATGTTAGGTATGAATGACTTACTATACAAAAAAGACTTAAAACAGGGCCTGGAACAGAGTAAGCACTCAATAAATTAGAGATTTTATTTTTAATTCCTAATTCCTAGTAAAGAATTATGGCTTATTTAAAATATCTTCTTTCTGTTTCATCAAAATTGATAAACTCATGGCTCCTCCTCTAACTCATAATTAGTTTCTGTATCCCTTGTCTGCAGCTTCAGAATAATTTATTTTAACAATTGCTTTAAATTTCACAGCACTGTACTTAAAAATTGGAGAATATTTTATTTTACTGGTTTATTTGCTTCTCACTTTATTTTGTGTGTTAATTACTTCTTTCCTGTATTAATGCTTTGTTTTCCTATAGTAATCCTTATGTATTTCTTGCTAAAAGGATCTAATGGGGCAAAATGTTCTTAGTCCTTTTATGTCTAAAAATGATTTTATAGTGCCAACACAATTGAATGTTAGTTTTTTAGAGTATGAAATTAGCACTTCAAAGTCATTTTTCCTCAGAATTTTAAAAACATTGCTTCATTGTTTCTGGTACTAATTTTACTGGCCAAAAGAATGACAAATTATTCTTTTTTCTATGTAGATAATATGATTTATTTTTCTCAAGAGTGTTTTAGATGTTTTTCTTTATCCATGATGTTCCAAAATTTCATCAGAATATGACTAATTAATGCTGTTTAACATTCAATCACGTCAGAGAAATGCAAATCAAAATGACAATGAGATGTCATCTCGCCCCAGTTAAAATAGCTTAGATCCAAAAGACAGGCAATAACAAACGCTGATAAGGATGTGGAGAAAAGAGAACACTTGTACACTGTTGGTGAGAATGTAAATTAGTACAATTACTACGGAGAACAGTTTGGAGGTTCCTCAAATTGAAATTGAGCTCAATTCCTCAAACTAAAAATTGAGCTACCATATGATCCAGCAATCCCATTGCTAGGTATTTATCCAAAAGAAAGAAAATCAGTATATCAAAGAGATATCTCCACTGCTATGTTTGCTGCAGCACTGTTTACAATAGCTAAGGTTTGGAAGCAACCTAAGAGTCCATGAACAGATGAATGAATAAAGAAAATGTGGTACATATACGCAACAGAGTACTATTCAGCCATAAAAAAGAATGAGAGCCAATCATTTGCAACGACATGGATGGCACTGGAGATCATTATGTTAAGTGAAATAATCCAGGGACAGAAAGACAAACATCACATGTTCTCACTTATTTGTGGGATCCGAAAATCAAAGCAATTGAACTCATGGACATAGAGAGTAGAAGGATGGTTACCAGAGACTGGGAAGAGTAGTGGGGGGCCTGAGGGGAAGCTGGGATTCGTTAACGGATACAAAAACAGAAAAAATGATGAGACTTACTATTTGATAGCAGAATAAGGAGACTGTAGGCAATAATAATTTAAATGTACATTTTAAAATAACTTAAAGAGTGTTATTGGGCTGTTTGTAACTCAAAGGATTAACGCTTGAGGGGATGAATATCCCTTTCTGCATCATTCTTATTTTCTTTATAAAGTTTTATCTTTCTATTTTTTGTTTTTTGGTTATGTGTGTTTTTATTAAAATTGCCATTTTCAAGTCTTATTAAAGTTTTGTCATTTCATGATTATTGACAAAAGAACTGGAGTATGCAGTTTGTTTATAGGTATATCTTTTGGTTTAAAAATAACACATTCCTGTAAAATTTGGAAAGAAATATGTAAAAGTATAAAAGAAGAAAAAATAACTGCAGCCATTAGCATTCAGAAATAATAGATGAAAATGGTTAATTTCTTTCTAGTCATTTCATATAATTATAAATGTGGGATTTCACATGTGTAAATAATCACAATAAATGTGATGATTTCACATTGCATGACCATATCAAACATCTCATGTACCCCGCAGGTATATACACTTGCTGTGTACCAACACAAATTAAAAACAGAAAAATGAAAAAAATTGAGTAAGGGTGTAAACTAATAACTGTTGTTATTCCGGGAACATTACTTTTAAAAATTATTTCCTCCCCTTCTTTTTCTCTGTTCTTTTCTTATGTAACTCTTGTTAGATTTTTTGGATCGTTTTCAATGTGTCTTTACCTTTTGCAATGCCATCTAGATTGTTATTTGTTTCTATTATCTAGCTAACTAATAAAATCTTCTACTGTGCCATTCAACCCATTTATGGAATTTCATTTTAAAATTTACAATTACATTTCAATTTCATAAATCTTAGTTTTTGTTGTTGTTTTTTGTTTTCTCCTAGTAGTTTGTTCTTTCCTAGTAGTTTGTTCTTCTTGTTGTGTACTCTTGGATGCTTTTATACTTGTTTTAAAGTAGTTTTACTTTCCATGGGATTTAATTTTCTGCTTCTGGAATTTACTTCCTATACTTCATGATATTGATTTTTCTTAAAGGCTTGCTGACTTTTTATTATATGCCCATATTTTTATGTGAGGGTTCATATTGAGAAGTATTTTATTTCTTAAGCACAAATTAAAACCATTCCATGACTATGGCTAATACATTTCTAATGACAGGAAGGGAAAGAAATTTGCAATCCCCCAAATCCTCCATTCGATATTTATTCAGCTTTAGTATGTAGTAGCAGTGACATGCGACCGAAGAAAATATTTGTTGTTTAAAATGCTGGATGATTTAAGTTTTATCTCTCACAGAGAGGATAGTTTTATTTTTAAAATTTTTTATTTCCATACATTTTTGGGGAAGAAGTGGCATTTGGTTATATGGATAAGTTCCTTAGTGATGATTTGTGAGATTTTGGTGCACCCATCACCCGAGCAGTATACACTGAACCCATTTGTAGTCTTTTATCCCATACCACCTTCTGACCCTTTCCTTCTGAATCCCCAAAGTTCACTGTGTCATTCTTATGCCCTTGCATCCTCATAGCTTAGCTCCCACTTATGAGTGAAAACATATAATGTTTGGTTTTCCATTCCTGAGTTACTTCACTTAGAATAATAGTCTCCAATTCCAGCCATGTTGCTGTGAATGCCATTAATTCATTCCTTTTTATGGCTGGGTAGTATTCCATCATATATATATATATATATGTTATTTGTTTTTATTATCTAGCTAACTAATAAAATCTTCTACTGTGCCATTCAACCCATTTGTGGAATTTCATTTTAAAATTTACAATTACATTTCAATTTCATAAATCCATATATATAGCATATATATCACATATATCACATATATATATCATATATATATGTATCTCACAATTTTTTTATCCACTCATTGATTGATGCGTATTTGGGTTGGCTCCACATTTTTGGAATTGCAAATTGTGCTTCTATAAACATGCGTGTGCAAGTATCTTTTTCATATACTGATTTATTTTCCTCTGGGTAAATACCCAGTAGTGGGATTACTTGATCAAATGGTAGTTCTATTTTAGTTCTTTTAGGAATCGCCACACTGTTTTCCATAGTGGTTGTACTAGTTTACATTCCCACCAGCAGTGTAGAAGTGTTCCCTTTTCTGCATCCATGCCAATATCTATTATTTTTTGATTATGGCCATTCTTGCAGGAGTAAGGCGGTATTGTATTGTGATTTCGATTTGCATTTCAGGGAGAGGATAGTTTTATAAACTTGAATTTTTTTTCCACAGAAAGTAATTAGATTATTTCTTAATTAATTACTGTCACTATGTCATATTCTCAGTCCAGGTTTTTCTAAATTTTTCTTTAAATCTATCTTAAAATAATTTTAATGACAACAAAATAAAAATGACAGATTAGCAATGTTCTTATCTCAGTTAATTAATGAAGAATATGTATTTAACATGAGGCAGAGTAAAAGAAGTTTTTTTCCCAAACAAATCCCCAGATTTCTTTTGCTAATCTTGTCTTGCTTAGCTATAAATTGGAAACATACCTCTCACCATCTTACTCCATTCCTATCCTCTTCTCATTATCCCCTCTCCTCTCACCACTGCAAACATAATTTTGTTCAATTCTGCCTTTACTACTTCCGTTTTTTTTGTAATGCCATCAACTTTAAAACTCAAAGCCTTTACTTGTGCTTTCCACCTGTTCTAACTCCTCCCAAATTCTCAACTTGGTGAATTTCAAGATCTAGCAGAAAGTTTCAACTCTATTGAGGTGTCTTCCCTGATATTCCAAGGCAAGAAAAAATGTTTTTGCTGGCCGCAATGGCAGCTACTCTGAAGGCCGAGGTGGGAGGATCTCTTGAATTCAGGAAGTTTGAGATCAGCTTAGGCAACATAGTGAGACCTTAGTGTAAAAATAAATAAATAAATAAATAAAAAGTCCTTTTCACGTTTCTAGCATTTTTTATTATATATTGGTGATTTGGGTGCCCTTGCCCCAACAGTTTGTATCACTTATTGTTGCATAGTTCTAAAAATGTTTTTAAATACACTCACGAATAAATGAATTAGCGCAAAGTTTATATGTTCAGCTGGAAAGTGTTCACCAGATAATCACCGGGTTGTTTGTTTTGTTCTCCAGTTAATATCAGGCACTAAATATTTATTTTATAAAAGAAGATAAAAATTATAGTTTCTACTAAACAACAACAGTAAACAGTAAAATCTATTTTACTATAAAATATGTAAAAACACATTAACACAGATATAAATGGCAACACTTTTTAAATGATGCTCTACAAACAATATATTACCGGTAACAGGCTTAATAGTCCTCATTCTCTGTGACTTTTCCTGACCCACAGCATTACAGGGACCAACTAGAGGGCACAACACTGCAAATCAGGATTTGCAGAGTATCCTTCATAAGATTCTACTTGGATAGCATGGTCTTCTGTACTCAAATACAAATTCTTTACGTAATTTGGGCTTCTTCTAAAATATAAATCACTAATAACATATGTTAAACCCTAAATGCATTTAATTATACAGGAGAAGTTGCAAAAGCATTTAATTATCTCAGTAGAGGTTAAAATATATTTTATGCTGGCAACATTTTTCATAATTAATAACGTACTAGAAAAGAATGTAAACTGTCATTAGACTATTTGAATTTGAATTTTGTCTCTCATTTTTTGTTTGACCTTGGATAAGTTACTTTCTGTGTTTAAGTGTCTTCATCTTTAAAACAGAACTAATTATATATCCCTACCTCTTAAGATATTATGAACACTAGATATGTCAAGTGTTTAAAATAGTGCTGATAAATAATAAGCCTATTAAAATGTTAACTATACTTATTAATGCAATGGTAACATTTTAATAAAAGTAATGGCTTAGAACATCTCTTTATTAGTAAGATAGAGCGTACATTTTGAAACAAAATATCATATTTATTTGGCTAGAATTATACCTGAAAGGAGCAATGAATATCCTTATTATCACCACAATTTATCAAACAGTAAAAATATCATAAATAATAATTTGAGAAGACATTCCAAAAAGAATAAACCCAGAAAAAATTGCAATATGAATTTTTAAATATAATATGAAAATTGTTACATAACAGGAAGTAAAAATAAAAAGAGGTAAAAATATACTTGGCTTATTACATGATACAAGTTTTATCCTCAAAGGTCCATGCTATAATATATAAATAAGAAGAGCTGAAAAATGCAAAGTGAAAAATGCATTTTCATATAGCTAAAGTATATTAAATAGCTGGCTATTAATATAACCTGAAACACAAGAATTTTTTTTTAAAGAAAATAATATATCACTAGAGGATAAATTGATATGCAAAAAGTGAAGTGGTGCCATTCCTATTAACACAGGTTAAAATGACTTCTTAAGTTAATTAGAATATTTAATGCAATATAAAAATAACATGAGATTTTTAGATTGTATTAAATTAATGCTATACTTAAGCTAGAAAATAAAGTATGTAAACATAACAAAGGATATGTAAATATCTTGAAAAGCAATAATGGTGTTGCTGCCTTATCAAAATTCATACTTTTCTAACAATGAGTGATTATAATAAAATTATATCATATTAGGTTAAATCAGAAAAACTGATCAATTGAACAGAAGGCAAATGCCACCAATACATGCATCCAATAACATATTATATTACTATTAGTATTACAAATCATCCTTAAAATAAATTGTGGCAATTTATACTGTCCCCAAAGTATATGAAATTGTATTTTTCCACAGCTTCCATGATACTTAAGGTTAAACCATTTTAAACTAGCAAACCAACAAGTGAAAATGGTACTTCATATCTATTTTAAAAATTGTATTCATTTGATTACTACTGAGCTTGAAACTTTACAATATATTTATTGGTCACTTAATTATTTTTTTAAATATTTTCTATTTTTTAAAAAGTTTTGCAGGTACATACTAGGTGTGTATGTTTATGGGGTACATGAGATGTTTTGATATAGATATGTTACGTGAAATAAGCACATCATAAAGAATGAGGTATCCATCCCCTTAAGCACTTATCCTTGAAATTACAAACAATCCAAATACACTGTTTATGTTATTTTAAAATGTACAATTAAGTTACTGACTACAGTCACCCTACTCTGCTATCAAATATTAGAGATTCTTTGGTGAAATGCTTGTTACAATTGTTTGCTCATTATTTATTAGACATTTATTTCTCTCATTGATTGGCATAAACATTTTAAAATATAAATTGCAAATGTATCTCCTAATTGGTCACTTCGTTATCAGTTTTGATCAGCTTTTTGTAAAATATTTCAAATATCTAGAAATATATGGAGAGTAGAATGATGAACACCCACATATCATGTTGTGGCTAATTGGAATGAAATTTTTTTGATAAAATATTGTAGATTCATTTGAACCTTAAAGTGTGGTATCCTTCTTATTTTTGTTCTCTATTCTGTGTATGTGTATATATATACATACACACACAAACACACACCCCGACACATACATATACACCATATATATGTATATGTGTATATATGTGTATATATATGTATATATGGTATATATACATATATATGGTGTATATGTGTATATATGGTATATATACCATATATATATATATGGTGTATATGTACATAATATATCTTTTGGGTTTTACACTTAAATATTTTAAAATTTATGTTATCATGGCTCATTATATCATTCTGCACCTTGCTCTTGTTTCGTTTTTGCTCAGTGTTTTACTTCTGGGATTTGTCAGTGTAGAAGCATGTAGACATTCAACTATTTTGACTGTTGTATTACATTGTGTGATTATATTCCTATTTATTTCCAATTAATAAAAATTGTTGCCAGTTTTGCACTACTAAAAACAACACTGCCATAAATATTCTTAGACTGCATGAGTTTATCACTAGGGTATATTCTGAGTGGTAGCAATTCTGGGCCAAAGAGCATGGGCATCTTTGACTTTACTAGTATGTCCAAAGAGTGGTACAAAGTGTTTAGATCAATTTATATGTCTACTGAAAATATATGGAGTTTTAAAAGCCAATTTTTAATATTCTTAAGTTTTGCATATCTCATGAGTTTAAAATAGTGTACAATTCCTTTAATTTGCAATTCCTTATTTAGAGTGGCTTTTGATCTTTTCTTATTTACTTCTGGAAGTTTTTTTTTCTGGTAATTTCTTTATACAAACCTTCTGATGGTTAAATTTGCTGAAAACATGTTCTTTCTATGTATAACTTGACTTTTCAGAAGAAGCTTTGGATTTAAAGAAGGTTACATTTTAACATAGTTATCGCAATAATCTTTTTTATCATTTATAACTTTGTTCATCTTTAGATCTTTCCTTTTATCACAGTCATAAAGATATTCTCCTATATAGTTTAAAGTTTTGAAAGTTTTGTTTTTTGTATTAAAGTTACGTATCTACCTGTAATATATTTTCATGTATGTAATGATGTAAAGATCTACTTTTTTCCCTTATGGATAATAAATTGTCTTGCAACATTTATTGAGTAGCTCATCTTTTCCTACTTCTCTTAAAATAGAGGAGTATTTCTGTGCTCTCTATTTGCTCGTACTATTTTGCTTTTTATCCCTACATGAATTCCATGCCAAAGACAAACTGATTCAGTTTCTATATAGCACAATAATGTCTTGATATCTCAAAGGCAAATGCCCCCATATTCCTTCTCTTTTTTTCTTCTTCTTCTTCCAGGTTTTCTTGGCTTTTATTTACCCCCTCATTCTTCTATTTGAATTTTGGAATTAGTTTATTCATTTCCATTTAGAATGTAGGAATTTTGATTCAAATTGGTTATATTTCTTACATTGGATAGAATTGACATCCTTACAATGTTGAGTCTTCCCAATTACCCATATGGTACATTTTCCATTTATCTAGGTCATATTTTGTGTATTTAAATAATGTTATGTACCTTCACTCTAAACTTCTTGTGCATATTTTTCCCCCAGTTATTCCTAGGTACATTAGAATTTTTTGTTATTATTGTAATGGAATAAATTTTTCTATTACGTTTTTTTGTTTGGTAACTCCTGTGTAGGGAAATACTAAGAATATGCATAAGTTTCTTGACCTTGAGACACTTCCATCCTAGTTAGAAGCTAATTTTTAAGCTGTCTCCTCTTTCCCTCATAAAAGTAAGCAGCAGACTATAATAGGAGTAGGGATTACAATTCGCTTTACTTACACTTGTGTGTGTCCCTCTCCCATTAGATGTGAATTTCTCTAGGACAAGAACCCTTTTTGAATCAGTTATAAGTCCCAGAATGCCCACAACAAAATTTAATATATACTATTTAACAAAAGAACAAACACCTAGTCCAGGGCCTTCTGCCTAACATGTGCTCAATGACATTTGTAGAATCGAAGTTACTGAATTTGATTTAATTCAAACAATACTTGCTCCTGCAGAATCCCAACCTACTGGCGAACAGAGGTTAAACTGTCTGGATGTTTCAGAGTTCTGCTAGGGGTCACAAATACCACCTTAAATGCTGTCAATTTAAGAAGGAGATTTTTCTTATCACAACCTGGAGGATAAGTGGGGCTTGCAGTGGATGGCCCTAGAAAAAAAGATTGCCTGCCCAGAACTGCTGCTGGATCCTTTGTTTCCCTCATTTCCCAACCTGGATGAAAAACGACAAGGGGAGGGAAGAAAAGTGGGGTGGAAGAAAAGTTGGCTTGCCCCTCCTACTCTGCCTCCTACAGAAGTCTACACCAAGCCAGATGTCCTAGGATGCCTCCCAAGGGCACCTAATTTTTGGAGTTCTCAAATACGTCCTGAGTTTCCTCTGTACCTTTAGTAACTCTCCCGTTCCCTCTCTCTCCACTCTTCCCTGCTCCCAGTCACCCCCACCCACAACCCCCGCTGATCACATCCTCCCGGTGCCCGCCACAGGCAACCAGAGAACAACAGACCCTCCTCCAGAGTCCCCGTTCTAGGACCTCCCTGACTGTCAACGAAAGATGCCAATCACAGGCAGCCTTAGCCAGATCACTGAGCGCCCAGTAAAAAAAACAAAATCAGGTTGAGGGCAGAAATGAAATCAACATAGCAACCTCCAATGCATGAAGGAAACTCCGTTTACACATGCTCGTAGGATCCCCTGCGTGGAAACAGCAGCTTGTCTCTGACTACCCGGAGGACATGGAGCACCCCAAATAGGAACTTTAGAGGGATTGAAATCTGTTGCCTGTTCCACTAGGAATATTGTTTGCAAGGCACAAGGTGTCTTTTGGTAGTGAGCGCGCTCTGCGCATGCGCAGGTCCATTCGGGAATTACTGCCCAGCAGCCGACTAAGTTGCATTCCTTGAATCTTCGCAGAAAAGACAATTCTTTTAATCAGAGTTAGTAATGTGGACAGTACAAAATCGAGAGAGTCTGGGGCTTCTCTCTTTCCCTGTGATGATTACCATGGTCTGTTGTGCACACAGGTGAGCTGCTGTTGTTGAATCTCGCTCTCTCTCTCTCTCTCTCTTTTTTTCTTGGTATGTTTCTTTTTACGTGTCTGCTGGATCATGTATCTTGTTGTTTGGGGGTAGGTGTGCCTGTATCTTTTTATATGTGCTCACAGTTTGTGCTCATTTTGAATACGGTCCCTACTTCTTCCCCTTAGCACCAATGAACCCAGCAACATGTCATACGTGAAAGAGACAGTGGACAGATTGCTCAAAGGATATGACATTCGCTTGCGGCCGGACTTCGGAGGTAACGCTTCATCTTTTTTCAACCTGTAACCCATCCTTAGTTCTCCTTTTCTGTCAAAGATAAATGTCAAAAAAAAAAAAAGAAAAGGCATGTCATTTTCGTAAGCGTGCACTATACCCTGGGCACACACACACACACACACACACACACACACACCCCGGGTCCCCAGTCTCAGGTGGATGAATCCTCAGGCGGAGGCGACCTTCTCCCGGGCCGACACACCCTCTGCATAGTCACTGCATCACGCGTGTGCCCACACCTGTTTTCCCAGGCAGTCCCCTGAAAGGGGTGGTGGGGGGAGCAGGGAGGGAGCCCGTTAAGAATGGAGTAAGGGCTGGGAAGCCCCCAGACCCTCCCCAGCCTGCTGTCACTGAGAGAATCTGTTCCTAATGTGGCCCACCTCCCCGGCAGGGCCCCCCGTCGACGTTGGGATGCGGATCGATGTCGCCAGCATAGACATGGTCTCCGAAGTGAATATGGTGAGTGGCCTCCCGAGGGGCCCGGCGGTTCGGCTTACGCAGATGGGAAATGGACAGGTCCCTTTGCCCTCTGCGTTTCATTGGCGGTCACCTCGCCCCTGGCCCCTGAGGTCCCACTCCGCACCCGCTCCCCGCTCCGGCACACACACCCGGTCGCCCCTGGTTTGTAATTTCGACACACACGGGCTACTGCGGTGTTCCAGGGGAAACGTGCTCGGCACTATTTTGGGAAGGACGAGTGACTGTTGCGCCGTGGATCTGCTGGGGCGGAGTCTGAGCGTTACTTTAGCTGGGTTTCCCTGCGTGTTTGGATGAGGAGGGCACCATCTGCTGGCAGCCGGGCGGCCTGCACTAGGGTCCCCGGACCGGTGGTCGGCAGCCATCACCTCCCCAGGCGCGGTGCTGGCAATCCCCATGGCCCTCGCAGTCCGCGAGCCCGGATGCACCAAGGCCCTGCCACCGAGAGCACAGTCTGGGTTTCAAAGTGTCCTCTCTCTCCAGGTTCAGGCACACCTGGTGGCAGGAGCAACAGGCTAAGACAACAGTCCATGTTTGCTAGTAGGAAAAGTGCCCGAGCCTGGGTAGGCTTGTATTGTTCTCTTGCGGGAGGTTATGAATTTGTCTTACTGCATCTTGCAAATTTAAGTTGAAACAGAATAAATCAAGTCATATTGCTTCACCTTACTCTAGAAACCTAAGCATGCCTAAAAATCCTGATAATTTAAGGGACGTTGGAAGGGAGAGGGGGCGACAGTAACACAGCACAGTCCTTTCATTTCAAAGGGGTCAACATTCTTTTATATATTTCTTCCCTCTCTTTTTGGAAGCTATTGCAAAATGAACTGAAATAGCTGCCACTTTCTCTGTTGGCTGGTTCCGTCCACTGTGTGTAGGAGTTTTCTACTTAGAGTTTCTAACTGTTGCTTCTCGTAAGACGGAAAAGCCTGTTGCTTTTCTAGAATCAACCACCCAGGGAACAGCTAGATCTACGTGAGCAAAATGCCATTTTTATTCCACTTGTGAAAAAATGTTATGGCGGCAGAAATTTATAAATCCTGAATAATTTAAAGAGTAAAACCATTTGAGATTGTATCACTCTATGGCTATAAAGGCTATTGAATTGTCTTTCATTTCATTCCTACTGTGTCGTTTTATTTTAATATACTATGGTTTAAGAATTCTTTTCTTTTCCTTTTTAGGTTATGTTAGGGTCGAAATAAATATGTCTATAGCTTATTGAATAGGAATAGAATAAAAAGTGTGACTATTTAATTTCTGTATTTTGTAGTTGTAGCGGCTCCTGCTTCAAATAACGTATTTAAAATACTATTTGTAAATGTCTCTGATTGTCGTGCTGGAAAAAGAAACTCAATTTTAAAAACGTAATACACAATGAATATTTCTCATTTGGCAAACTGACTTATTATATTCTGTTTACATACATGTTAACACCACAAAGTAACCCAAAACATATTATTTAGAAACACTCTGAGGAATGTAATAATATGTGCCTAATCTACACGAATGCAACTGGACAAATTAGACAATGAATTAGTTTAACAAGTTGTATCATGTAGATTAATAATGTTAATATTTTTCCTTTTCAATCATTTCCTTTGGTATCTTGTAAGCATCCACAGATAATTGATAAAATAGAAGATTTAAAAAGCTCAAAAAGCAAATGCAGCCTTTGTTCTACCTTGCCGTGTAGAGTGTCATGCTTTTCAGAATTTTAAAAAATATATAATTCTGTTGGCTATATTGACATACCCCTTTTCAGTTTTTTTTAAAACTCAATTAAATAGGGAAGTTGCTGCAATCAACAACCACCGTAACAAAAAGTTCTGTATAATTAGTTGTTCAACTGAATTCATACATAAGCTCAGAACAAGGATTGACTTTAATTGAAATACCACTGGACATTTCTTCCTAATGATTAAATAATACAGTCTGTTTACTCACAGCAACACGTGTGTATGCACTTGATTTTTCAAAAGTATTCACCCAGCTGATAAGCCTTTGAAAATACCTGTTCTACTACAATCCCCATTACCTTTCCACAACAATGTTACAGACATGATTAGAAAATAGAAACCACTCAAAGTTGAAAAATAATAAACCTTGATTTACTTGTTCTTTCTTGTTTCTCCTTTTAATGAGCACTATCAACAGAACCCAAAGTTTATTTTATCTTCTGTCATCTATGACAAAACATTGAAATAAATAGATTGGAAATAACTCCAAGAAAAATGGAAATAAAGAGTAATGTTTTTAAAATTGAGGGTTCTGTATAAACACAACTCAGATGGTTAGCCCGCACCCCCAAAAGAGAATTGTTTATTATATGTTGTGATATTTAGCTAATATAAATAGGGTAGGAAGTCCATGGAAAATAAGACTTATTGCTTATTGCTTTTTGTATTAAGCATGTTTCGGTGCCCTGATAGGCAGTAACTTGAGTAATTTAATAGAAAATTTTCATCTACATTAAATGACAAGAATATAACAAAGAGAATGGACAATAATATCATAAAAATAGTTTTTAAGAAAATGCAAGTTGAATCAATTTCCAAAACATTGCTTATATTTATGTTTTTATTTATTACCATTATTACCCATTCCATGGCTGGGAAAATGACATAATTGTGCATTAAATTAGTAGATTTGAGAACTAGGTTCCATTCATTTTTGTTCTTTACCATTGCTTCCCCAAGTAAAATATAATCCCTGATTGGTTTACACATTGTCTGCTTTACAGACTAACATCGTATCAAGAGTATTATCTGATTTCTTAATTTGTGAAAAATTAAGTGTTTTCTTAATTTTTCACAAATTAAGAAACAAAAGCAATCTTTACATAGTAAAGAATCTCTACAATCAAGAATCATTGGTTCTAAGCAGTGAATGCAAAACTTGTGAAGAATAATGCCGATGTAGATAAACATATCTACTTGAGAACAAGACTTTTCAGGCAATAATATTATTGATTAAATTAGAAAGGATTGTTCTTTTGGCATCATGGGATATACTGTTTGTGTGATAGCAACTACATACTGTTACCATTTTCTAAACTGTCATCTTAAAAAACCACCATGATTTCCATTTATATATTATAACCTTCAAACCTTGTCTTTTAACTGTTTCTGCCAAGCCACAGACACACACACACATACACACACACGCACAAAGAGGACTGACTAAAGATGAACAGGAGGCAGTTGGAGTAAATGGAGACAAGAGCTCCCAGAAATTGTCCTTAACATAACCACTAACATCTGCTACTATAAAGCCAGTAAAACACAGACAGTAGTAGGCAAATTTTCTCTTCGAACAGTAGTTTGGGGAAACATGATATTAACTACCTTCTAACAAGTAGTTGAACTCTTGTATTTCAAATTCCAGTGACTAGCTGTTCCTTTTTATTCAAGAGGTGGATCCTGATTACCAAGTAGGAGTTCCAACCAGGCAGCTCTCTGTACCTAATCTGAAGACACGATGGTCCAAATGGCCACCCCTAGAAGACCTTACATCGAATGAGTCCTGACTCAATGCAGGACTCAATTCAAGCTGTTCCCAATATGAGATAGCTATCATGGATTCATTGTCTTTCCTTCCTTCATGCATGAATGAGTATAACAGTGAATGTTCTTACAGACATTACAGTGAACAACGATGACAAAAACGAAAATGAGCCAATTTTATAAATAATGCTTAATGAAAGACAAATTTAATTTACCAAATATCCACTTAAAATTCACTGTTTCTGTTGTTGTGGTTATTTTAATATTAGACTCTGGAAGTTTCTGGTACATACTTCAATTATATCTCATTACTATCACTGTGGTGACTCAAAACAGTAACTGCTTGTCAGATTCCCAGTCCCCACATGAATTTCTCTAGGTCAGTGCTTCTCAATCTTTAACATATAGGTGAATCACTCTGGGATCTTATTAAAATGCAAATTCCAAATCAGAGGTGTGGGATGGGGCCTGACATTCTGCATTTTTCCTGGGCAATGCTGATTGCTGGTATATAGATTGCACTTTGAATATCAAGGTAGTACATTATCCTAAGTTCTAGCTTAATTAAGAAATTGGCTGGGTACAGTGGCCCCAACCAGTAATCCCAGCATTTTGGGAGGCCAAGGCGAGTGTATCACTTGAGGCCAGGAGTTTAAGACTAGCCTGGCCAACATGGTGAAACCCCATGTCTACCAAAAGTATACAAATTAGCTGGGTGTGATGGTGCGTGCCTATAGTTCCAGCTACTCTGGAAGCTGAGGCATGAGAATCACTTGAACCCAGGAGGCTGGAGGTTGCGGTGAGCCAAGATCGTGCCACTGTGCTCCAGCCTATGTGATAGAGCAAAACAGTCTTAAAAAAAAAGAAAAAAAGAAAAAAAGAAAGAAAAGTAAAGAAAAAAAGAAATGAACTTTTTTTTTCCATTAAAATTTCTTTAGGAATGTTATTATTTAAGTTGCAGGTAGCTGTTCTCTAAAGGGAAAGTTAATGCCATAATTGATGATGATGATGATAAGCAACAGGATAAAGGCAGGAGCCTGGAGATGGGGCTTGACCTAAACTAATAAATAGTCTTCTTTTCTGTATTAATACCTGTGAATCAACCAATCTCAAATGATGGCAATGAAAACATTTCCAAGTACAGTAACTCCACAGTACTATCCTGTTGCTTTACAGGGACACCTATGCCTTTTTTCTTCAGAATAAAGAACATTGCAAACTGTTTTTGCACCACTGAGGAGCTAGCAATAACTTTGTAAAATAGCCTAAACATACTCTTGATGCTGTCAGTAAGTTCTCTGAGGTTATAATAGAATTTCCTTTGCAAACAGAACAAATAGGTGAGTACCACTTAAAAGCAGAAACAGGTATTAGCTAGCATGTAAATACATTTTATTCTTATATGAGTAATCACACAAGTTTTTCTCTTAGGTTCTGGGTTACAATTTTATAACGTCTGGAGAGGCTGGGGAAGGAAAATCTTCCCTTTGCCTGTCTGTTTGGAGATAGCATATATATATTCGTTTTTTTTTGTTGTTGTTGTTGTTTTTTGTTTTTTTTTTTTACTCTAAGCCACATTAAAGCAAGCCTATCTAGATTGTTTTAAAGTTTGAGTTTACATTTGAAAGCCTGGGATTTTAGGATTGCAGAATCAGACTGGGTATTATAGTGTGAAATACAATGAAAATAAATAGTAACTTACTGAACATTTTCCATATGTGAGGTATGGTTATCAGTGCTTTACATTAATAGCGATTTAATCCTTTACTTAATGCTATACAATTCTTACCCCTCCCCACCATTACAGATTGAAAAACTGAGGCTGAGAGAGCGGGAAATGTTGTTAGGTTAAATACCTTACTCAGAAGTTACACAGCTAGTGAATGGCAGAGTCAAAATTTGAAACCAGGCAGCCTGTCTCCAGGGTCTGGCTCCTAACTACTAGACTAGTAAAAAATAGCCTAGGACTTTGAGTGAGTAATTTGGCTTCTGTAGGTTTCTCCTTTGTAAAATGAAGCTAAATTACATAATTGCTAAACCCTTTTCCAGTTCAAATATCCTATAATAAAAACTTAGATATTAAAGATTTTAGACTCCCTCAAAATAAAAAAATCTTTGTCTCCATCTTACTCCCTTGCTAGATTGTCTTAAATACCATATTCTCCTGGTAGGTGAGTCAATCACAAGAATTTATTGAGTTCCCACTGAGTGCAAATGATGTAGCCTCCTGGGAACATTGAAGTACTGATTGTGTGCAATCTAGGGCCTCTTGAATCATTATTTTAATTAGTCATGGCATCCTCATCCAACTTTTTCTTCCTTAAACACATTCACAAAGACAGCAACAAGAAGCAATGATCTTCAAAATGAAACTGGCCTAATGCCTGGTTTATATTGTATTGAACATTAGAGCCAAGACTAAATTGGAATTATTTCTATGTGGAGCTGTCCATTGTATTTAAACTGGGAACACTGCTCCACCACAACTGAAGTAATAATTTTTTTAACACTTGTTGTGAAACAGAAGGAAAGTATTATTTTTGAAGATCTGAGTATCCCAAAGGATTTACCCAACCGGCCTAAAATCCTTCCATGAGGTGACTGAGAAATGAGGGATAAAACCAGGGTGTTTGTCTTAGCTGAATACCACTTAATATCCATTCTTTAAGTTTCTGATGATTTTTGCCTTGGCAAGCCCCCAAATACTTCATAGCACCTTCAAAACACTCATACACAAATGAAATCTTGCATTATCAAGGAAAGTAAAACATTTCAAAAGAGAAATGAATGGTTTAAATGTTTCCAGTTGGCTTAGGTTTCAGTGAGGGGGCTCAAATGACATAATCACACTTGAAAATCATAGGAGGAAGAATTAGTAGATGTTTATAGTTGACTAAATATTAGTACATAGTTCATCCATAAACCATATGAGCACTGAAATTCCTTTTCCCAAAATACTTCTGTTTTCAGTAGATCAAGCATTTCATGAAGTTCCTTGACTTCTATCTATTGAAAGGGAAAGACGTTAATAGTAGCATTTAACAATCTATTATTCACTACTTGACAGATATGCTTAAGAAAATGTTTACGATTAATTCATATCAGTGGTGAAATCTTATAAAAAAGGCTGGCCACAAGAAAAAACTGAAAGATGCATTTTTTATCTTTAGTGAGCCCAGTTACCCCTTTTAGAGTCCTCAGAGTCTTCATTGCTACTCTTCTGCTAAGTGAACCAATGTATCTTTCCCTGTCTCTCACATCCCCGATAAAATCTGTTGTTGCATTGTGAATTTGAGAATAAAGGATAATTTTCCAGTAGCATTGATCCAACTACTCAAGCAGAAAAGAAAATACAAAAAAAAAAAAAAAACCAGGCAACTAGATATGGTCTCTGTTCTTGTAGAGCTTATAGTCTTTTTCAAAAAACAGACAAAACAATTTAAAGTTTCCAATCATGAAGTGAAGATTTTTCTTTTTAGAGGAATGTCTTTTTTGAAAAGCATATTTTTGGAAGAAGAACTGTGGATTTGAAACATCCATAGTTATCTTGGTCTATGTGGTAGGTGCTATGATAGAGACATGTATGTATAGGATCCTATGGGAGCACCAGTTGGTAGTTTCTAAGACATGATGAAGGGTTAATGCCTGAAATGAATCTTAGAAAAGAATAGTAGTTAGCAATTGTGTAGAAGTTCTTCTCATTTGCAGCCTATATACATTTCCACACAGAAGAAAGGGCATATGCACTGGGAGGTGTGCCTGAAAACAGCATGAAGTGTTCTGGGAACTACAGATAATTCCTATTGCGAAAACTTAAAAGGCACAGGGAGGATTGTCAAGAGATCAGACTGCATGCTAAAAGCAAGTTGTAGGACAATGTCATTGAATGCTCTCATTGTGTAAAAAGGAGCCTTTCTATAAACATATATTTGTTTGTATATGCACTGACAATTTCTGAAAGGATACACAAAAGAAAATGAGTAATAGTTATTCATCTTGGAAGTGGAACAAGGACCAGAAGTGCACTGCAGAGGAATATTTACTGTCTTTTATATACCCCTTTGAACTCTTGGCTTTAAAAAAATCTTACATGTATGTGTCCTCCACTTTCATTTTAAAAAGAGAATTTGTACTACACACTCACATGCAAACAGATAAAGAAGTGATGCTGGAATATCTATGCTGAGGAAATGGACCCTAATCCTGAAATGCAGAACATCTGACAAAGTGTTTAAAGGCAACTGTGTTTTGTATTTTAGGTTCTTGCAGCTATGTGGAGGATGAAGTAGAGAAGGCTAAAACTGAGGACAGTGTTAGGAAGCTAAGAGTGTTTCAAGGTCCAGATGAGAGGTGATAGATGCCTAAACTAGTACTTTCCATAGGAATAGACAGAAAAATGATATTCAGAAGCAAATCAGAGGAATTTAGTGACTCTTTGGATGACAGGGGTTAGAGAAGAAATGAGCCCTGCATCCCCATCTATGGTTCCATATTAAGTGATTGACATCGGGGCTGCATGTGCCTAGGGAGGGAACCCAGGGCCAGGAGCACCACACCATCTCTTTCACTGCTGAAGTGGACACATTTTCAGGAAAAAAAATTAGAGTATATTATAAGTATATGTTATAAGGCACTTGGGGAAGAATTGAGTTAGAATATTGAATATTGACATCAATGAACTATTTCTTCCAAGTCTGTTCACAAATAAGGTGAGCTCTACAGAGATAGATCCTGAAGCCCATAAATGTAGTGAGTGAAATGCGTTGGTTAGAGATAGGGAGAAAGGGTGCTGGGCAAAGACAGAATGGAATAGAGTCAACTTTAATTATCCCTAGTAATATAGCTTTTTATCTAGGAGGACCTAGACTCTGACAGTATTTAGAGCATACTTTTCAATCCTTCCAGAGGCGTGATCTTTGTGTTCTGTTTTAGATGCCTTTATAAAACCTTATAGGTAGGGGAAATAGATGTGTGGGAAACTTACTTACACAGCATCTGGTCTCTTCTCCACTGTATCGCTAAAGTGATTCAGAGTCCTTCTGGAACATTGTGTTTCCATGTGAGATTGCATGAAAGCAGTGTAAAGCAGTGTGAGTTCTTGTAGAAAGTGTATTTGGTGATGAAATGAGACCGGATATAACAGGCAGGGCAAATGAGGCTGACAGCATGCCTTGAGAAATGAAGCTTACCTGCCAGGAAATTAAAAAGTGACTCTCAGGACCTTTGCACAAGAATGAAAACATTTGAATGGACTGTTGGGTATGATTCTAAACAAGAATTCAAGAGAGCCCTGTCCTCTACAAGTTGGTCTCCTGGAAAGAGGAAATCTATTTAAGCAGTCTTATTCATAGATTATACTATTTTGTTTAGAGAAAGACAGAGAAACAGCTAGAGAAATAGATTCAAATAGAAGAGGGCCCTTAGGTAGCTGTTAGCAATCAGCTGTTCTTTCCCTACCTCTACTGAAAAGAGTATGGATGAAAGGTCTTCAGATATATCAGGAAAAATTAGAGGTTAGATGCCTTGACTCTTGTTGCTAAATGGATTAATCAGAGAAGTTGCTAAGAGTGAATCCCATTTGAATGATAGGGTTTATTTGGTATCTTCCCTGAAAACAGAGAAACAGATTTGTCGAAAGCTCAGGATCTCTGCCTACTCTAGCCCTCCATGACTCACGGAGATATTTTTTCTTAAGATTTATTATTTTCAAGGGAATGATACACAATTTTCTAGTCAAGGGAAATAGCTTTGTTGTCTCCATGGAGACAGTTCAATGACATTCATTTGGAATCCCACCTGTGTCTAGAACATTTTCTCATGTCAGTGGCCATTATTTCTACCTCCTGCCACCTGCAAACCCTCTCCCACCCAAATGCCTCTAGGTCTACTTCAAATCGTATTTTTTCTATGGAGTCTTTTCTGCAGTCTTACCAGAGAGAATTATACTGGAGAAAGAATATCTGGGGCATATTAGGAAATCAAGACTCATAAAAGACAAAAGACCCAATATAATTTAGGAATTATACATATAAAGGTCTTCCTAACCTTGCCTTTATCCCCCTACTATGTAAGCTTTAGGAAGCTTAGAATTATATTCTTCATATTCTCTATTATCACTCCCAGCATATTTTAGGGACTGAATAATAACATTCACTAGAAATTTTTGAGTCATAAAAATTGTTAGTAAATATAGCATTTACATTTTTAAATTCAGAAATTAATAGTTTCTTTATCAAGTCTACCTTATACTTTAATCTGTAATTTTTTTATGTTGACCATGAATCATGAGCTGTTTCCATAGAAACAGCTTCATCACATGGCATAGCCAGTTTCACAGACACAGAATCACTTCATGACAAATATCAATGCATGTGTATGTGTATGTGTACATGTATGTGTATGTGTACAGTATATATATATATATATATATATATAAAATACGTGTGTGAGTATGTGCACAGTATATATATACAAATATATATATATGTATATATAGTCTGCTTTAAAAAATAATCACTACTTTTCATTTTCCAAATATCATCTTACTGGCACATGGACTGTCAATATTTCTAGATACAGGTAATAAATTGTTAAAGAATAATTTGATTGAGTATTACAAAGTGAATGACATTTAAAAAGAAGAAAAATCAAAAATAAAAGGTAGCATATGAAAAGGGGCCTTTTAGCAAATCTGTAGGGATTTTTAAATAAGAATAGTTATATTTTAAAAGGTAACCAAAGACCTAAACATAAAAGTAAAAAGTTAAAATTATGTCTAATCCACAAATATATATGCATGTAATATATATCTATCCACATCCATTATCTGCCTAGTCATTTTGTATGTATACAAAATTATACATATACCTCATGTATACATAATTTTATCCTTGCTGCTACATGATCTGTTTTAAAATGTCAACTTTTGTCTGAAATCTCCACATTCTCACAGTAATTTGTTATAACCAGTAAATGTGGTAAATCAACTACCACATTAAATGGTGGTGAAATTTTCTTACCACTGACATCACCACCTCTCTGTCTCTTCCCTGCCCTCCTCCCCTGCCCCCATTTAGCATGTCCTAAAGAAAAAATTGGGGAAATAAAAATCCCAAGCCAACTATTGAGAGGCCAATGAGAAGAGAGAAAGAAGATTCACGACAGAGGTTAATATTGGCCAACTGAAAACTTCTGTCTTCATGTGGGGAGAACTGATCTTTAGAAGTGTCGAAGTTGGGAATGAGAGGAAGACTGGATAAAAAATTTGGAGAGTAGGATATATTCACAAAACTGGAAAAATGGATTCAGTCCTTGGTGGGTTATTTGTGTCTGCCTCTTATACCTACGTAAACATTGCTACGTAAACAACATACCCCACAAGCTATGTTGCATAAAGTTTGGAAGGAATTTCATAACGTGGTTCTCTGAAACTGTGGAAACGAATGACTTTCAGGATTTTACAGGATGGCATCTGTTCTATTGTGTTCAAAATCACTGTTACCAGACATAAATTTAACTTGATGAATTATGTGTTTGCATAGTCACTGTTCTGCTGTTCCACATTTTAAAGGAGTTATACATCACCTTTAGTTCTGCAAAATGGACAGAGATATGAGCCAAAACTCAAATAAAGCAATTGCCTTTATTCTTTTTCAATAAACTTAACCTGTTCAATTTCACTGAGTGGAGCTTAGTTGGTGAAACAAAATATGGGACCCTATCTGTACAATAACTAGTGAGCACCTGCAGAAGGGGGTTTCAGAATAACTGGAAAGCTATCTCCTTGAAATGTCATTATTAGAACTTGATGTATTCAGCTTTGATTCCTGCAGAAATGTAGCTAACCTTGAGAGAGGAAAACATAATGCTAGTCTTCAGGTACTCTTTTTATATCAGAATGTGAATGAATGGTTGCATGAGAGAACAGGTTTGCTTATGGACAGAGATTAGAAAACAGAATAAGGAGAAAGAAGAAGCTGGAGTTATTTCATACGTTTTCCCAGAATCAGCAATTTCCTGAATTTGGGAGTTGATATGAACTAGGTAGAAAAAGTGGCCAAGGTGTGCTGAGACAGCGTTTGTGTTGCCTACACTGATCTTCTGCATTTGAAAAGCATTTTGCTTGATCTGACAGTGACGCCTAATAATTTGTAGCCCAAGATGTGAAATCAACAACTCTAACTCCATTCTCTGCTTGTGTAACATCTGTGTTAACGAGGCAAGATGACGTTAATATTTTGTAGTTTTAATAATTAATCTCATAGTTAAAATCAGTGTCCAGTGGGCAGTATACACCAACAATCTTTTAAGTCCAGACACTCTTGATCTGGAGTGTATAGTTTTGGTTTTACTCTTGAAGTACCTTTCCCTTGAACATGTTTCTGTTAGGCTATATTTGAACAATTTTAAATCACTTTAAGATGTCAGGATGATGTTGTATCCTAATTTATACTCTCAAGTATAAATCTTGTGATTTACTTAATCTCTTTGATTCTCAGTTTCATGTAAAATGATAACAAGAATTTCTGCTTTACCTGTTTCAGAGAGCTATGAGTGTCACGAGATATATATGATTATATGCTCTGGTGTAAGTTATGTGTAAAATGTACAATAGTGTAATTGTTAAGTGCTGGTATTTTTTATTTCATATTTATCTCTCAGGCTTATAATGAATTTCTCCCTCTTTAATGCCAAGACACCAGGGGTAACATTAACTCACATTATGCATATTCAGATATAATAAATATAATATTTTTGCTTGCTATTGGGGTTTTCATCATGCAGTTGAAATTCATATTATTTTTAATTGTGAAATTTCTTTGTGAGAACTGACAATAAAAATCAAAATAATTTCCCCCTCTTCCCTCCTGATAATTTTATCTTGTTTCTTACTCTGAGAAGGAGCAGAACCACGTTACCACTCAAACTTAAACAAAATTTCAATTGGTATATGGTCCTTCCATACCTCTCTAAATGTCATATTTTGTGATACTCCCTTTATATGAGGAGGAAATAAAATGTGTTGCTTTACAAGGGCTTAGCCTAAGGGTTAGGGTTCTCAGATTGACTTCTCACTTCTTTTTAAGTTACAGCTCCTCCACTTACAAGATCTGTTCTGTTGGCATTAATTAACTCTAGAGTGACTATGCAAGTCCTTGACAAAACATACACCTTTGAGAATGAAAATGGGCACTATTAATAATTACCCATGGACAACAAGTGTAAAACAACACTTTCCTAGGAAACCCAGGATTTATGATTACAGTATGCCACTCAAAGCCTGAATTTCTCTTTAAAATGGAAATAAATGATATTTTCTTCTTAGGTTATCGAAGGCTAAATGAGATAATGTGTACAAATATTTTAGCATAGTTCCCTGACCCTGAGTAGGTACTTGGGGAAAAAACTGGTCATTTTAAAGCATAGTATTCTCCTTTATCATCATCATCATCATCATCATCATCATCATCATCATCATCATCAGTCCATTTCAGCTGATATAACAGAGTATCACAGACTGGAAAGCTTATAAACAAGAGACATTTATCTCTCAGTTCTGGAGGATGGGAAATCCAAGATCAAGGCACTGACAGATTCTGTGTCTGTTGAGGGGCTACTGCTTGGTTCAAAGACAGCCTTCACATGGTGTGCTTACATGGTGGAAAGTGGTGAGGGAGTTTACTGGAGCCTCTTTCCTAAGGGCTCATTTATGAGGGTTTTGCCCCCACAACCTAATAACCTCCCAAAGACCTCACCTCCAAATGTTGTTATATCGGAGCTCAAGTTTTGGCATGTGACTTTTGTGGGGAACACACATTCAGTCTATAGCAATCATTATCATCATCATCATCCTATTTATTCAACATTTACACTGTAACCAGGCACTGTTATGAGAGCTTAATATGGTTTGGCTCTGTGTCCCCACTCAAATCTTACCTTGAATTTTAGTTCCCATAAACCCTATGTGTTGTGGGAGGGAGCCAGTGGGAAGTGACTGAAACATAGGGGCAGTTTCCTCCATGCTGTTTGCATGATAGTGAGTGAGTTCTCATGAGATCTGATGGTTTTATAAGCATCTGGCATTTCCCCTGCTTACCCTTCTCTCTCCGGCCACTCTGTGAAGAGGTGCCCTCTGCCATGATTGTATGTTTCCTGAGGCCTCCCCAGCCATGTGGAACTGTGAGTCAATTAAATTCCTTTCCTTATAAATTACCCAATGTCAGATATTTCTTCATAGCAGGGTGAGGACGGACTAATACAGTGCTTCATATGTAAATATCAACAATAAAATTATAGTAGATGAGATAAGAAGAGTTTTTACACCAAAGTTTGTAGATAATCAAACAAACAAAAATATTATTTATCTGTTCACTTCTGCTTATCAAGCACTTTGTAAAAGCAAAGGTACTTGGTAGGAACTGTGAAAGGTTATTAAAAATTATAGGATTTACTTTATTTTTTAAGAAACATCCAAAAATCTCACTGAGAAGGTAAGTTACAAAAAGATAACTATCTACCTGAAGTCATAATTGACCACTAATGGCACCAAAAAAGGTCCTGAATATGAGATCACAGTGACCCTGAAGATGAGATCTCATGACATAGCAGAGAAAGTGCAATCAAGCTGAGATATGCAGGAGAAGAATAATCTAGGTAGGAAGGTAATTGATATTCCAAGTAGGGAAAATAGTATTAGGAAATCTGTAACAATAGCAAAGACATGGAATCAACCTAAATGCCCATCAATGATTGATAGACTGGATAAAGAAAATGTGGTACATATACACCATGGAATACTATGCAGCCTTAAAAAATAATGAGATCATGTCCTTTCAAGGATATGGATTGAGCTAGAGGCCATTATCCTTAACAAACTAACACAGGAACAGAAAACCAAATACGGCATGTTTTCAGTCATAAGTGCCAGCTAAACGATGAAATACATGGACACATAGAGCAGAACAACGTGCACTGGAGCCTATCAGAGGCTGGAGGGTGGCAGGAGGGAGAGGATCAGAAAAAACAACTAATGGGTACTAGGCTTAACACCTGGGTGATGAAAATAATCTGTACAACAAACCCCCTGGACACAAGTTTAGCTGTGTAAGAAACTTTCACATGTACTCCTCTGAACTTAAAATAAAAGTTAAAAAAAATTAAACAAAACAGTCTTCCAAAAATAATAAATAAATAAATAATCTGTAGCAGTAAGATTACCAAGGGTATTCAAAATTACAGAGAGATTCACATGACTCTTCAGGCTGGAAATATAATCCTGGAGTCTTGATAATGATAACAGAAATTAAACACATCTACAAAGCAGGTACTATTCTAACCACTTTATGAATATTAACCTACTTAATCTATAAAGCAACCATATGAAGTATATATCATTATTATCCCTATTTTACAGATATGTAAACTGAGATATAAAAAAATTAAGTAACTTGCCCAAAGTTATATAACAAGTAAGTGATAGAGCTGTGATTTGAACCTAGATAATTAGCTTCAGAGTCTATGTGTGGTAATTAGGTCACTACATCAGTTAGATCATAAAACATCATTATTTCTAGTAACATTTAAACATAGAAAAGTTTCAGAGATTTAGGGAATATGGTTAATACTAGAAATTGGGTCCTAGGAAGAAATGCATTAGCAATTAATATTATTTATTCCTGAGTTAAACTTTATAAAAGTAAGGAGCAGTTTGATTAATGTCTTCAGATTTATGAAATGTTTGATCCATTTGCTGATTTAATTCATATTGGATCTACTGTATGTAAGGTACAAAGTGTTATTAATCAGAAACAGGAAGAGATAATGGATTTGTCCTCCCTCTGAGACAATCTTAACTTGAGAAGGAAATGAAGTTTAAATTGGACATAAGGAAGAGCATCTTGACTGTAAGGAGTGAGAAGATGCTGGAAGGAACTACTAACAGTAGTTGGGAAGTGTACATCCTTAGAAAGCTTCAGAACAAAAAAAGATAATTATATCTGTCCTACTTGGCTTAGATGGCTGTGCTGTCCAAAGGCAAGAGGGTGAGACCAGAAAGTAAATTTCTCTTAACATCTTTCCTGATGGAAAATTTTGAGGTTCAAAAATTTTTACTTTATAAATTACAAATGATCCATCATAGCTTCAAAAATCCCCACATTGTAATCACCTTTTTAGTATATATACTTGAGGATTGATTTATTCAGTCATAACCACACATTCAGAGACAATGACAAGGCCCTGGGCTAGGCCATTATGAATTAAGTCTCTCTTCTTGGAACGACTAACTTGTGACCTTACGGTGCACAATACTCAAACTTATATCTCAGAAAAAGCTGCCATGTCACTGAGCTTCAGAGTAATTAATGAAGAGGAGACACAGCAGATGTTAAATTCCCAAATGCCAGGAGTCTTTTGCAATGAGGACTTCTTGAAGACAATGACCACACCTCATACTGTGCTGGATAAGAGCCTTACACATAGAGCAGGATGAATAAAATTGTGTTCAATTTAAGCGTGATGCATTCAATTCAAGTCTATCTGTACTTTTGTATTTAGACCAGGAAAAAAGATAACCCATAAGGCTAAGAATAGAAATAGTGGTTAAAATGTAATGAATGCATGCCATGTCTCAGGTACCAGGATAAATACTTTATATCAGTTTTTACAAGAGTCACCTGAGATAGGAATATTTAATATCCTTATTTCACAGATAAAGAACTGAGTCCAGAAAGGTTTATTTATAACAGAGCTGGGTTTAAAGCTCAGGGCTGTCTGACTTCAGAGTCAGACTTCTAACCCCCTTTCTCATTTTATCCAACAATAATTTCTTTCCCTTTAGAGTTTCCTCTAGTCTGAATTCTGCCATTAAAAACAGATCTTTTATTATTTCTCTAAATGAATGGATAGGCAGAATCCTACCCAAACAATTGAGTTCTGAATTTCAGGCCTCAAAACAAGCCATAAGGAAGGAAAGTGGTTGCTGTTCTTGCTCTAGTTCTTACCTAGGGTTACTGTCATAGACAGAGCCTTTCCTCTTAATCTTTTCATGATGAGAAGAGAAAAAAAAAAAAAAAACTGTTGCCAGAGGAGGGAGTTTTTCGGTGCAAATCCAAGTTTTCGTTGCTCCCTCCTTTGGCATCCATGTCATGGTTCATAAAGGAGGAAACACAATAGTTTTCCAGTCAGGTTTGCTAGCAAAGGCGATTTGTTTGTTTGAGTTCAAGATGAAGACCCGAATAATCCAAAATCATTTGTTACTTTTTAATTCACAAGATTCCTGCCGGTGGAAAGACAGAACTGCTCTCCATTCCAGGATTCTCTAATGGGGCCGTACGTCAACAACAGAAGGGGAGAAGCATGCCAACTGTTTCTTGAGGGGAGAATACAGAGGCTAATCAGACGACCAATTTTTGGGTAGAGAAAGACAGAAAGACCCAGGTATATTTAGCTCTTCTGAATTCTTCCAGTGAACACTGAGAGAGAAATCAAATAGTAATATGTAAAGGTCAGATCATTTCATCACTGTCCTTTCAGAACAGGGAAATTACATTATGAAATGCAAATGGCATCCGAGGTTAAAATAGCAAGTTATTATTACCACATAGCTTACAGGAGGTATTTTTCACTTTTCTGCCTCATGTAGGAATATCGTCTTTATTTTTAAAAAATCTTGGTTTCTTTTGGCTTGATCTAAATGAAGGCAATGGAAATATTTAGCTTGATTCTACAGAAACAAAAAAACAAAAGGGTTTACTGCAGATGAACAGTATATTTATAAAGTAGAAGACAGTCATAGAACATAGTTTAGGGAAAAACAGCTAACTTGAAATAAATAAACTGTTGTTTCTGTACTTCAAAAACGCAGAGGTAGGCTGTTTGAGAGATCACTAAATTCTGCTGCTGCCATTACAGACTTTCACATTTACTCTTTTTGGTAGTACATAAATAAGGCATGGTATTACTACTCACTCATATAGATCTTGCTGTATTTGTTCATCTTTCTCAGCTAAAGAATATGTTCTCTTAGGTGTAGTTTGGGAGTTTAGCAAGCAAATGCTTAACTATCTATGTGCTATCACTATAACCAGGAAAACATATTTGGATATTCACATTGTCCCATTCACATTCGGGCACACACAGGTCAGGTCAATTCAGAATTTTATTGCCTTTGCTTCAAAGGTGTTACTAAGTTATTGGGGTGGGAGGTGGGTGCAGCACAAAGTGAACTTCAAGAAAGTTACCAGTTAGGCATAATGCATTGTGGATTTCACTGAGGTATGAAAATATATAATTTCAGAGTGACTTTGTAATTGAAATCATCAGACCAGTACATCATTTTGTAAGTTCAAAATCCATTTAATTCTAATTTTATTGGAGAGTTAGTAGAAAGGAAATACTGTCAGGCAACAAATATATGTATATACGTATATATATATACATACATATATTTTTTTTAAGAGCTGCTTGTTAGAAGTTCCCAAGAAGCATTTTGGAAATTTCAGATGCAAAGGGGGAAGTAAATGCCAATGCAAAGAGTTGAAGGAAGCAAAGAATAATTTTGATGAATAAGAATTTATAAATACCAGCTTATCATTTTTGTTGGATACCTGCTTTGCAAATGGCTTGCTATAAGTAGACATTCAACACTGTGAGATAGCCTATTTTTTCCTGGATTTTCCCTGTTGCATTCAGGAGTGAATTGACAACAAATGTTCAACTCCATCTCCTGATTCCTCACAGTCTCTTCTCCCAACTCCACATAAATAAGAGAAAAACTTCAATCATAAATTCAATTTCAATATTACTGATGTTTCCTCTCTTGTCTTCCATTTTTCCATTCCTTCCACTCTCTTTTTCCATATGGTTCCTTAATTGACTAGTAATGGAGGCTCATCTGGCTACCATCTGTTCTAGAAAAGCAGCATGATGGGAAATGAATGGGTTATTACTGGGCCCACCCTGGGTTCTGGCTCGGGTTTTGTGTGTGCCCTCTCTGTTAATTTTCTTGTCTCTGTGTGTTGGGTCAAGAAAAATGCCATTAAAACTCATCAAAACTGCTCCTTCTTCCTCAGGAAGAGGGCAGAGTTTATGTCAGTAGGAAAATAAATCTTTGGGCTACTCCTTCTAACTCCCTGAGACTGGCAGGAAGGAGGGAAAAAAAAGACGGGGATTTCAGAGGCTCTGCCAGTTTCACAGTGCTAATGGGCAATATCCGGAATAACTGGCCCTTTGTTTCAGGGAAATGTTAATGAGCCTTTGGGAATGCAAAATTATGTTTAGAGCTAAGAAGGGAAGAAGGGCTAAAATTTTCTGCTTAAGAGTATAAGAAAAGTTGAAAGCAGAATAGAAAATAGAGAACCAGAGAGAAGAGGCAGATTGGAGACAAATAAAACTGAGAAACTAGACAAGAGGTTGAAGTTCTCAGCAAGTATTTATTTCTCAGTGTTGAGTAACAGAAGAACTTAAAAACAGGGATGTTTTCATTTGATTATATGTTAGTTTTCATTGCAGTGTTGTAAAACATCATTGCTTCTCCACTTCCTCATAAAGGCTTTTATTTGTAGTGCTTTGTTGGTATAGTTTTTGGGAATTCTGAGTTCCACATCTGGGTCAGCATTGAGTACAGGGAAGAGAAGAGCCATGTATTTGAGACCAGAATGATAATAAGAGTTCAGAAGAAACAATAAGAGCCAAAGGCAACCAGGAAAACATATTTGGATATTCACAAAAATCCCAGGGAAAGCACTGGACTTTTAATAGTAGACGGTAAAGGCTTCAGGTTAATTTATTTCAGTCTCAAAGAAAGTCAGCCGACTAGTAGTTACATATAAAGCATGATTAAGGCTGGGTGACATGACTCACGCCCGTAATCCCAGCACTTTGGGAGGCCGAGGTGGGCAGATCACTTGAGGCCAGGAGTTCAAGATGAGCCTGACCAATATGGTGAGAGCCCGTCTCTACTAAAAATACAAAAGTCAGCCGGGTGTGGTGTCACACACCTGTAATTTCAGCTACACGGGAGGCTGAGGCAGTAGAATCTGCTTGAACCCAGGAGGTAGAGGTTGCAGTGAGCCGAGATTGTGCCACTGCACTCCAGCCTGGGTGACAGAGTGAGACCCTGTCTCAAAAAATAAATAAATAAGATAAAGTATGATTATAACCAGCATACAGGAAGCAGAAGACCTGTGCCTTGTAATTGCTGAAGAAACTTGAGTTCCCCTTTTTACACTGAAGCAATATGGAGGCCCCATGTCACTACTGAAAAGGAACATGAGAAAGATGTGAGTTGAGGCTACTGAGGAAAGAGAGCATGACAGCAAGGCATAATCATTGTTTTCTCTCCTGATTTCCTGTAGGATCTCCTTCTGAGGCTGCAAACTCAAGGGTGAATATTATCAGTGTGATACCCACACAAACAAACACACATTCAGGCAAGGGGGAGAGGTAATTCAGTTCCCATACATACCACATGCGCAATTACTTACAAGCATATGGCTATCAATTTAAAGTGGTTTGGCATACAAACTCCGAAGTACGGAGCTAGTATAGCCACAGTGTGCCTTAAGACCCATTTGTACTGTGGCCTTTAAAATATGGTAGATGGTGGAGTCCAAGAATTCAAGATCAATGCTGTAAATTTCTCAGAGGCACAAACCCTGTTGTCTTCTTGCTGGCTCTGCTGATCTGTCTGTTTATATCTAGTGCTCTCTGACTTCCTATTCAGTTCTCTCATTTTCCTCCCCGACTGTAGCATTATGCATCTTCCTGTCAATGTATCCATCGCTTTGCGGATCAGCTTCTGAAGCATCCAATGGATCTAAAAACTGAAAGAAGGCAACAGAAAGAAAAAATAGAGAGCGAGCAAGCAAGCTGAGATGAGTACAAGTTTAGTGCTTGCAGTTAATTCTGGTGGAAATCAGAGAAGAAATTAAAATGTGAGAAAAAAGGGAAGAGTAGAATGAGGCGCTGTTGCAGGCTGGGTTCTCCTGAGACACTGAGATGAATATTTGTGATTCTTGGGATGTTTATTGAAAAACGCTGTTGGGAACAACTCCTGTGGGGCAGTGAGGGCAAGAGCATTAGGTAAAGGGAGAGGTGACATGGTGAAGCTGAATCAAGATGTCATTGCTACAAATGTGTTACTAACCCCAAGAAGAGCTCTGGAGCAAGAATGACCCTTCAGAATTATCTGAAATTCAAACATATGTCTTTGTCTTAGTCTGTTCAGGCTGCTATACCAAAATTATCATAGGCTCTGTGGCTATAAACAACAAAAATTTATTTTTTTCACAATTCTGGAAACTGGGAACGCCAAGATGAAGGCACCAGCAGGTCTGGTGTCTGGTGAGGTCTTCTTAGTTCATAGACAACCTTCTTCTCACTGTGTTCTCTCAAGGCAAAAAGATTCAGGGACCCAAGAGAGGTACCTTAGATGTATCTGTATGCATATATATGACTTTTAATCTCATTCGTGAATACTCTGTCTTCATTAGCTTATAATCTCCCCAAATCCCCACCTTCTAATGCCATCACATTGAGGGTTAGGATTCCAACATATGAATTTTGAGAGAACATAAACATTCAGCTATAGCAGTCTTTGTATCCCAACTGGATTCTACCACCTAACATTAGCCAACCATGTGATGTGGGCTGTCACTGGAAAGAAGGTGTGACCATGGGTGACAAAGTCCTTTTCAACTATGGCATATCTAGAGAGTGACCGAGCTGAGAGATTTCAGCCACCACTCCCAGCAACTGGAAAAATGAGTGGGTTCTGAAAGGGGTGTGAGATCTAGGCTGAGAATCACAGTATCCGCCTATTACCCACAGGGTAAGAAACACAGCTAAAATGACTGGCCTGAAGAGACTCTCCCTCAGAGCTCTGGGTAGTTTTGTCTCATACTATTCACTGATTGTTGCACGTGCATTGCTTTTGTCCTTTACCTAAAGTCTAAACTCTTTAAATACCAGGATCACATTTTATATACTTTTCCTATCCTTTAATAATTTCTTTAGATGAGTAGCTGCCTAAATGTAAAATTGACTTTTTTAAAAAAAAAAAGCTCATTACCTGTGTAATATGATACTATAAAAAGAGTCTTTTTTCCATATTTTAAGAAGATGTAAGTAACCACTCATTTACCAAGTTTTTTTTTTCTGTCATATCTGCATATAAAAGGCTCCTGAGTGGTCTGATACTGATGACCTTGAACAGTTACAGGCAGAACCTTGAACACTCAAAAAGAGAGAAGGGAGACCAGGAGAATGTGTGAAAGTGAGAGTCTAGGTACTTCAGTGGAAAGAGCCCTCAACCACAGTCTGAAGGTCGGCTTCTGTTTCTTGCTATACTGGTGCTTGCCACGTGATCTTCTAAAAGTCACTTGAACTCTCTTAGACTCACTTCTTTTTTTCATGTAATTAGGGATAATGATGTCTGCTTTACCTTCATGAATAGCAGCAGGTGTTGGACTGAAGGACTGCGATGAAGATCAATGGGTAATGCCTGCCTGATATTTTTGAGGTCTACAGAAATATTCAAAAGAGTAGTTGCATTGTTACTATTATTATTACTTTATGGGCAACATTTTTTTTTTTGAGATGGAGTCTTGCTTTGTTGCCCAGGCTGGAGTGCAGTGGCATGGTCTCGGCTCACTGCAATCTCCACCTCCCCACATTCAAGCAATTCTCCTGCCTCAGCCTCCTGAGTAGCTAGAATTACAGGTGCCTGCCACCATGCCCAGCTAATTTTTTTGTATTTTTAGTAGAGATGGGATTTCACCAAGTTGGCCAGGCTGGTCTCCAACTCCTGACCTCAGGTAATCCATCCACCTCAGCCTCCCAAAGTGCTGGGATTACAGGCGTGAGCCACTGCACCCGGACACTTTATGGACAACATTTTTTAAAGTTGTCATTTCATAAGTCCTATTGGATTTGGTAATATAAAGGTGACTTAGTTATTTTTAAAACTCCTAACCACAATAGAAGACATAGACTTCTTCCATCATGGCAGAACCTGAACTGTTACATTGGCTTCTAGATTATTTATTCTTACAGTTGGAGGTAGGGTAAGTAAGATGATCTCATATATATTCAGTTTCTAAAACTCATAAACATTTATCTTTCAAACCAACATTCCTATCAACCAGGGAAAATAAGACATTGCTACTTCTTATGTCTCTTTAACAAAGTAATTTAATTGTTTGTCGAAAGAAAGGTATTCTAGATGCATGTGTAGCATAGAATCTTGAATAGAGATGGTTTGGAAGAATTTCAAAATGTTCAGGGAAGAAAGGTTAACCTCAAACAAAAAATGAATAATTTTAGACTGCCAAACTTAATTATGGGTTGGAATTAAATGTTCTCCATTAATGCAGTTATTTGTTGAGTTGAGATTGAAGGAGCTCAGTAGTGGGCTTTTTAATTACCTGTTTTAGTGTAGAAGGCACTCAAGTGGTAACCGAGCGGACACCATTTACACGAGCATGCACTTTGTCGAAATATTGTTCAGAATGTTAATTACATTCCCCGAACAGAATGACTTATTTTCTGCTAGTCTGAAGTTAAACAGATCCCACCATAGCAGAGATGGAGCCACCAGGTGAGAGGGAAGATGTCTCACTTGACACCTGGGCTTTATTTCTAGGGCCCAAATGGACCCATTTGCCATGAGTTAGGAAAATTCTCAGCTAGAGATCAGGAAACCTTGAGCAAAGTTGTCCTTCCACTTCTACTCTCTCATGTTTAGACTTCGCCCTTCCCATCCTTTGGGCACCTTGCGTGTTCATGGTCTTTATAGCTACTTCCTAATTAAAGAAAAATTAAAAGCCTGCTTTCAAGACTGGACATGAAACCTATTTTTTAATCATATTTAGTCCACTGATAAGGCTTATTCTGTGACTCTTCTTAGGGAATGTTGGCTCTTACAAAATGCAAAGGCTTATGTACAATAATGTGTTTTTAATAGTGAACTTTTAGCATTAGTAAGTCCTAAACCAAGGTTAAATCATCCATGAACACATCTTAAGTATCTTCTATGGAAATGGTTTCTATTACACCTTGCTGATACATCCAAATTTCAACTCTTGTTCTATTAATGACTCAGGCTGGGAAAAAATTGCAGCATCCTTTCTATTCCATGTACGTCCTGCCCTCATTGAAAAATAGACCTTAAGCCGAATAGGAATGTTACAGAATAAGAGCAAAAACTGTCCTTTCAGAGGTCTTTTAATATGTCTCATTTTTTTCTGGTAGAGAAAATTTAAAATCAATATTTTCACCTTCTTTCTTCTTTTAGGAAGCCACCCTCTCCGACCCAGCTTAGAAGGCATTTGTTCAATATCACTGCTTTTGTTTCACTCTTGAGTTTGCCTGGACTAATAGATACTGTATTTCCCAACCTTTCATACCAAGGTTTGTGGTAGGACTTCTCAGGTCTTAACATGTCAAGGATTAAATGAGATAGGGTGGTGGCTCAGGTCACATATAAAGGTAGCATGCTAGGCAATCGTTTTTTTCTCTACCTTAATCATCAAAAGTCAAACATGAGTGAGAAGCAAAACCAGAGAAATACACATACAAATGGACAAACTGGTTGGGAATCCATGCCCTGAAAGACTCAAGCCTGGGCCTAAATTGCTGGGAACGTTGCTGGTCAAAAATTAACTCACAGAAGGGCTACAAAAAAAAGGAAAGGATGTGAGCTGACATGATGATATGATCTTTACCAAATCTTCACTGGATGAAACAAACAGGGAAAGGAGAAATGAGCGAAAGAGACAGAAAGAGATCGTTATTGAGAAATCATCTATAAGATCATAAGGTGGCTGGCAGCAGTGGCTCACGCCTGTACTCCCAGCACTTTGGGAGGCCAAGGCAGGCAGATCATGAGGTCAGGAGTTTGAGACCAGCCTGCCCAACATGGTGAAACCCTGTCTCTACTGAAAAAACAAAAATTTGCTGGGCATGGTGGCATGCCCCTGTAATCCCAGCTACTCAGGAGGCTGAGGCAGGAGAATCGCCTGACCCTGGGAGACGAGGTTGCAGTGAGCCGAGATCACGCCGCTGCACTCCAGCCTGGGCGACAGAGCAAGACTCTGTCTCAAAAAACAAACAAACAAACAAACAAACCATAAGGCATGGTCTCAAATGCAGTTCTCTGGTCTACATTTACATTTACCACTCACAATAAGGAAGAGAGTAAATGATCTGAGGAATCTAGACCTCTCTCATTGTGTCTCTGCTGAGCCTTCAATCTTGTAAAAAAGGACATGGTACCTTTAATAATCTTGGCACACAAAGTGTTCTATTAAATAGCAGACATTTGTGAGTTTTTATACAATGTGATTCATTGAATTTTGATTAATATTATTATTTAAAAAGAATTTCCCTAGGGAATTGAAGTTAGATGCAAAACAAAGAATTAAATATAAAAATGTCACACAAAATTAGAAACCATCAGAAGAGAACCTGAATAGGACAATTCTAGCACATTTAGTGCTTAGGCTAAAGATGAGTTCCTTTACACAGGAACAAATTGGATATTTTAAGTAGCGTATCCTGTGCACATGCAGTACCACTGAAGCCCAATGAACAGTAAGCTTAGTTATTGAGATCTGTCAGTATCTCCTACTCCCACCCTGGCTAACTACATAGCAGTGAACTTTCCAGAATAGATTCACATTTTCTCCTCATCTCTTAGGATTAGCTGCAAGTGTGTCTAAACCTGGATGTAAGAGGAGAGTGTAAACTTTGTGAAAATACGGACTGCAATCTGGTAATGGCCTAACCCAGCAAAATCCAATCACCGACATGGAATAGTCACTAGTGTTGAAGCATGCATGAATTTTTACACAAGTATACCACCTCACAAAGATATTATACAGGATAGAATGGACAGAAGTGTGGTAAAGTATGTTCCTGATAGGGAATGACTTTAGCTATGGTAGGAAAGTGACAACATAGCAGTAAACAGCCAAACTCTGAGCAAGAGACTGAAGTCTGGAGACCACAAAATGCATAGCACAGATTTTTCATGAGAATAAGCAATAGTAAAATCTACCACCTGAAGAGGCTGCACAGAGTTGTGAGAGGCAGGTGATTCATTCAAAACATAATTTTATATAGCCTGTGAGGTTAAAGAAGGTCAAGGATTCACGAGATGCTGATAATACCTAGAGTTTCTATTTAGAGAACAAAGCATTCATTTCTGTGCAGAAGGGTCGGTCCATCATCATTCAAAAAGCTCTTAGTAATCACTGACCTGTAGAAAGAGGCAGGTTCATTGAACAAATAGCAAATAGATTGGGAAAAAGTCTATATGGTTTCTATAAATGGAAATCATGCCTGATTAAACAACCTGAATTCTCTCAGGCATAAACAGATCTTTTAAAAGAATAAACAAATGCCTTATAGACAAGGAACTACCAGTGGAAGTAATTTAATTAGACATGCAGAAAGCCTTGAACAAGGTAGGGCCTCATGAGGTATGTCACTAGAGGGACTCTCAAAACACTGGATATCCATGCATCCGGGCTTTTGGGGATATGATTCACATGGCAGGTGGGATATTAGATTACCCAGGAATGTTTAAACCGTGCCCCCTTGGATTTCCGCAGAGGTGCCCTGGGGGTAATGCAGGCTGAGGGAGCTGTTGGTGGACCTTGCTTCCATAGGGGATATTTTATCTGCAATATGTTTTACATATTGCAGTTCCCAGTAAGGTTTCATTGGAAGGTTTGGAGACAACTCTAATAGATTGCCTTTGTAATGCCTTTTATTTTTATGAAGAGTCTGTCATTGACATTCTTGTCCACCCCAGTAGATATAAAGTTTTAATCACTAAGAAATTGGAATAATCTTTTGAAACAAAAAACTGGATTCAAAGTAAGAAACAAAGCATAGGCTAAATGGCACATTTTCTAGTTAGTAAATAAGTAAAATGGTGGTTTATACTAATAATCAATGCTGAAGTCCATCTTATTAGTTGATTAACTAATTAACTGATAGTCAATGAGAAGATTTCAATGTCAAATTTTGCATCTAATTTATCATGGAGAAAACTTCAATTCGGTTGGTACAAATACCACTTTAATCTTCATGTGAGGCAAAATTGAGGAGGAGTGCTATGAGCTAATTCAGTCTTAGAGAAACTTCTCTATACTATGGATTCTTCAAGACTACTACAAATAAGAATAACTTTCTGATCATTCCACAGCCCAGTTTTACTTACCTATGTGTTGCTGGGATGAGGGAGCATGCTGTTTACCCCTAGGTTTGTTTTGTGGTATCTGATTTCTTATGGTATAACTAAGCCCTTTAACTTGTCTAGTTTTAATTTTAATGTAATTTTTTTGAGAAGGAGTCTTGTTACATTGCCTAGGCTAGTCTTAAATTCCTGGGCTCAAGCAGTCCTTCCATTTCACCCTACTGAGTAACTGGGACTACAGGCATGCAACACGGCACCTGGCTGATTTCTCTATTTTATGTGACAAATTCATAGATGTAGCTTCTATTAATGTCATTTTATGGTGTCTGAGGATTAATGAATATCTTGTACCTAAAGACTTTTTAATATTTTTATGTAGTTGTAAAGATATTTTCTTGCTGCAACATTAAAGCCTAAAGAAAAAAATGTAAGAAATTCTATGCTAAGTAAAATCTGCAGTATGCGAAGCAGGTGTTCTGCCTCTGGTGGTCAAAGATGGGTTGTGGAAGGCCATGCCTCCCCTCTAAAACATGAATTTTATAGAGCTTATCCAATTTTATGACTTTAACTATAACTTCTCTGCTGGTAACTTCCAAATACCTACCTCTAGCCCTGACACATCCTCCAGATAGTAAGCCTCTTATTCAACCGCTTGCTGGTCATTTCCAATTGTAAAATCTACCCGCTGTCAAACACAGTATTCCAAAACTGGACTTAGAACCTTACAGTCCAAATCATCATTGCCATTATTTCTAATTTCTGTCAGTGGTACTATGCAAGTACCAAGATATGGAATCATTTTTGACTCATCAATCACTCATGTCATTTCTATTATTTTATGGTGTCACCAAATAAATACACTTGAATGACAATTCTCTGGGGCACACACCTTAGGAAATGGATGACAAAGTGTTCCCATGCTTTATAATTCATGAATTTTATTTGCCAGAAAAAACATCAAGGAATAAAGATGATCTCCAATAGTGAACTTTCTGACATGTGCTTTATATAGGTGACAATCTATAAACCTTATACAGAATCACACAGAAAGTAAGGGAACTGGAATGACAGTCCTGTCATACCTGAATACCAGACTACTCTTAAGTTTACCATCATATCCTGAATGACATAGTAAGTAAAGAGGTGTCATATGCAAGTGGGATAAATAAAACCCACAGAAATATCTCAGCTTTCCAGGGTATTGCCCCATAACCGCAGAATAAAACAACCCTGTAAACATTTCTGTACTTGCATTGGTAAGACTATTTGTTTCTCTTGGTGGGATTAACTTCCACATGTTGTTTTCAGTCATAGTAAATACAAGCAAATAATTATAAAGATAGTTTGCAGTATGATAGAAAGCATACTAGGAAATCAACTCTTATGACTTTATACTTAGTTTAAAAATCCAACAGGGTCTCTCCTGCAGTCAGTGGCATGCTTTGTCTCCTTGTGAATATTCCACTTCAATACTCGTTCCTGTTAGGGGATGAGTGTTGGCAGGCTAATATTAATGAATTCAGCAGCCTCGATTAATTTCCAGTATGAAAATAGCCTTAAAATGAGTCATGAAAGCCACACAAGAAAGATGGCACTTTAAGATGAATGTACGGTGTTGACCTTCACCATTTCTTCATTTCTTCATTACATTATTCATAATTGGTTGGATAAATTATACTATTATTCATTTTAAGCATTTTTCTGCTAAATGTTAAGTGTCCAATTCCAGGATTTTATGGTTTCAAATCGAAGAATTAATATCCCATGGTTACTCTACAATAAACATATTTAATCTTCTATTCTATCATTATGAAACACAAAGTTACTAAAAAATAACTATCAGATCCATTTATTTAAAAATATTTTGCTAGGAAAATAATAATGCTTCACATAATTCTATTTTTCTAAAGGCTTTGACATGTGATTTAAATTTCTCTTTGGTTTGGAAATCTGGACATCTGTAATTGAACTGTCAGGTTTCCCAGGTAAAATTTGATTCTGTAAAAAGTGACTTTTTTCTTTTTTTTCCCCCATCCATTCTATGGAAACTAACAAAGGTGAACTACAGCTATTGTGCTTTTTAAAAAAATTGGATCATTGGTCTTTTCATGGAAAGAATTAAAAGCTTTGAGAAGTGATGTTGGCAAAGTGAAGATTTGATTAAATGGTTACTTTTGGTTTGGTAGATTCGGACAGTGAGGGAAAAGAGGGCTGGTTGAGAATATTTATTTAAGACAAGAAAACAAATCACAGCAAATTTATAAATTTAAATTTAAATTCAGAGATTCTGAAGTATTTTGGCTTCCCTAGTAAATCCTACTAGGAAAATAACTTTGCTTTTCTGCTATTAACTTAGCAGATTCTCTGTGGTTAACAATGTTTTAAGGAATAAACTAAACTAAAAGAAATGAGTCATGTCAGTGAGCAACGCAAAGTTCAAAAAGCCTTTGCTTCATGCAGAAGCTATATTGAAAGCATCTAAGACAGTGCAAGCAAACGTCTCGTCTTCAAAGTAATTCCTCTGTGGGGGGTGGTCTTCTTAGAATCTAATTTTATCAACCTATGATTTCTCCTCAAAATGCTCATCACTGTGTGACTGTCTTGTAAATACTTTCTTTTGGTCATCTTGTGATGTGAGCTGTTTTTCCTCAGGTGAATTTTTTATATGAGACTTGTTTCAGTTTAGCGCCTCTTAAATGGTAATATTCATTCTTATTTTTCATTCCCACGTTGAATTCTGCATTCTATAATAATGACTGACATGATGCTGCCAAGATAGATCAGTGTCATATTTATCTTCACCTTGCAAAGCTTATTGCATTATTTAGTATTATGAGGCCTTTTCATTTATGCTGCTTTGCACCTTACTGGGTCCTGAAGTCCTGGCGAGCCCACTTACAATCTGATGTGACACAGCTGATAGGATTTGAACTGCATCACCTTAAGAGGCACTTGTAAGCCATTTATACCAAATTCCACGAAGAACAGAGCTGAAATCAGACAGGGTCATTTTCTCAAAAGGATTTTTTTAGTCCCAAGCTATTCCCATCAGATTTCCAGTGACTCCTTCAGGTCAAGTCGGAAGCAATGTCTTTTTTTTTTTTTTTGACAAGCAAGAGATTTGTTGTTGCTTGGTTGTTTTGCTGATATAATGGAAACCTGTTTACATCAGAAAATGTTATGCCTTTCTCTAGATAATTTGGCTTATCTACAATGTTCTTTGGTTATATATTTTCATATATATATATATATTTAAATGTTAACTTGTAACAATTCAGTAAAACAGATTAGGCAATTTATTTTAAAGTAGTTATGTAACATGATTTGATGTAAATATTGTCGTATATCCTAGGAGAATATAATATTTTGCTCTTCTTCTTCAAAAGCAATATTTATTTAACTCTTTCCAATACATTCAAAAGATTTTTCTATAGCCTTCTAATTCTCATCAAAATCTTAATAGTGGAAAGAAAACTGTTCTCAAAGTCAGGAAATTTGGTGCTCTTGTAATAAACAAGGCGTCCTTAAGCATGTCTCTTAAACTCTCTGTTTTGATTCTTTTACCTGCTGGTTACCTTATCAAGTCCCAACTCTCTCACCTCTCACTTCCAATTCATCAACAAATTGTGTCAGACATACCTTCAAATATATCCCAAATTCGATTACATTCAAAACCACCACCCAAAACCAAGCCATACTATCCCTTCCCTGAATCATAACATCTAACTAGCCTCTGAGTTTCCAGTTCTGCTACACTCAAATCCATTCTCCATATGGAAGCCATAGGGATGTTTCTAAATGCCTTTTGGATTATATCACTTCTTACTCAAAACCGTTTATGGCTTTCTCTCTTAAAATAAAATCCAAAGATTTTATATAGCTCTAAGGCCCTAAGCAATCCCTCTGTGGCCACTCCCCAAGCTCGTCTCTCACCTTTCTTTCCGGTGTTCACTTGGCTGGAATGAGATTAACCACGACCGATGCAGGCCTTGAACGTGCCAAGCAGGCTCCCAGGTCAGAACCTAACAAGGGCCATGAACTTGAAGCTTATGCCATTTGAGGAACCTTTTTTAGGTAAGTGAATACAAACATTGGATATGAAAGTGAATATTTATTTAAGATAAAAAAACACAGCAAATTTATAAATTTAAATAAGCTGAAAATCACCATAACATAATATTTTTACATTAAATAACTGTCTGCTACATGTCGGCACAATGGATGGTAGCTGTGTCCTTGGATTCCTACACTGGGAAGCCAACAAAGCTTAAGTAAAAAGTAATTGCAAACCACATAAATATATCCCACTACACAAACAAAACGAGTCTCCACATGATGCCAACAAGGACACTGACCACTCCAACTCTATCTGACAGGAGTGAGGAGAGCATGATGAAGGTAGAAAGAGGAGTGAAAAACAGCAGAAAATAACCAATTGTGGTTAAAATTCATGATTTTGCAAATTTTACAAGAAATACATGAGCTGCATACTATGCAGCCATAAAAAGGAACGAGATCATGTTCTTTGCAGGGATATGAAGCTGGAAGCCATTATCCTCAGCAAACTAACACGGGAACAGAAAACCAAACACCACGTGCCCTCACTTATAAGTGGGAGCCGAACAATGAGAACACATGGACATGGCGGGGGAACAACACACACTGGGGCCTGTCAGGGGAGGGCAGGGCTGGGGGAGAGCATTAGAGAAAAGAGCTAATGCATGCTGGGCTTAATACCTAGGTACTGGGTTGTGAGGTGCAGCAAACCACCATGGCACACGTTTGCCTATGTAACAAAACTGCGCATCCTGCACACATACCCATGTATCCCAGAACTTAAAACTAAAATTAAATTAAATTAAAAAAATAATACATGAGCATGTGAATTCAAGCCTAGAACCCTTCCCAGGGCCTTTGCAAGAGTTTGATCAAGTGAGCAGCCTTGAAGCTTGAGCTTCTTTAGTTTCAAGGTGAGTTTGCCTCTGCCCTGTGCACTTGCTTTGTCCCTTCCTGGAATGTCCTGCTCTGACTCAGATCTCTAAAAAGTCCTTCTCCAGTGAGGTCTTTCTTGCCTATTTTAACTAAAGTAGGATACTTTGTCATTCTTCTCTTCTTTACCTTATTTTTCTTCAAAGAAGTTATCAGGCCAGGTGCGGTGGCTCACGCCTGTAATCCCAGTACTTTGGGATGCTGAGGCCGATGGATCACCTGAGGTCAGGAGTTCGAGACCAGCCTGGCCAACATGGTGAAACTCCGTCTCTACTACAAATACAAAAAAAATTAGCCAGGAGTGGTGGCACATGCCTGTAATCCCAGCTACTCGGGAGGCTGAGGCTGCAGAATCGCTTGAACCAGGGAGGAGGAGGTTGCAGTGAGTCAAGATCGCGCCATTGCACTCCAGCCTGGGAAATAAGAGCGAGGAGACTCCATCTCAAAAAAAAAAAAAAAAAAAAAAGAGAAAAGAAAAGAAAAGCAGTTATCAACCTAATATTTATATTAGCTGTGTACTTTTGTATTTGCTTATTTGCTTTAACTGCTAGGATGACAGCACCATGACTGAAAAGACATTGTTTTGTTCATTGATGCATCCTCAAAGTCTAGAACAGTTTTTAGTGTGTAGAGGGTGTTCAATAAATATCCATCAAATGAACGAATGGATGCATTATTTCTACAAATGTTTGTGAAAGCCAATAGGATTAAGGTACTTAAAAGTGATATGAGAACAGAGAGGTCTCATTGTTATAAAGGCATTAGTGATTCAGTTTTGGCCTCTCTAGAAGCCTGCTTCCTCAGAGAAAGGATATTTAATTGGAAAATACACAGGAAGGACTTTGGCAGTACAAGGAGAGATTTGGCTGGGTTTTAATTATGAATTTGTTAAAATTGGCTTGTACTCTGTGAAGTGGTTTGAATGCCGTTCCCATGGTTTTACCTCACCATTGGGAAAAACTGGCGACATTTTAAATGGCAGTAGATGTTGGAAAGACAAATGGCATATTAAAACCCACACACCAGTGTGCAATGCTGCCTCAAACCAATAACAACCCTTCTTAATAAAAACAATGTTTCATCTCTTGCATAATAAAGATTTCTTCCCTTGAACCCAAATGGGCATTGTCTATTTCATGCAGACATGTGATATTTTTCCCCTTTAGCAAAAGTTGGAAAACTGCCTCCTTGTTGAGGCTGTGCAATTTCTCAGTTCTCTCAGGATAGCTAGGCAGCTCATCACTCACAATGATAGCTCCATTCACAAACTGACATCATAAAAACATGAAGGAAGATAAAGAAAGTATTGTGCAAAGAACTTTAAGCCAAGAGAAAAATAAACCCTTTAGATACTTCAGAATTGAATTCCAATATGCCATGAATGGCAATGTCTTGAAATTTCTCTGTTTTAAATTCTTCTTAATATGAGAACTCCAAATCACTGGGTGTAATATAAACTTGCCAGTCTTCAAATTAGCCAAACACTGTAAATAACTCCTGCAAATTGAACAACTGATGGCTGTTATGTTTTCATGTCCTTAAGGCTAAAAAAATAGGGATGAAAGGAAAGGCGCTATCCTAAATCCATAAAGGAATGAAGCCATTGATAAACATAGGATGACAGTTTCCTAGGCCTGGAAAAATTAGGTTAACTTTAATAAAAATTGATTTTGAAAAAGCAGAATTTATTTATTTATATTTATTAGCATAGTTTGTTCAAAATTATATGATTAGTTAGGTGTCTGTACTGTGTGTCAGGCTAATTATGGTAAGCCACTGAGACTTGTATCTCAGAAAAATGTCCTTTCCTTTGAAAAAACCAACTTAATTAATCAACTATAAGATGTATGGGCCAGGGCTGTCAAAGCCATACGAACAATTGCTTAGGTGCCCAGAAATACCATGATAAAGCAAATACTGCAATAAAGTGAGTCACACACAATTTTTGGTTTCCCAGTGTATATAAAATTATGTTTACACTATATTACAGTCTATTAAGTGTGCAATAGCATTATGTCTATAAAACAATGCATGTACCTTAATTTAAAATACTTTATTACTAAAATATGCTAATGATCATCTTGCCTTGATGTTGATGTCTGCTGACTGATCAGGGTGGTGGTTGCTGAGGCTGAAGTTGATGTGACAGTTTCTTAAAATAAGACAATGGTGTTTGCTGCAGAGATTGACACTTTCTTTCATGAAAGACTTCTCTATAGCATGTGATGTTGTTCTATAGCATTTTATTCATAGTAGAACTTCTTTCAAAATTGGAGTTAATATTTTCAAACCCTACTGCTTCTTTATCAACTAAGTTTATGGAATATTCTAAATCCTTTGTTGTGATTTCCACAATGGTCACAGCGTTTTCATTTGGCATAAATTCCATCTAAAACAAAACACTTTATTTGTTCATCTATAGGAAATAACTCCTCATCCATCCAAGTTTTATCATGAGATTGCAACAATTCAGTCACATTTTCAGGCTGCACTTCCAATTCTAGTTCTCCTGCTATTTCTATACATCTGTAGTCAATTCCTCCACTGAAGTCTTGAACCCCTCAAAATCATCCATGAGGGTTGGAATCAACTTCTTCTAAACTCCTGTTACTGTTGATATTTTCACCTCCTCTCATGAATCACAAATGTTCTTAATGACATCTAGAATGGTGAATCCTTTCCAGAAGGTTTTCAATTTACTTTTCCCAGATAAATCAGAAGAATCATTATCTCTGGTAGCTATAATATTACAAAATGTTTTCTTAGATAATAGGACTTGAAACCTGGAATTACTCCTCGAATGAACGAATGAATGCAGAATGAATGTTGTGTTAGAGGGCTGGAAAACAGCATCAGTTTCCTCTTACATCTCCATCAGAACTCTTGGGTGACCAGGTACATTGTTAATGAACAGTGCTATCTTGAAAGGATTCTTTTTTTTCTGAGAAGTAGATCTTAACAATGTGCTTACTATATTCAGTAAACTGTGCTGCAAACAGACATGTTGTCATCTTGGCTTTGTTATTTCATTTATAGAGCACAGGAAGAGTAGATTTACCGTAACTCTTAAGAGTCCTAGGATTTTCAGAATGGTAAATAAGCATTGGCTTCAACTTAAAGTCACCAGCTGCATTTGCCCCTAACAAGAGGGTCAGCCTGTCCTTTGAAGCTGTGAAGGGAAGGCAGATATTGACATATCCTCTCTAGCTATGAGAGTTCTAGATGTCATCTTCTTCCAATAGAAGGCTGTTTCATCTACATTTAGAATTTATTGTTTAGTGTAGCCAACTTCATCAATTATCTTAGCTGAATCTTCTGGATGACTTGTAGCAGCTTCTACATTAATGCTTGCTGCTTTACTTTGGACTTTTATGTTATAGTGGTGGCTTCCTTCCTTTTTTTCTGAGCATGAGTATATTTTATTATTATTATTATTACTATTATTGTTATTGTTATTATTTGAGTCTCGCTCTGTCGCCCAGGCTGGAGTGGAACACGAGTACGTTTTATTTTATTTTTATTTATTTATTTTTTCCTTTCAACTTTTATTTAAGTTCTGGGGTACATGTGCAGGATATGCAGGTTTGTTACATAGGTAAATGGTTTGCTGCGCAGATCAACCCATCACCTAGGTACTAAGCCCAGCATCCATTAGCTCTTCTTCCTGATGCTCTCCCTCCCCTTAACCCCACTCCCAACAGGCCCCAGTGTGTGTTGTTTACCCCTATGTGTCCATGTATTCTCATTGTTCAGCTCCCACTCCTAAGTGAGAACATGTGGTGTTTTGTTTTCTGTTCCTGCATTAGTTTGCTGAGGATAATGGCTTCTAGCTTCATCCGTGTCTCTGAAAAGGAAATGTCATTCCTTTTTATGGCTGTATAGTATTCTGACAGCTTCCTTTCTTGAACCTCATGAACCAACCTTTGCTAGCTTCAAACTTTTCTTCTGCAACTTCCTCACCTCTTTTAACTTTGAAAGAATTGAAGATAGTTAGGGTCTTGCTCTGGATTAGGTTTTGGCTTAAAGTAATGTTGTGGCTGATTTGATCATTTATCCAGATCACTAAAACTTTCTCCACGTCTGTAATAAAGCTATTTCACTTTCTTATCATTTGTGTGTTCACTGGAGTAGCATTTAAATTTGCTTCAAGAACTTTTCTTGTGCATTCACATCTTGGCTAACTCTTTGGTGCAAGAGACCAATTTTCAGCCTATCTGGGCTTTCAACATGCCTTCCTGGCTAAGCTTAATCATTTCTAACTTTTGATTGAAAGTGAGAGACATTCAACTCTTTCTTTTACTTGAATACTTAGAAGTCATTGTAGGGTTATTAACTGGCCTAATTTCAGTATTTTTGTGTCTCAAAGAATAGGAAGGCTCAAAGAGTGAGGGCAAGATGAGGAAACAGCTTGTTGGTGGAGCAATCAGAACACACAAAACATTTATCAATTGTTTGCTCTCTTATATGGGCATGATTCATGGCACCCTCAAACAATTACAATAGTAACATCAAAGATCACTGATCACAGATCACATAACAGATATAATAATCATGAAAACATTTAAAATATTATGAGAATTGCCAGAATGTAATACAGAGGCATGAAGTGAGCACATGCTGTTTAAAAAAAATGGCACCAATAACTTGCTCGATGCAGGCTTGCTACAAACCTTCAATTTGTAAAATATGCAATATCTGTGGAGCACAATAAAATGAGGTATGGCTGTAAAAACAGGGAGAGATGCCAACCCCTGGCTTTCTCCAAAGACTGATGACTTCTCCAAGTTTGCCTTTTTATCACTCTGGGCATTTATTCCAAACTAATCTCATCTCATCTCTAAATTTTGCCTTCTTTCCTCCATTTCCATTTTTGGAGCACCCATAGAACCTCCCCATGTGAGATTAAGTTAGATCAGCACTGAACCAGGATGCTTGGCATGAGATAGAAAACCACTACCCACAAACCAATGTTTTCCTCTTCTGTTACCATGTTAAATATATCACCAGTCTGCCTAAACCCGTGTTGTCATAAACTCTTTCTTCCCTGAGTCACTACAGATAACTGATTATATATTTTGAAATATTCCTCAAATCTGTCCTATTCTACTTTCTAGTTGAGACTTTTATTCCTCCCCCTTCAAAAATGAAATTATTTTCTGATTATCTCCTTTTGCCATTCTGTTCAGTCCTCCAATGAACCCTGTAATCCAAATATTTTGCCAGAGTTTCATTAAAAATATTTATGTTGAAAAATGACTGCTAATTTTCTGTTACATCACTTAAAGTCTAAGCTGCTCAGCCAATATTCTGTAGTTTCTACAGTTTGACTCTCACCTAATTTTCTGATTGCATTTTTTTCTTCATTCCAGCTTATACCCTCAGGAACCACACTCTCTCCAGCCACACCTCTCAGTGCTACTCCTAAAACACTTTTGTACTTTAAATATGTTCTCCTGATTAGAAAGGCCTTCCTCTCATTCCTGTCCATCAAAATCCTCTACATTAACAACTTTTCTGATAGGTTAAGTGGAAATCTCTCCTTTTCTTTTCTCATTTGCCATGGTGCATTTTTATCTCAAATATAGTCCTATTTCTCTTTATTTCTTTATAACAAACATTTTTTAAAGTGTTGACTATACTCACAATCTCCAATTTCTTTCCATGCATTTCCTTTCAAGCCCACTGAAATTAGCCTCCGTTTCCGGTACTCCACCAGAACACCTCATGTCAGGATCAATAAAGACCCCCATGTTGCTACCCCTAATGGTCATTCTCAGTCATCTTATTCAGTGAAAATATTGCACTTGCCCTTCTTTTTCGTTGTTGCTGTTTTTTTTTTTCTTTTCTTTTCTTTTTGAGACCAAGTATCGCTCTGTCACCCAGGCTAGAGTGCAGTGGCATGATCTCGGCTCACTGCAACCTCCGCCTTCTGAGCTCAAGCCATTCTCCTGCCTCAGCCTCCCAAGTAGCTGGGACTACAGGCAAGCACCACCATGCCCAGCTAATTTTTGTATTTTTAGTAGAGATGTGGTTTCACCATATTGGTTAGCCTGGTCTCAAACTCCTGACCTCGTGAGATCCACCTGCCTTGGCCTCCCAAAGTGCTGGGATTACAGGCGTAAGCCACCGTGCCCAGCCTTCTTTTTTTTTGAGACAGAGTTTTCACTCTTTTTGCCCAGGCTAGAGTGCAATGGTGTGGTCTCACCTGACTGCAACCTCCACCTGCCGAGTTCAAGCGATTCTCCTGCCTCAGTCTCCCAAGTAGCTGGGATTACAGGCGCCAGCTACCATGCCCGGCTAGTTTTTGTATTTTTAGTACAGACAGGGTTTCACCATGTTGGCTAGGCTGTTCTCGAACTCCTGACCTCAGGTGATCCAACTGCCTCGACCTCCCAAAGTGCTGGGATTACAGCCATGAGCCACCGCGCCCGGCCTGCACTTGCCCTTCTTGAAACTTTTGTCTATTTGTTATCCAAAATACTACTACATCTAGGTTTCTCCCTTGTCAGCCACTCCTTCTCAGCTTCCTTTGCTGCTTACTGATTATCTCCTAATGTCTAAACTTTGAGCTATCCCAGGTTTCATTCTTTAGACCTTTTCTGTTTTCCACCTACTCCATGAATGAGTTCATCCAGTCTAATGGCTTTAAATACCAACTTCACTCTAAGGACTTTCTAAATCTGAGATCTCCAGCATGAATTCCAGACTCTTCATATAACTATCTACTTGCCATCTCCATTTATTTGTCTAATACGCATCTCAAATTTAACATATCCAAACAAAATCCTTATTCCCAGCCGCTACTGTGACCTAGACTTCTCGTCCTACAATTTTTCTTATCTCAGCAAGAAGCAACACCATTCTTCTAATTGCTCAGATCGTCCATTTAATGGGGTCAACTTTGATGTCTCTCTTTCTTCCATATCCTGTGCCAGACCCATCAGGAACTTCTAAACGCTTTGCCTTCTTACTATATTCAGAGTCTAATTACTTCTCCCCACATTGCTATTGCTATTGTCTAAATTCTGAATGATAGCAAAAGCTTCTGAACTAATTTCTGTGTTTCAGTACCAAACCTTCACCATCTATGCACAACAGAGCAGCCAGAGTGATCCTCTTAAGCACCAAGTCAGATCATGTTCCTCCTTTGCTCCCACATGTCAATGACTTCCTTTCTTACTCAAAAGAAAATTACAAGCATTAGTTTGGCCTACACAATCTTTCTAGTCCTCCCTACTTTCCTGATTCCTCACTCTCCCCAGCCATGCCTGCCTCCTTTCTGTTCCCAGCATTCCCTTCACAAGGTATAAAATGGCACACACCTCCAACCAACCCCTGCTCCCCTCTCAAGCCAGCAGTTCCTATCTTCATTACTTTATTTTAATTTTCTCAATAGAACTTACCAATACCTGAAATACTACATATATCCACATGTACTTATTTTTTTTTCTTTTTTTTTTTTTTCCGTCTCTCCTCAATAGGAAATACTAGCTTGCATAAGGCTGGGACATTTATCTATTTGGTTCTCTAATTTATTCCCAGTGTCTAGAACAGCACCGTGCATATGAAGGGCATTCAAAAGGTATCTGTTAAATGAACTCTTTTCCATTGTTTATAATTCTTAACTCTCAAGCCAGCTAATGAAAATATAATACATATGTAACCTATTTTTTAGCAAAGCATAGAAAGCATGTTCTATTTTAATTGAGTGATGAGGGCGACAGGGGTGATGAAACTGAGGTTAGAATATTTTGAGAACCATTATGTGATTGTAAATTTCCTTAAACAACTCTATGATTTACAGAGGAAATGAAGTCATTGTAATCTCTTAGTCATCAGTTAAGGGAAAAAAAAAAAAAACAAGTAGAAGTGATACAATGCAAAAAGTCATCTTGACTGGATAGAAAAAGAACATATTTTCCTGGCTTGAAAAAGTTTCAAATTTCTTTTTAAGTTGTGCCCTCTAAAGTAAACTTTGACTCTCAAGTATATTTATTCAATCAAGATTATTATTACACTGCAGTGCTTAGGTGTAGTGGCTTCCTGTGGCTTTACCATTTTAAGCAACTGATGACATTTACCATAGAGATTACACATGGATTACAATTCTGGAATGTACATTGTTGAGGGTTTCTTTTGATATCACAGTCTAAGGGAAGGAGTTAGAGTTTAATATTTTATAACTCGCAGCAGGTTATATATTCAAGCCAAACATGTTTTAGTAGTAATTCTTCAAGCTACCAAAGGCTGTTGCTACCAGAGAAAAAGGAAAGGTTAGTTTGCTACTGTGGTTCCCAGCAGAGTCTGTATCATATAAGAAGCATTATAAAGGAATCTGCTATTTTTTTCCTATAATATTTGGCTAACTACTACTTTTACTATGTGGTATCATGTTTGATAATGCCTCTCTAATATCTATCTGGAAATTTAAGTTTGCATAAGGCAATGCTGTGAATTTTAATCTACATATATATTCTTGGTTCCTAAGAATGATATTTCTGCAGCAGTGATTATGTATTGTATCATGTGACAAAATATAGATGAATTTAGTAAGCTAAATTCTGTTTTGAGTTGCGATGGTTTTCTTGAAAACTATGTTATTTATGTTGGTACTAATTTAATTAAATTAACATTCAGAAATTACACAGCCAATTTGGCAACACTTAAATTAATGCTGCTATTTAATCAGCATTGTTAATGTGACTTTAAGCATTGACAATGTCACCATTATTTAGTATTTACTTAATATTTCTGTTGTGCAGCACACTTAGAATAGTTCATTTCTTTAATTTAGACAATTCTTATTATAGACCTATAGACTATCACCTATCAGAAAACCTATTAAAACACAAATACTTACAGTTAACCTCAAAGTGTGTCTACAATTGGATTAAATACAGACTCCTTGATGGCAATAGCTGTTTTCCACTGTCTAGGGTGCTTCTCTTCCTCTTATCTTCTTTGAAAATTGTGGAGGCATAAGGAAGTAAGCTCATCAATGACGTTGCTGGAAAGAAGGAAAACAGCATAGCCCCTTTGTTACCATCCGAATGTCTGGACATATTTAGAGCTCTCCTAATAAAAGTTGGATATATTCTTGTAACAGGCATATTAAGACAAACTGTTTGTTTTCCTTAATTAGAAACAGTTCTTTCTTGCTTATTCTATTTACTTGAGAAAATACTCTCAGTTAATCATCTTTAATAAGCATCCTTAGCCACTTCCTAATGCTATAATAAATATTCAAACATATAGATTGTCCAGTGTTCTAAGAGGCATAAAACTCAGGTATACATGGAAAAGTGAGTAGAGTGGTAGATGTAAGCCCAGTAAGAGAAAGTCACACAAGTAAAAGGAACACTTCAGGATGACTCAAACCAATGGAAAAGTTGGAAATATTGGCCTTTTGTCTATACTTTGAAGAACCTCTTTGTTTCTAGAAGTTACTTTTGCCTTTCTCTTGAGCCGTAATCTCCTGCCTTTAAGCTGCTAATAATTATAAATCTGAAAGTTTGCTGCTCAGAGGAAGAATGCATTAATCTCTTCTGGCACTCATGCACCACCTAGAGTGCCTTTGTAGTGACCTGGAGGCCCTATGCCACAGAGATGGGAAACCTCTTTTCATTACTTGAAAAGACATGACATAAGCAGGCTATTTATCTGATATGAGGTGAGCAAGCAGCCAAAATACAAACAGAGATGTCACAGAATGTCATGCGATAAGAGCTTGTTCTGGATTAATAGAAAAGACACTGACTAATAGGCATCTCTGACACCTGTATTTTCTCTTTGGAAATATTAATATCAAGCCATCATTGGATTATTTATAAGTTACAATATGTAATTTAAATATGTGTAAGATAAATACAATTTTTCTCAAATATGATTGTATTAAAAACATTGCTATTTCCAAATATTTTAAATGGTATCTTAACCAATGTTTTTCTCACAAACGGAACAGTGAATGCTTTTCATATAGAAAAAACATCCCTACAAGCAAATACACTAAAAGATAGTATATTAAAAATGCCTGTACAAAAAGGAACCAAATTAAAGAACATATGTAATATGCTCAAACGTATCATTGAAGCTCGTATCTAAGAGTGACGTACAGTTTAAGAGCTTAAAGTATTTTGTAGCTTTTTGAAAATAGATCCTTCCTGGTAACATGTAAGGCTAATGTTTGATTTCCTTGCATTAAACTTTACAAAATATTTTCTGAAATGCCTTGCATACAAAGGCATGGAATTGCCTGGCACAGAAGTGGGAGGCAGGACATTTTAATCTATAAAATGGGTATAAAATACCAATATCACATTTCTTACATAATTCTTACAAAAAGGAAAATACATCATGGATATAAAGTGCTTAGCATGTTGCTTGGTATATGGGATGTGCTCAATGATCATTAGCTCCGTTATAATATTATTGCTATTATGACTAGGACATGCACAACATGCTAAAAGGGTTCAGAGGCAGGAGTGACAAACACAGAGAAGACTTCAGAAGAGATGACTTTTGAGCCTTACCTAGCATGCGAATATATAGTTGTCATAAAAAGATGGAAAGGAGCTAAAGCTAAAAGAATTACAATTACCGATAAGGTTGCAATTGTTCATTGAATTTGAAACCACTTATCTTTTCTCTGCACAGTACCAAAAGTAACTAAGTGGCAGATGGGGTACTAGGCAAATCTCAAGATTATCTCAGTATTTAAGGGCAAATCACTTAAAATATCTGTTACTGAAATGGAGGAATTTCCTTCCTCTCTTGCCAAGGTATGATGAGGAAGAGCTGCTTTTAGAGCAAGTTTCTTCCAAAATTAAAAATGGCTCCCATGAGGATTTTCACTGCCAATGTGAGGCTGTATAAGTCATTTCTGTTTCACTGAAGAGCTACTAGCACTCAGAATTAATTCAGTTGAAATCAGAGAGAGCAGAAAAGCTGCTGGAAATGTTCCTGTTGCAGCAGCAAATCAGAAGCATTGTGTGATTTTTTTTTTTATTTTTGCCTGCAGTCTCTGACCCAACAAAAGTAGCACATGGACAATGCCATAGGTACCAGCTGAACCAGCTTTTGCAAATATTGTATAAATGTAAACCAACTTTGAAATATTATATATACAAATCAGGAGACATACCGGATGCCGTTACAGTAATTAATTCAGTTGTTCATATAGAAATTAAACCTGCAGTGCAAGCAGGGCTGTTTTCATAAAGGCTATGATTAATAGGCAATCTATGCTGGGTCTTTCTGTCTGTCACAATGGGTGACTCAAACAAGTGAATCAAATGTTAAACTGACTTTCCAAAAATAATACAGGAAGGAATAACAGTTGCAACCAAGCCTCCAGCCAGTCTGCTTATGGTGTATCAATAATTAATAAAACTTTGAATTAGGTGTTAGGTTTTTAATGCCTATTGCAGTAACAAGGGAGCTCATCCTTGTTCAGAAATCTTTAAGGTTTTTGTTCTTCACAGAAATTACTACTTGCCACACCAGTATGGAATCATACAAAATATTAGAAAAAATGTGAAAATAGTATAAGTAAAAACAGAGGGAAAATAAGAGATTCGGCACATTTATGGAGGCTGGCAGTGGATATTTAAGGATATCGAGATTAGGAGTTCTAAGGGTTTAATTGCTATCTCCTTTTTCAAAAAATGCAGGAGTCATGAAAGCCTGGCTACCTAGACCCCTTTGGAGCCTGCCTGGGTCAATCCAGAAATAGGTATCAAGTATAGCTGTAGATGAGAATCCACCAGCTGGTGGGGCCTATAATTAGTATGATTTCTGTAATCCTTGTGCAGATGAGGTTACCTCATGTCCCTGAGTATTCACCAAGCCATAAACTTGCCCTAATCTGCACTCTGTTTTCCCAATGAGATGCAGCTTTTGTCTTGTTTCCTGGTTTACATTCCAGTTTCCCAGGTGAGACTGACTGATTTCTTTGTTCAATTCCAGCAGCATTGGCTAGGACCCTGACCACCTGCTAGGCCTGGTCAGCCCTTTTCTCCTAAGAGGCTGGTCTCTGTGCTTGTTCCTTCAGCCCCTGGTGGAAATCTTGCTCTCAAAAAGCTCTTGATCCAATAACTGACTTGCATGGGGGTTCCCACTGCTTTGTCTCATAACTAGACCAGCCAGATGTCCTTTGGATATACAGCAGCTCAGACTAAGCAAGAATTCTCTATGTTCTTTCAAATACAGAATGCTGACTGCTCCCTTTGTGAGTGATCCCTGCAGTTGGATTTGTTAACCAGCCCCAGTCCAGGCTCTTGGTGGCCAGACCAGATCTCCTTCAGAGCACAGGAAAACTCATCCCAAAGCGGCTCTGAGTTGTTGCTGTGGAGGCTCCCAGAAGCTTCTTTCTCTATTGTCTTCGGTTTAATGAAAGTCTTGCCTGAGAGGTTACCCACCGCCCCTCTGACAGCCAGCAGCCGATTACATGGAAAAACAAAACAAAACAAAACAAAACAAAAAAACAGCAACCTGATAGGCCTAACTCTGTGGTGCAATTTGTATTTCAGGGTTACCCTGTAGGACAGACTAAATCTCTTCTCTCCCAGAGACAACATACTTGATTAGCCATTTTCCCCAACAGATCTCTGTGTCTCTTGCTTCCCTTCCGAGCACACTCCCATAATAAATCACTTCCACGAGGGGCCCCATTTTAGGCTTTGCTTCTAAAGAAGCTCATTGAAGAAAACTTTCTTTTCTCCTTGGCCCACTGCTGAGATTGTAGACTTGAAACCAAATCATGGGTTAACAACCTCTCATGTCATAGGCTAGGCTATAAAATCACATCAGTGGCAATACCATCTGCCAAGTCAACAAAACCTGTTTTCATCCTCTCTTCTTTCTAATCCCCACAGCCAGTCACTAAGTGCCACCTCTTCTTTACTGCATGCCCCCAGCAAACTTTACATGACAAAAGATTTGTTCCACACATCTGAAAGTGAAATAGGGCTCTATCGAAATGTACCGGAGTCCCAAAACTCAGTATATGTTACCATGGGTATTACCAGATCTGATTTAAGGAGCTGAGTTCCCAGAAAAGGTGAGTATTTACACACCCTTATTCCTTAGCTTGTTGGGAGCTAGATTTCTTTTTGAATAGAGCAGTTCTTTAAAGACTTTAGGTCACAAAATATTCAAAGGAGTTTTGTACAAAATAGTCATTAAGCCACCTAGATAGCAAGGATGGCCTTATCATCTACCTGCAGCATAGTAGAAAAATAAAAACGAAATAGTTGGGTTTTTTTCTTATTTCATGTAATCTGTCTTATGCTCCTTAAATATGCCTTTGAGACAAATATATTTTGAGTAGAATGTACAATCAGCAAGTTTTCCATTATTTACAAATTGCTAAGTATATCCTGTCAAAACACTCACTAAAAATACTGCACATTCTCTCAATCATGCTAAGAAAAACACAATCACTCAATGAAGAGTTTGCCTACGGAATATCACACCCTTCTAAATAAAGTTTTAGGGAAACCATATGAGATACTTTGTTCCACTTTTCCTGTTTGCTAAAAATTAGCTTATCAGAGACCTGCAGAGTAGTCTTTTAAAAGCCTCATTAGCTTGTGTTTTGATTAATAATTAGAAACATATAAAAAAATATAATATATATTATATATTTTATATATATTTTTATATATTTTATATATATTATATGTATTTTTATATATATTATATGTATTTTATATATATTATATATTTTATATATATTATATATTTTATATATATTATATATTTTATATATATATTTTATATATAATATATAATATATAATATATATATATTGGGAAGGAGTTTTGCTCTTATTGGCCAGGCTGGAGTGCAATGGCATGACCTTGGCTCACCGCAACCTCTACCTTCCGGGTTCAAGCAATTCTCCTGCCTCAGCCTCCTGAGAAGTTGGGATTACAGGCATGCACCACCATGCCTGGCTAATTTTATATTTTTAGTAGAGATGGGGTTTCTCCCTGTTGGTCAGGCTGGTCTCGAACTCCCAACCTCAGATGATCTGCCTCAGCCTCCCAAAGTGCTGGGACTACAGGCATGAGCCATCGCGCCCGGCCTATAATTAGAAATATTTATCAGTCATTGGAAAAATTTAACAGATGCCTGACTAAGCACAGTTATAGGCTGTTCTTAACCTCTTCTTTTCTCCTTTATATGTTTCACTTAACCCCACGTCCTTTCCATCCAAAATGTCACCTCCACACCATAACTTTTCACCATTTTTATTCAAAGTAATCTTAGCTTAATTTAAATTATTTCTAAAACATCATCCCTAAGCAAGGTTGTAAGGTGAGTGGCACAGCACAGCATATAAAATTTAGAGACCTGACTTTTATGTCAGCTTTGTCTTTTCCTTCCTATGTGTCATTTAGTCTGCTTCTTAGTCTTTCTTACGAGATTACTTTGATCATCTGTAAAATGAGAATGTGAGAACAGTGAGCCTGAGGATACCTTTTTCAGCTCTAACATCCTATAATGCTACAATTTCATCTCTGGGTCCTGGTTCTTGCCATTTAATTCCAACTTTTCTTATAGCAATTACTTACTATTGGGCACTGCCCCTGGTTAAAGATCTACTCCCTCGATTTTTTTTATCCTCCAATTCCTCTTTTCCATCCTAAGTCTCCAGAGTCCATTTCTTTCAGGGTTCTGCTCTCTGCTAAGAAAAATCAGCTTAGAAAGAGGCTTGGCCATTCAATAAAGAAGTAGGGTCATTGCATCCCAGGGATGAAGCCCACTTGATCATGGTGGATAAGCTTTTTGATGTGCTGCTGGATTCGGTTTGCCAGTATTTTCTTGAGGATTCTTGTGTCGATGTTCATCAGGGATATTGGTCTAAAATTCTCTTTTTTTGTTGTGTTTCTGCCAGGCTTTGGTATCAGGATGATGCTGGCCTCATAAAATGAGTTAGGGAGGATTCCCTCTTTTTCTATTGATTGGAATAGTTTCAGAAGGAATGGTACCAGCTCCTTCTTGTACCTCTGGTAGAATTCGGATGTGAATCCATCTGGTCCTGGACTTTTTTTGGTTGGTAAGCTATTAATTATTGCCTCAATTTCAGAGCCTGTTATTGGTCTATTCAGAGATTCAATTTCTTCCTGGTTTAATCTTGGGAGGGTGTATGTGTCAAGGAATTTCTCCATTTCTACTAGATTTTCTAGTTTATTTGCATAGAGGTGTTTATAGTATTCTCTGATGGTAGTTTGTATTTCTGTGGGATTGGTGGTGATATCCCCTTTATCATTTTTTTTTGACCCATCTCATTACTGGGTATATACCCAAAGGATTATAAAACATGCTGCTATAAAGACACATGCACACATATGTTTATTGCGGCACTGTTCACAATAGCAAAGACTTGGAATCAAGCCAAATGTCCAACAACAATAGGCTGGATTAAGAAAATGTGGCACATATACACCATGGAATACTATGCAGCCATGAAAAATGATGAGTTCATGTCCTTTGTAGGGACATGGATGAAGTTGGAAACCATCATTCTCAGCAAACTATCGCAAGGACAAAAAACCAAACACCACATGTTCTCACTCATAGGTGGGAACTGAACAATGAGAACACATGGACACAGGAAGGGGAACATCACACACTGGGGCCTGTTGTGGGGTGGGGGGAGGGGGGAGGGATAGCATTAGGAGATATATCTAATTTTAAATGACGAGTTAATGGGTGCAGCACACCAACATGGCACATGTATACATATGTAATTAACCTGCACGTTGTGCACATGTACCCTAAAACTTAAAGAATAATAAAAAAAAAGAAATATAAAAAAAACTGCCAAACTGCCAAAGAGTGTTGTCAGAAAGAGCTTATTTCAAGCAATACAGAATGAAACCCAACTGGCTTCAACTAGACATTAACCTAGATATTGATGTAAATATCTCTAATATCAATCCAGAAATCCTCATACCATCAAGGCCAGGGCAGTGGAGAGCTCAAAGGCAAAGCATTCTGGGATAAGGCTTTGTCAAGGCAGTGAGAAAAACTGTGACGCATGCCTTGTTTAGAATAAAACTCCATCCTTTCTGTGGCAGATCCCAAAGAATGAAGAAAAAAAAAAAAAGAAGTAGGGTCCTGTCTTGAATGTCATTAATTAGCTTTGCAAACATGGCACGTGGTGTACATTTCCTTTTCCTTGTGCATGAAATGGAATTAATAATACTATTGTCAGTTTTTAATGTAGGTGTTAGGACAGTGAGAGCAAAGAGTAATTATGAAGTATTAAGTGTCATGAAAATGCAGTATATTTTGACAAATGAACACATTAGCATGGTCGTCCATGTAATCTGTCCTAAGTAACTCAAGTTCTTTTTTTTTAAAAAAAATTACTTTATTATGTCTATTTTGTTTTGGAGACAAGGTCTTGCTATTTTGCCTAGGCTGGATTCAAATTCTTGGGCTCAAGGGATCCTCATGCTTTACAAACCTGCTGAGTAGCTGGCACTACAGCCATGCCCAGTGTGCCTGGCTTCATGTTCTTTTTAATAAGGTCGTCAATAGACAAATTGATTAATCAAAAACAATGATCCTTTAGGTCTGCCAGTTCTGTGGGGAAGATGTTTAGGCTAAGAGAGGAGCTTTATGGCCCATCTCTAGTTGTATTTAAATGCACAGATTTTTGGGTAAACACAAATGGGCTTTGCTTGGATTTATGTCTTTTTGGATAAAACTGGTCTAGCTATACTTAACAATATTGTGAAAACTACTCAATATGCAAGGCCAGTGAATCAGGTGGAGAGATCTTTATATTTTGAATCCAGAATCTGGGATAAAAAAGAAGAGGGTTTAGCTTTAATCCTATATGATTATGTTTAACAATGAATAACGATTCTGAGGAATGGCATGTTGTGAATTAAAAATAATACCTCCTTAAGATGACATAACGAAGCCTTTGATAACTCTGAAAAACTAAGACACAAAGAACCTAATGGATCAACCATAGCCACAAAATCTGATTTTCCCATTCCCAAATAATTATGGGGTATAGCAGTGGAAGCACGTTTATGCAAATATTGAGGCATTATTCAAGAGTCTTCATGTTTGATATTTAACATCCCAGAGCCTCAGTTTCTTTATTTGCAGAATTATGGTAACCTCAACCACTTGGTTGTTTCAAAGCTTGAATAAGAAAATTTATATTAAAGTAGCTTACATAAACTTGACACAAATGCAGACAATAGTCTCTGAATTGCCAAGGCACCAAATATCAAATGCATACATTTAGTATTACAACTTCTTTTTGTTCTCTGAATTTTGTGCAATATATCCTTTCTCTGCTATCTTTCAAATATTCAGATATGGTGTACAATTTTTGCATTCAAGGATCATGGTCTTATACTTTTTAAATATACCTCCTTCTTTATCTCCCTCATATTCAATGGTTGGTTCATCTTAATGTGCCCAAGTTTAATATGTTTTTATGTTTTAGAGAGGACATACTATAATGGCCTTTCTTTAGTACCGGATATTAGAACCCATGAAAATATAATTAACGTCTACTGGCTTTTTTGCATAGCAAACTTCCCATTTTCATTAGTAGGGCAATATATATCTGGTTAAAATAAGGGGCTGTGTAACAAGGCAGAATACCCTTTGGGGAAAAATGAATTAAGCTTTTCTTGGTATTCTATCATTTGTACTGTGATCATGTAAGTGGTTTTATTTCTCTGGGCTCCATTTTCTTTCATAAAACAGAGATGGAATGTTTTCTTGCTTCTTTCACAAAATCATTAAATAGTTGCTTATTTCACAAAATTATTAAGTAGCTGTAAATAACTTTAGCTAATGTATAAAGTTATACAAATATAAAAATTTATAAACTGAAAGGTAGTGATATAGATAATATTGCTATGTTTGGCTTCATTAAACTTTTGTCATATAATACCAACTCTATGATTTCTGTAAGAGTTGAGGGTCCCCTGAGCTATTATTTACATGATACTTTTATATCAGCTCTATTTTACAACCAAAATTAACTTATTTTTAAAAGAAACTTTATATCACTGTTATAAATGGAAAACAAATATAACTTTGAAAAATAAAAGATAATTTTAAAAATGAATTCCATAAAAAAGATGCCATTAAATTCTAGCTAAATACTGCTGCCTATGATGCCTCTGACCTGCTCTCTTTGAGAAAATCAGAAATGAATAGATGTTATAAAGGCCCTAAAAATTGTACTAGCTTCACACTAAAGCTTTGTACTAGATGTAAATCAGAAGTATTGAAGTATATTTTAAAAGAGAACAACTTTCTCACTATGTCATTCTCTGCTATTTCTTTAATTACTTAAAATTATCTTGCCTACCATCTGTTAGACATGTCTGCCATTTAGAGGAAAATTGGTACAGCAGGAAGTGTAATGGGCTGGAAATCTATGGTCTCACAAATCTCCCAAACCTTGGAATGTCACTAAAGTCTAAGAACCTTAGTTTCTTACTTTAAAGTAGGGATACTGGGGTATACTGTTTCTAAAGTCCCTCCTCCCTGAAATGCTCTGCAATATATTTCATTTATATATGCAGAATAGATGCATCTAATTTAGTAAATAACTGAGAATATCTAGATTCGCATGTCTGGAGAAACTGTCTTCCTTATCACAATGTTCTGTCTTATAAATAAAGTCATTCTGAACTTCTATTGAAGTCGCCAATTCAGGAGACATCCAGGCTTATGGGGAAATCAGGAATTTACCTTAATAGTATCTGTAATAGGAGATTATATGCAATAGAGTATGTGAAATTATCAGCCATTCATGAGTAATAGGCTACCCTGACCTCCTCTGCTAAAGTGCTACAGAAATGTCTTGATTGATTGTATGTTTTTACAAAGGAAAAGAAGAAAAGGATAGATTACTGTACTCTACTTCTAACAAGCTTTTTGCAAGCACACCAGAATAAACACAACATTGGATAAATTTAGGAGACCTTTAGTCTTGTAATTGATGGGTTCTCAGTGATTTAATGATGACTTGAAACTCAAGCCTTGATAATGTCCTCCACTCTGTCAAGCAGGTCATTTAAGTTTGTGGGTTATACTGACCTATGCTTCTTATTACATATTTTAGACTTTACCTTTCTTGAGACAACCATTACACATGTGCATGCACACACACATATTTTATATTAGCACAAGGTAGGCAAAGCTTATCTGAAATTCTTTTCATTTATGGCGACTTACAGATTTTCATGTCCAATTTTATGAAATATATGTTCTTATAAAGCCCAAGAGTATATATTCTTCCAATTTTTTCATTGCTTATCATAAAAGCTAGTGAATGTGCATCAAAACCTTTGCATTTAAGACCAGGGGTTAGAGACTTGCTTAGGGAAACTGATCAGTAACTAAACTGGGGTAATATTCCCTGAGCTATTTCCTGGGTCTGTCACATTGCTAAGCATCCATCCCCATTCCAAGACTCTTTATCTCCTCCCACACCAATGCCTACTAATACCTAGCTTGCCTCTCCTTTGGAATTATGGCTCCTATCTTTGGAACCTTGGATATGTTAATGAATGTTACCCCTATTTACATTTACTAGTCCAACTCAATAATTGTTCTGGATTTTCCCCCAGATCTCTACTCATCTATTATCATTTTCAGATCAAAGACACACCCCTATGTCTAAGGGGTCAGAATAATTGGCCACCTGCTTTAGGCTCCCAGCTGCTCATTCTGTCTCCTAACTCCAGTCTTCTATCCCCTGGGATAGTCTGTAACTATATATTACCCCAAAGGAAAAAATATCTGTAAAAGAAAACAAAAATAAGAAAAGAAATATAGCTTGCTTCCCTGAAATTAAAACTGATCATATTTTTAATCAAAGGGAGTTATTAGAGTAAGTCATCAATATGAATGTAAACCAGCTATGGTTTCTTTCATGGAGGATAAATTAAATTGAAAGTCTCAAGGTCAAACATCAATAACAGCTTAAATAAACAGAATGTGTTGGGCTGAAATGTCACTCCATTTCTATTTCAGCCTTCTGTGGGAGAGCTTCTGCCAATATGTGGTTTGAGCTTTGCAAGGCAAACATAGGCTAAGCCATTTATTGTCTTCTAAGCCATCAACTGGTAATCAGTATAACTTATCACCACAGAATGGGTTAAGCCTGGTTATTGTCTACCCTCACAAATACCCTCAAACCAGGATTGCTCATACATGCATTTCAAAAATATATACCAAATAAAAGTGAATGCAAGGTGCCAAAGCATCTTTGGTGCAGGATATCTCTGCCCTCTCTCTCAAACTTTGTGTATCTAGAAGTCTGGAAGCTCTGAATAATCAGCTCAGACATCAATAGTTCTTTCCTCTTCAGTTTCTATAATACCTAGAAGCACTTAACATAGCACTTGGCACAAAATAGTTTTTGTAATGGCAGATATAATTACTTTGGGGTTTCCCTTACCTACCTGATTCTGAGCTTCCCATCTCTCAGGTTGTATTTGTAAGTCATAAACAAAGTCTTTGTAAGACTTACAAGTTATTTGTAAGTCATAAACAGGGTAGCCCAGGTACCCATAGTGTTCCTCATCAGAGCCAGGAACAGGACCCTTAAAGATGAGGCAAGGATAGAAACCCTCTGTTACCCACTTTGAGTTGGCCCATGCACTGGGTTTACATCAGCAAAACCAATTTCTTGGTTCTCTCTTTACCAGCATCTATATGACTCACTTTTTTTTCTTTTTACTTTAGTTTTGTTCAACCCTTGGGAGTTATTAAGCTAAAGCCAAAAAAGGTGCAGCTGGAACTGCCACTCACCAGCTGTGGGACCATGAGCAAGTTATTTAACCCATCTCTGACTCTCATCATCTTAGAAGTCTATCACTAACTCATTATATGATTATGAGTAAAACACTTAACTCACCCTGTTTCCTCATATCCAAAATGAAGTTGATGGACTTGACATTGATAGATAATATTCAAAATTCCTCTAGAACTAAACTTTTTGTTTATTGCCAGATGTTTATTTAAAAGAAAAAGAGCACACCTTTGAGAAAAGTTTGTCACCAAATATACAATATTTTTCCCCTTATGACATCAGAAGTTTAGTAAAAAGAATCTATAGTACATGTGTTATTCTACTTTAGATTTTGTGGCTTTTATCTATATTTAATTTTCAAGACATTTTATTTGCTTCCAAAACAAGTGGAAACAAGATTTGTAAGTAAACAACATTCACTTTGTATTGAAGCAACACTTAATTTCTGCGCTCATCAACTTACAAATTGCCTATGACAATAGAAATACTTTCCATATTGGCATTTGACACGGATTGAAACAGTATACGGAACTAGTGTAAACAACAAATTTAGAACAGCAAGTTCTAAAAAAAAAATCTCACTTCTCAACAGAGCTTGTTTTTCAAGGAAAGGAAAGAACATATTGAATTTATTATTGCTTCATGATAAAACAGCCTAAAACCTAAGTGTCTTAAAACAATGATGATTTTTAACATTCTCTGGATTGACAATGCTTTTGCTGGTCTCATCTGAAGTCACTCATATGGCTGCATTCATGTGACAACTCAACTGGGAAAAGCTTTGTTCACATTTGACAATTTGTGCCGGCTGTGCCCTGTCACCTCCAGATGCTCTTTCCCCTCCACTGTAAGGTAATCCAAGGTCCCAAGAGGGCAAGACCAGAAGCTGCCAGGCCTCTGAAGGCCTAGGTGGAATTTACAGTCAGAAGACCATCCCAGACTTGCGAAGGTGAAGAAATAGACTCCCACCTCTTAATGGCAGAAGAAGCAAATTCACATTGCAAAAAGGCACAGAGTGATTTATTATAACAAGCTGCCATGTCAATATATTGTTTCCATAAAGACAATTTAGGGAAAACTCTTTTATCCTCATGGGTTTAACATCCCTGATTTTAAATACCATGTTAAAAGAGGGAGAGTTCTTTTAATTAGCTAATTCAAAATATTCAGAAAATAGTATGGAGAGTTTTTGAAAGGTAACTGCTTTACACATGTTTGCGGGTTCTTCGTTAAATATTCAGCTCTTCAAAGATAAATACATGGTCAACAGGAATTAGTTAACGGTTCTCTTGTATTTACAATGGAAATTTCTTATTTAAGAGTTTTTTATTTTCCTTCAAGATAATAATTGATTATAAAATTCTTAAGATACCTTATCAAAATCAACCCCCCTTTAAAAAAGACCAAATCTTTTACATATTCTTTTATATTAGACTTTTTAAAAATAAATTAACTGAAAAACGTGAACACTAGAGAAAGGGCAGTATTATTGCAAATTATTGATGTACAAATGGAAATTATGAGTACTTCAATTAATCTGAACTTAGAACTTTATTAACAAAGAGGTTGGCAGGCATTAAAGTATCAATAGTAGGCATGCTAAGTCAAGTCGAAACTTAAACAAAAACTCATAGTGCAGGTTTATGGAAGGAATAAAAATGCTCCTGTGCCTGTCAGATTATATCACTCTTATTTCATTGGCTCACCCTCTCCACCTGTGTCAGAGAATGGCTTGGAGCCCAAAAGCATGTCTCACTTGATTTCTCACATAGAGCTCTCATTTCTTCCAAGACAGCCCTCTTACTGCTTGCTGTGCAGTGGCTAAGGGCTGCTGGAGCGTGGTACCTCAGTACTGCTTCTGATACCTCCATGGGAGTGGTCACACTCATTCTCCTAATTCTGCTGCAAAGTGTCACAATGTTACTGTATTCCCTTTTATCCTCACAGTGTGGAGAACCATGCTGTGTTCCATGGTGAAGTGGGGAAACACTGCTTTTTCCCATTTCATGCCACATTTTTCCACTTGGGCTCCACCTGGGTATAACCAACGTCTCACAAAATGCTTCGTGGATTTCCAAAGTCCCTTCAATCTCTGCCTGCATAATTCTCCTCAGAGAGTTTATACTTAATCCATGAGGATGGCATAGAATAATTAAATCAGGCTGTTACTCCATCACCAGCTAATGAGACATGCCCAGACATACCTGAACTTCAGATTAGGCTCAGCTAGGACTCCAGGCGTATGATACAATAAAATACGGTAGCATTAATTTTTTTTTTTGTGAAATGTTAACCGTGAATTATATTTGGTGCCATTATGATTACATATAACATTGTATATAATATTACCTATTATTATTGATACAGTTTTCCATTATATAGGCAGGCTGGGAGACAGTCACAGCCCAGCCCTGGGCGCTTGCTGCCGCCTTGCCTGCAGAGCCACTAACCCAGAGGGCTTCACACAGTGAGGAGGGTGCCTTATTTGGCAGTATCTAACTCTGAGGCGCTGCATCCCCCGTTAGCACTTTCTTTTTTTTTTTTTTATTATACTTTAAGTTTTATTTTTCAGGGTTTCCAAGACAGGAAGGTCAAATTCTAGAATATCTAGTTTAAAACAATGTGAATAATAATCCCACATCATCCCCTAATATTATGGAGTTTTCCTTTGAAAAAACATTTTAGAAGTGTTTTGGAGAAACAGCATAGCATGTAGATGAATCAGAATTCAAATCCTAGCACTGTCTGAAATTAGCATCCTGTTTTAAGACTTGTTTTCCTTATCTGGAAAATGAGGATAATATAATCTAACTGTTGGATTATTTGAGGAAATAATGAGTATATGTGTGTAAAGCATCCAGCACATTAGATAGGAAGTAACAGGCTTTTGATACAAAGAAGCTCATGTTGTTTTGCAACCTGGGAACCTACTTAGGGGCCTGAGAGACATAGTTCCTTTCTTGATTATGCAAAATGGCAATTTCTACGTTTCATGATATTATGTGGAAATGTTAAGTTGGTATTATTTTAATTCTTATTTATTATTGCTTTTAGAGGAAATCATGGAAGACAAGAAATATGAACTAGTTTAAGATGTCTCTTCCATGGAAACACTTCAAAAGTAGAAAACGCTGTACTTTCCTACATTTAGAAAAACACGAGGCATTAGAATTCATTTGACAAACATTTATTGAACACTAATTAGGGAAGATTCACAGTGCTGGGTGCTGGGGACAGAGATGAGGAATCACACATAATCCCTGCCCTTGTGGAAGGGAGGCAAACAATAACAAATGCAATAATGCACATAGGAGACTGAGATACAAGCATCTGGGTCAAAGAAAATAATTTTAATTCAGGAGATACAGGAGGCCTCTCTAAGGAAGTGACATTTACACTGAGACCTGAAGAATGAGAAAGCTAGCAAGATAAAGACTGTGGGTGCTAGGCTGGGGGAAGAGCCAATGCAAAATACCAGGAGGACAGCTTGGCATGTTTGCACAGTCAGGCTTAGAGTACAAGAAGAAAGTGCTACAAATGAGTCTGGAGAAGCATGAAGCAGGCTGACCTATCCAGGCCTGTACTTAGTACCAGGAGAAAAAGTTGTTTCTTTTCTTTACAATCGTGTCATTGAGAAGGCCAGCTTACATAACAAGGGCTCCGAAGCAGGGAATTCTTCTTGTATTCACTATTTAACAAATCATATATCATCCCCGTTACTACCAGCTGATATTCTCTTCCAAAGACCATGCTGTGTCCATCACTCCATCAGACTGCTTGATTTTCCAAAATACCAGTCAGCCGTAGTTTATTCTAGCTATAGTCAACCTTTACAAGGCGCACCTTTGCTTGGAAAAACAATAAATACTATATTTTGAGAAAGAAGAGGCCATATGATTATCATTGCTAACCTTTCCTGGACCTATTTTGACTTCTTTGTCTTGTGTGCAAATCAGGGACTCCATCTGCTGGACTTTTCTTCTTCTAGCTGCCAATTCCCAGGATTTTTAAAATGTTTATTGTCAAACCTACATAATGGCTATGATCTGATCACTCCAGCTTTTCCATTTGAAGCACAAATAAATTTTTATGTGTTTGCTTGTCATTACAATGAAGATGAAGAGGAGATAGGGGAAAAACCTCCAAAACCTTAAATGTTTTTCGTTTTGGGGATCTCTAGTTTGCAGTCTGTTTTGACTGAGGTGCTGAGGTGGTTCAGTGAACTGTGTCCTTAGATTTTACTACCGAGGGTGAGTTCACCATTCTCCCTTCTTGCCCCAGTAAATCCCCATAATCTGCTGTTTTGCAATAGTACCGGGACCTATTGAGGCCTTGACTAGGGAACGAAAGGCAATGTATTCTAGTCCAGCTCTGCCTCAAAGTGCCAGTTTAAAGTGGTCTATGTGTCAACATTTTGAGACTATTTCCTCATTTGGAAATTAGCATTGAAATCTCTACTTTATATGCATCACAGAATTTAGGTAGAGAATAAACGAGAGCACATCTCTCTCTCTCTCCTCTCTCTAGCATTTTTCTATCTATTCATGTTTTAAAACCACATTAGGAGGATTTAAATAGGAGTTCTGAAGCACATCATATTTTCCAAATGAAGAAGAAACAAAAATAAATTTAAGAATTCAAATATTCAGATTCAAATATTATAATCGAATAGTATAATCAAAATATTCAGATAATAAATGATCAGATTTATGATTAGTTTTGTCTGGTGGATATAAAATAATTAATATATATGCCATGGTTATCTTTTATGCTATTAAAATTTGGGAGGATAACAGGACTTATAATGAAAATAGAATATTATTAAGAAAATAAAGCTTCACTAGTAATTACATTTAAAAAATAAATCTAGGCCTTTTAAACCATAATAAAAATCATTGAAAAGATCTCAGTTCTCATCACATTATCTGCAAGTAACAAATTTAGGGCAGAAATTATACTTTTCCTTTTATAATACTAGAAAGTGATTTCTGGCTAACGTAATTTTAGTTCTATCACATTTGGGACTGTTCTTCCTTCAGTAAATTTTCTCATGATGAAACTTGCTAATCTTATCAGACGTTTTTGTTGAATATAAAACAACTACTGTTATGATTAGGAAAGTTATTAATGCCTTATATTACCTGCCTAAGGGCTAGAAAATTGAAAATAAGTTGTTTACTTTTATATCCTGTTATCAAAGGGGTTTGAATGACATGCTATTAATTGTATGAAATAGAAAATGTCTAATGCAATCAATTGTAAGCAGCTTTTCTTACAATAGGATTCTATTCCATCTATTTCAGATTACAAAATTACTCAAAAATTGTTATACGAAGACATTTTATAGGGTTGTGAAGTGTTCAAAACCAAAAATTGTGTAAAACTGGAATCTGATAGTAGGATAAAAGGGGAAAGTGAGGAAATTGAGTGAAAATCACTCAAATTTAAACACTGCAATGAGATCTCCTCAGCAGATGACTTGGGCAGACACAACATTGGATAAATCATTGGGGCACTGGAAATAGTGTATTAGAATCTTTTAGAACAATTATGCCCTCACCGTGATTATCTTTCTTTCTCTCAAGAATTAAAGCCAGGGATCTTGGCTTAATCTGATCCTTTCTATTGATCTTAGGGAAGTAGGGAAATAAAAAACAGCTTTACCTCTTTAATAGCTAAACGTTAGAGAACCTACTACATTAAAGGTGTGGACATCAGAAAGGCGAGTGTCGATGGACTAGAGAGTATGGACCAGTGCAGCATAGAATGACCTGTCAGTCCTTAAAATGCTATGCAATTTGAGGCCTACATGCCTGGCCAGGGATAGCTTTTTTCTACCTAGCACTTCCCTACTCTTCTTTCATGAGCCACCTCAAATATCATTTCTTCTATGAGACATTTCCATACAATGTCCATCATCTCCTCGAAGAATATACACTTCTTATACTCTGGTGTTGTTCTGTGTAATTCAATAGTACTACTCACATTATAATATCATCAGCTCATGTTATTCCACAGGGCAACTTCCCCCATCCCACCCCTTCCCCCACCCCCAGCAAACACTGGCCAGTGTCTGGGGATAGTTTTGGTTGTCGCATCTAAGAAGAGGGCTGTTTGCTACCAGCATCTAATGAGTAGAGGCAAGGATACTGCTAAACATCGTACACAGGACAGCCCTCCACAACAAGTAATTATCCTGCTCAAAAAAGTCCGTTGAGAAACAGTAAAATCACTATTTCTGAAAAATATATATATTTATTTACCATTATATTGTATTTTTTATTCAAGATGTTAACTTTTAACTTCTCTTAAATTTTCTGATATATTGGCTTTAAGAGGATTTATTTTTCCAAAATGAAAAAACAAAACATAATGGTATACAGCATAATTATAAATATGTAAAATATACTGAGGAGTTAGAAAACAGAAATAATTCCTCAGAAAAGCAGCCCATTTAAAAACGCTCACTAAATTTTAGGACCAAAGTAAGAACCATTTTTGTGACTCTTCCCTGCAAGCAACCCCTTGGCTCAGTGAATGTCACAATTGTCCATTCATTCTGTTCCTCCAGCTAGAAGCCACCCCAGAAGTTGCTCCAGCTTAGAAGCGCTCTCCTCTCACCTCCCCATTTCTAGTTTATTACCAAATCTGCAAATTTCATCTGCACTCCCCCAATCCTGGACCCACCTGCATACACTGATTGCAATTTTCCCTGCCTTGTAGTGGATTTTAAGATAAAGTCTGAATTCTTTCTAGGCATTTCAACTTCTTCCCTGGCTCCTGCAACAGCCTCCTGGCACTCCACGCCTCTGCCCTGGCTTTCTGCCCTCCACCACACCGGCCTCCACCAGCTACCTCCCGCTGTTAGTGTCTTCGTACACACAATTGCTTCTCTCTGCACAGTGTTTCCTTTCTCCTTTTTCCTGGTTAAATCACACTCCATCTATCTCTGTTCAAATATTTCTTCTTCAAAGATACTTCCCATGATCACAGACTGGGTCAGTATCTCCCCCTAATCTTTCACAACCCCTTTCTTTATAGCATTTCTTACTGTGATTATGTATTAATTTGTGTGGTTACATTATATTTACATTTGCTCACCAATAATTCCCAAGAATTCATTTCTTTTCTTTTTCTTTCTTTCTTTCTTTCTTTCTTTTTTTTTTTTTTTTTTTTTTTTGAGACCGAGTTTTGCTCTTGCTGCCCAGGCTGGAGTGCAATGGCATGATCTCGGCTCACTGCAACCTTGGCCTCCCTGGTTCAAATGATTCTCCTGTCTCAGCCTCCTAAATAGCTGGGATTACAGGCACACACCACCACGCCTGGACAATTTTTATATTTTTAGTAGAGGTGGGGTTTCACCACATTGGCCAGGCTCGTCTCGAACCCCTGACTTAAGGTGATCCGCCCACCTCAGACTCCCAAAGTGCTGGGATTACAGGCATCAGCCACTGCACCCCGCCAATTCCCAGGAATTCTAAAGGGCTTGGCACCTCTTAGGAATTTAATAAACACTTTTTGTATGAATAAATAAAGGAAAGAAGGAATTTGTGAATCTGAGGTCACTTTTGCAGATATCAGTTGGCATCCAGTTTCTTTCTTTTTTTTTTTTTGAAACAGAGTCTCACTCTGTCGCCCAGGTTGGAGTGCAGTGGCGCTCTCTTGGCTCACTGGCTCACTGCAACCCCCACCTCCCAGGTTCAAGCAATTCTCTGCCTCAGCCTCCCGAGTGGCTGGGATTACAGGTGCCCGCCACCACACCTGGCTAATTTTTTTGTGTTTTTTAGTAGAGATGTGGTTTCGCCATCTTGGCCAGGCTGCTCTTGAACTCCTGACCTCGTGATTCACCCGCTTCGGCCTCCCAGAGTGTTGGGATTACAGGTGTGAGCCACTGCGTCCCGCCGGCATACCAGTTTCTGACATTACTGCAAAATATAACTATAGTCATTGCTGTGTTATTTCAAATAATGATTAAGAAATACAAAAAGAGATGAGTAACATACTTATCATTGTCATATAACTTCTCACACAACTTGGTTTTACAGGAAATTGTTCTCTTTTATTAAGTTAATTGATAATTCACATACAGAAATTTCTGGAGAAAATTTCCCTAAAAGATTCATGTTTGGATACCATTAGACTGAAGAATACTTTCTTTTTCCTAGTGTGAAGGAAATGTGTTCTAATTGACCTGTATTATTTTTAGATGCGTGTGACTAACCACCACTGAAACGAATTCTATGATTTACCAGTTCCTCAACCAAAATCCCCATTAAATATGAATATTCTTGGAATGCTTCTTCCATAAGATAAAGTTGTCGTTTTTATTTATTATATTTTGCTATGGCTGTCCATTATTCTAATATTATTTTCAGATTATATCTTAATCTATTGGGTAATCAATGAGCAATGTTCTCTATAATAAATACTGCTCATTCTCCTCCTCCCCAAAACAAAACCATAAGCTTGTCCATTAGTTTTGACTCCTTGATACTTCCATTTGCCAGAATGTGGCATATTGCAAAGTTGTAGTCAGTAATTATTTGTACCACCATATTTTTCTGCGTACAACAAAAAAAATCTCATATTACTTATCACAGTCTGCAGTTACTACTTAATCGAAATAGCAAGGGAATCTAAGACTCAAAAATAAGTTCTTAATCAAAAGTGTTAAGTAGGAAGTTTGGGAGAAAAGTAATTTGTACCTATTAATATTTGCATTGAAAATTTAAGAGTTGATAAGGCACCTGCAACGTCACAAATGTGCACAAATTATTATGGCAAAATCTCTCTTAAGATACAAGTTGAGTAACATGTAAAGGCCATTTATTATCCGAAAATTCCCTATTGGTAATAAATAAGATTTTAATATAAAATTTTCTTTGTATAGACTTATCCCAATGAATGGAGCAGCTTTATACATTTGTCACCATTTCTACCTTAGTAGGAAGCTATTGAAAAGTGATCACTACTGCCTTTCATTAGCCCCTAGTATTCCATAACATTCTCCCAGTGGCTCTCGGTGTGGGCAAGAGGATGGCAAGGAGGGAGTGATGTTCTAACAGGCAAGCAGGAAATATTTCTCTTCTAGCCTTACCTCAACCAAGGAAGCTCCTTTGGCTATGATTGGAAAAAACGGTAGGGAACAAAAGTTTTTAAACTATAGTTTTGAAAGAAAGTAAGGATGGAAAAAGTTAATTTTTTCTTTTTCTTTTTTCTCTTTTTTTTTTTTTTTTGACAGAGTCTTGCTCTGTCGCCCAGGCTGGAGTGCAGTGGCGTGATGTCAGCTCACTGCAACCTCTGCCTCCCAGGTTCAAGCGATTCTTCTGCCTCAGCCTCCCAAGTAGCTGGGACTACAGGTGCCCACCACCAGCCCAGCTAATTTTTATATTTTCACTAGAGATGGGGTTTCACCATGCTGGCCAGGATGGTTTTGATCTCTTCACCTTGTGATCCACCCGCCTCGGCCTCCCAAAGTACTGGGATTACAGGCATAAGCCACCGCACCCAGCCCAAAAAGTTAATTCTTACGTGTTAAGATTTACTGTTGAGAACACCTGGACACATAGAGGGGAACAACATGCACTGGGGCCTATCAGAGGGTGGAGGGTGGGAAGTGAGAGAGGATCAGGAAAAACAGCTGATGTGTGCTAGGCTTAATACTTGGGTGGTGAAATAATCTGTACAATAAACCCCCATGACACACGTTTACCTATGTAACAAACCTGCACATGTACCCATGAACTTAAAGGTAAAAAAAAAAAAAAGAAAGAAAAAGAAACTTTACTGTTTAATTAATAGTACAAAACAGGTACAAAGACTGAGGTCTTATACAAGAGTTGAGGTGTCCAAGCTTTAGCTTAAGCTGTATCTGTTATTAGGATTGAATCTTCTTGAGTGGGCCTGTTGAACTGGTAAAGTATACCTGCTAGGACTCAACTTGAAAGAGAATTTGAGGAGACACCTGAAGAAAGAAAACAAAATGTCAGGCAGAAAAATCTGGCTCAGAAAAGAGAAAAAAATATTCCTGAGACAGAACAGTATTTGAATGAAGATTTGGTAAGGAATAGGACTGTTACATGCAAACTTTAAAAAGTCATTTCACTAAAATGTAGTAAGACATAGGACACAATGCTTTTGAATCCCTTTAACAGATTTTACATAAAAATGAGGAATTAATGCAATTACTCATTTTACTAGAACCCCAAGCAACTCTCATAACACCAGTTTCCCAAATGCAATAGAGTTGCCAGGGAACATGACAGACCAAGCAGAAGCACTGGGGGCACCTTTCAGAGATGGCAAAACCTGGCAAGAGCAACAGTAGTCTGTGGGTGCAGCAATACGTGAATGATACTGCAGTGCCAAGGAGAAAGGCCCAGAACAAGAAGAGAGGAAAAGTACTGTCCCTGGCAAATAATGGCTACGTCTGCGAAGCCTGGTTCATGTGTATGTGTAGGAACTTACCCGGCACATGCAGATGGGGACCAAGAGTGGCTGGAACATGATGGCAACTCTACCATTTGTACCTACAGCCTTGGTGAGGCCTGGGAAAACACTAGGGGCACTTATGACTCATGAAATTCACAAATTAATTCTTGATTCATACGATCTTTTAATCTTCACATTCTTCATTCACTTTCATTAGCTGACACTGCTGAGTTAGTCTCTCTTGAAATATCACTGATGTGGATATTAATGAAGTCTTTGGAAGTTTTGCTTATTCTTCAATGGAAGTGACTATTATCTTTGATAACTCAATGTAGATTTTTATTTCAAATATCAATCACTTGCATAATCCATAAGCCATCGGTAGTCTTTACCTGGAATTTAAATGAGAATCATTACTGTATATTAATTTAAACTTTTATCTTGGGCATTAAAAACATCCAATAGACTAAACATATGTTTGAGGAACAATGCAAAATCTTTCCAAATATAAAGTGCTCAGAGTAGGATAATGACAAGTATCTCACTTCTTTATTGATCCCATCTTCCTTCTATTTTAAGGACTTTTGTCATGGAGTTGTGGAGTTGGAGACGTACCTCCATATGCCATATGGTTTGTCCTTCTGTCTTCACACAGATGGTGGTCTCCATACTTTAATATATCTCCAGTGATCTCCTCCTTTTGTGCTCATACCACTGTGAATATAAAAATTCCTATGCAGAGAGAACATATAGCTTTCCAAACCCTATATTGCTTTTAGGTCCTAGAAGTATTTTGCTATTCCATTATTACTGTTTTTCCTTCCCACTGATTATATTGGAAACGCCAAGCCAAGTAGGTAGTGAGGCAGGCCAAAGTAGGAAGTACAAAGTCCTGGAAATAAGACATGACTACTGAAGTGAGATACACCAACTAAGCCGATCCCTGCAAAGTGTTTGTGGTTTTAAAAAGAGAATGAGGCAAATGTACCAATAACAGTAATATAAATAGACGGTAGATTGCAGTAAACTGGTTCGGTAGGCAGAATAATGCCTCCCATCCTGCAGAGATGTTCATGCCCTAATCCTCGGAACCTGTGAGTATGTTACCTTATGTGGCAAAAGGAAATTTGCAGGTGTGATTAATTTAAGGACCTTGAGATGGGGAGAGTATCCTGAATTATCCAGGTAGGCACAGTCTAATCAAGTGGGTTGTTAAAAATGAAGACTTTTTCCCAGATGTGGTAAGAAGGAATAATGATCAGAGTCAGAGGAAGTCAGGGAATATGTGACAATGGAAGAAGAGTCAGAGATGTGATGTTGCAAACTTTGAAGATGGTGAAGATGGAGGAAAGGTCTATGAGCAGAGGAATGTGGGCAGTCACTAGAGACTACAAAAGGCAAGAGACAGATTCTCCCCTAGAGCCTCCATCCAGAAAGGAGCACAGCCCTGCACGGGCCTTGATTTTACTCCAGTGAGACATCTAACGCACACACAACTGTAAGGTAGCCAAATTGTATCATTTTAAGCCACTAAGTGTGTGGTGGTTTGTTATAGCAGCAGTAGAAAACTACCACAGTTGGGTCTACTTTCTTCCGCCCTTGATTGCCTACGTTCCAGTCTCAAAATAGCATCCAGAGTGATCCTAAAACAAAAATCAGATGCTGTCTCTCTTCTACTCAAAAGCAAGAAGCTACTCAAGTGCCTTCCTACCTCTCTCAGAGTAAAACCGAAAATCTTCCTAATAGCCTCCAAGGTCCAACATGGCCTATCCCTTAATTTTTTTCAGACATTATCTCCTGCTCCTTTCTCACTCTGCTCCAGCCACAGGGACCACCTTGCTCTTCCTAGAACTCATCAGGCATGCTTCTGCTGTAGGACTCTGTGCTTGGTGTCTCTACACGGAAAAATCACTTTCTCCAGAGAGCTGCAGGATTCACTTCTGTGCCTTTTAGGTCCTTGCTCCAATAACACCTAATCAAGTGAATCTTCCGTGACTGCAAATGAATTGGAATTGAAACCCCCCATTCCCGTCCTCAGTACTTCCTATCCAATTTTCTTGCTCATTTTTCTGTCACAACACTTCTTCCATTTTACATCTATTTTACATATTTATATGGTTCATTATCTTTCTCTCTCCATGAGAATGTAAGTCCAACCAGCACATAGAATTTTGTCTGTTTTATTTATTTCTGATTCTCTGGTGCCTAGAACATTGCTTGGCACATAGTAGGTGCTTAATACATATTAAGTGAATAAATGAATGAATATGATAAGAGAATTAAAATGGAGACTAACCTTGGATGTTTATTCTTTTATTGATGTCATAATAACATTTATATTCAACCTGACCTAGGTATAAGTCACTTAAAAACAGCATATAGCTCCCAACACAAGCCAGTAATTTTATAGATTATCCTGGATTACTTAGGCTCACAATTAGCCTTTCTCTAACTCAAGATCTCTGAGTATTCAAGCTTATTTCTCAGAAACTTAGCATCAGTTTACAAGTATCTGTGATTGTAAAATTTCCACTGGCACCTTGTTTTGAATCACTCATTTGGCCTTGCCAAGTTGGGATATACTTAGCAGCATATATGCCGCCTTTCCACAGCCTCTTCTTAAATTGAAGTGCATTGAACACAAGGGCCATAAGTAATTTCTCTATCACTGACAACTATCAAGGTTCCCTGGAAAGTAGTTTTTAGTACAAACACACACACACACACACACACACACACACACACACACATGTTTTTCAGTCAAATTTCTTTCTTCCTTCTCTCTTTATTTTCATTTCAACTTCATTAAAATTTTCCAAGTCTTCCCTGGAGTTAGGTCTTCCTTCCCCACCCCAAATCAATATGGGTATCATTTACTCTGGGGGGTTATTGATTCAGTGTACCTAGTTTAAAGAGCTCATAACTGTGTTGGCATTTTATCATGAAACTTTGTCATTCTCACAGAGGAATAACCCCAAACCTTTGGGGTACCTGCCATTTGGAACTGTTTTTTTTCCCCCCAATTAGGGTTTCTACAAAATGTTATTTGTTATTATTATTACTTTTGGAAATCAGTGTCCTGATAGGGTAGTGTATTGAAACTGATTTATAATAAAAAGCTGTAGTTGTTTTAAATTTCACAGTATCCAGTGTGACTAGATTTTTAATTAATATCCATTATCTCATATAGATCTGACAACAGCATAGAGGTGTGTAAAGAGTAAAAATTGATATTCACTATGACTCAGGCTAGTATAAATTGCCTAAGGTTAAATGATTGTCTGAGAATCTGAAGTGTTGGTGGGGAAGATGATACACTGTGATATTGTACCATATTGTGATGCCCAGTATTGTGATGTCAATCCAGAGTTTTGCTAATGAGCCATGTTTTTATTCCATAATAACCTCGAGTAGATATCACCTAGTGGCTGTTCGTATATTTTCATTGAAAGAAAATTCAACACTTTAGGAACACTTTAGAAGATCTTATTCCATTATTGAAAAGATGTTATTCTTAGACAGCTCTTAACTAAAGGCAAAAAATCTGATTTCCAATGATTTTCCCTTCATTAGCGCAAGTTGTTCTGACTTCTAGGGTAATACAAAGTATACAGTACTCCCCTCCACGTTTGGCAATATAGGTAGCAAGATTGTGAAGATACATCCATGGTAAGGAATCTCTTTCTTGGGTTTGAAAATTCTATCAAAGAACAAACAAAGCAAGCATTTACATAAGTTACAGAGCAGTGCTTCTCAAATAACAAGGGCATACATACCCACATCAAGACGGCAAAGAGTCACTGTATCAGCTGAGAAATAGGAGTTTGACTATATTCTTCAGATGTATTAAACAGAAGAAAAGCTGAGAATCACTGCTGTAGAGAATAGAATGATTTCCATTGTTCCAAAGACAAAATATGAACTATGTTGGACTTTTCATTACTCCATTTTTGAGCTCTGGCACACATAACTTATGAATGCCCCAAAGGCAAGGTATCACTCTGTTCCTGTCTCTTTCCTTGAGCTAGATAAATATATCTGCCTAATGGAGGAAGTTCATAATGACCATTAAAATTATAATTCTCTTTCTAAATACAAGTAATAAAGCTTATGCTAAAACATGTTAATAACCATTTTTGAGTGAGTGGATTGCTCATTTTCTGGTGCTCTCAGAAGCCCAGGCTCATCCTTTAAATGCTAGAGAAGCAAATGATGCTTCTCAGTCATCACACCTGGGGAAAAGTCTCTGTAGAGCTGGTGAGTTGTAGAGCAGGAAACTTAGAGAGAGGCACTGTAGTATGAAAGCAGAATTGTGTATGCTTCTGCAAGTGTATTCAAAACTGAGACGTACAATGTTGTCAATGCTCTGCTTTAATGAGCATTAAAATCACTTAAAAAAAAACAACCAAACACTCCTTTTCAGTAAACAAGCTTCTTAGTTAAATGCCTTATTTAGTGATTACAGAAAAAGCATTTAGTTGTAATTTCGCCTACATGATTTGGTTTAAGAATATTTATATTCTATTTTACTCTGGAAACTACATTCAGAGATTATCAAAGGAGGAATATAATAAAGAAAAAAAGATTGTGTATTTACTTAATTTTTTATATTGAAATTATGTTCGGGGTTTAAAAGACTTAAGGGGGTGTTTAAAAAGAATGCTATTTTGCTTTATATTTTCAAGGAATGGGGACCTATTTCTAATTAAAGTGCAATAAAAATCAAATAACTAGAAAAATATTTCTAGAAGAAATCTTAAGGAAATGTTTAATCACATTTTGAGGATAATAACTCACATGGGATTATGTTGATTGTATACTGGTTATTTGTAAAATTATACCTAATAGCCTAAAACGACTGACAGATTTCAAAACTGCTTTTACTTCAGGAGGATCCCTGTTCTTTAGGATATAGGGTCTGGGGAGAAAGAAGTCAAGAAAGCTGGTTAAACCTCTTGAGGAAAAGGAACAATGTGGTGTCATTTTCTTGGCCTTTAGTAGTAGTATAAATGAGTCAAATGTTTTGATTACTGTATATACAACTAATTTTGGACTTATATTTAAGTTGTGGTGCAATTTTAAGTAAAGTGGGACCCTTACTCCTAGAAATCTCTCCTTTTTCCTCATCTAGAATCAGTCCGTTCTCTCCTACCACAGAATTCATTGATTCAAATAAAATTTTAAATCAGCTTTGCACTGTACTTTTGCTACCAAATGTTGTGATGGAAAAGGTAAAGAAGGGGAATAAATTTAAAAATAATTATAATACAGTACATGCAGTAAAAGCAAAAAGTAGAAAGCCCCTACTCTTAGCTATGGAAATACTCACCCGTGAGAGGTCAACTCTACCCAAATATGAGTATCAAAGAAGGAACCATACAAGAGTTTATGTTAAGAACTAGGTCTTAATGTATAATAGAGGGGGTATGCAAATATCCTGCAAGAGAAACCAGCTTTCTTAAAGTCAAGAAAGTTTAGAAGAACATAACATGTCAAGGAGATAGGCAAATAGGACAGTATGTTGTCTATAAAATACGGTACATGGAGTGGATGGACAAAAGTGAGGCTCGAAGGTTAGGTTGCAGAAAAATTATGAACAATTCCATGTGCCATGAAAATAAGGTTGGTCTTAGTCCTGCACACAATGGAAGTTTTACGTGGGCTCATCTTCACCTGGTAGACTCCCTTAGGACAGGGTCTGTCTGCACTCACATGTTTTCGAACTAGACTCCATGCCCAGTGTATACCTCAATGCATAGCACATGTTTAATGCCCTGTAAATATTTTTTGGATGAATGAATAAGTACATGAATCATGCATGAAACCAAATTATTACAATAAAATCAAAAGTTGGTATGCAAGAATTGAATGTGTCAGACATTAACCTCAAAACAAGGGGAACAAAAATGCAGACCAAATGCCAGTTTTGTCTTGTAATTGATTTTAAATATGAAAAAAGGACCATTAGAGAGAAATTTTATTTAGAAGTTGACATTAATTTATTCCATTTTGGCAGAATATGTACAACATCCAATTTATTTATGCTACATTTAATTCAGATACACAGAATTTTATTTTAACCTCTTTTTTTTGTTTTGGCCAACCCCTCTCTGCCACTGCAACCAACCGTTTTAAGATTAGAAATAAAGAGAATGGAAGAAAAAAATCCCTTCTGTCTGAGATCATCCCTGCTGACTCCCATCCTGTGATGCTTACTAACTATTGTTTATGTTCTGCTTTCTGTAAGTGCTTGTATGTGAAAAGCCATGCAGATGCCATGGCAATAAACATCACAGCAAGATGAAAATACATTTCTATTTTGAGAACCAAAGCAATCAATCAAATGATAGAGAGATGTACAGGTGTAGAGGGTTTTATATTCTGATTTTGAAAACTTGGTCCTTAGATATGGCATGCTTATTTCAGAAAGAGAATGAAAGGGCAGATGGGTGCCCATTTTTTCTTTGAAGTCAGGAATGCCTTTTTACAAAAGCGCCTCCTTCATGTCTGAAGTATATTTCTAGAAAGGAAGAGGGAGACCACTGTTCTTTGTCAGAGCTCAAATAAACTCCACTCTCTGTTTTTAATTAGAAGAGAACCTGGTTTTGACTTTAGAAACTGAAAAATGAAATGATCAAGAGTCAAACACTTGGCAAGTCATCATAAGAACTTGGCTGTGAAGGTACAGGATAAAGGAGCTCCTCAGTTTCACAAGCCTTACTAATCTGCATTTACAAACAGAGTTGACAGATTAGGAATCCTAGTAGGATGGGAAGCTTGGATTTAAGTTGTGATTTAAAATGAAGAATAATATTTTGCTTTCATTAGGTGTTATTCAAGCACAAGCCATTAGCAACAAATAGCCACAGGATGCCTACCCACAAGTACACTCTTTCAAGAGGCATGTATCTGAGGATCTAAGAATGGAAATGATCTTGTCCCTACTTCCAGGAAGTTTAAAAGATTGTTGTGGAGTTGAACAAGTAAATAGGCAAATAGAATGCAATGTGAGTATATATGAAAGGGAAGAGTGCAAAGAGCAATGGGAGTAGATATGAAGAGTTGAGTAACCTCCGCTAATTTGGGGTTAAGGAGTCAGGGTTAGATTCCAGAGAAATGAAGCCTAAGTTGAGTCCTGAAGCACAGGTGGGAGTTACTCAGTTGAAGGAAAAGAGCAACCAGGGCAAAAATCCAGGGATGAGCAAGTCAATGTCAGGTTCTGAGAACACAATGTGGCTGGAACATAAAGGGCCTGAAAGTGTTGAGAGATGAGGATGGAAGGAAGAGGAGGTGCCAGCACATGGAAAACAAAGAACTTAAAGCATCAGAGTAGGATAGTCAAATTGGTACTTGAGCTACATTCATAAGACTAGGTTGAAAAAAGTTAAAACTAGAACTAGGAGAGCAATGAGGTTATTGTAACAGTCTAGGTGAAGAACGACCAGCCACAATCACATAAATGGTGGAGAGATCCAAAAATATAAAATGGGGGTAGAATTAATATGACTTGTGATTACCTAGAGGCAGGAATAGGAGAAGATAAGGATAATTTCTAGTTTCCTATGTGGACAGCTGGATGAGTTGTTGTGCATTCTATGACATATGGAATGCAGAGGATGAGCATATTTGACTGAGACAGATGTGTGGCAGTGAATAGAGATGAGGAGGGAGAAAGTAAGTTGACTTTGAGGAATCTGTGGGATAATCAGTGAAGACATTCAAGACATTGAGTTTAAAGCAAATATTTTATATAAAAATTATGAATATATAGAAACAAAGTAGGAAAAAGTCTTTCTGTTCTTTATATTCTGAAGTCCTTGTGATTAGCTATCTATCAATGGCAATTGTGAAAAACAAACCTATGGCTTTCAGAAATACAAAAGTGATATTTTATAGTCTGTGGCTGAAAATCTTTTCCCAATGGTAGCTTTCTATAGATATATTGATAAACTATAAAGTAAATCCTATTATAACCCATGTTATTTTATTGAACTAACACTTTTTGTGTAAAAACTGGTATAGTGAGTTTCATACTTAGAAATGATATTATTGTTAGATCATTATGCTATTCTATTTAACTATATCAAGGTATGTGTGATTGAAGAAATTGTCTTTCTGCAGTATTGTATTTTATTCAATGAACGTTTAGATTAGATCAAGTTAGTTCCAGCGAAATTCAAATTACATTATGTATTTCTCTATGGAAACTAATCAATGCCTAAGATAAAATGAATTATACGAAGTTAGAACAATAATAAACATATTTTAAAATATAATTTTGGGGTCTATAATAGAAAGTTTGAATAAATTATACAAAATTACCTTTTCAACCATAGCATATAACACGTTACAGAAAAATAAGCCAGGCAAAATTCTGATTAGTGGTCATCCTCCTCCAAAGACCAGCATTTTGTCTGCAGTGTAAAGAAACTAACAAATAACATTTTCTAACACTTGATATCAGCACATTTCTCTTAGTTAAAAATAAGATAAAAAAATAAAAATAAGAAAAAATAAATTTCATATTTTCTTTTATTTATGCCCTTTCTAGCATTCCTTATGTCTTGATGTAATTCCAAGTTCCTGTCTGGTATCAGATTCTGCATGAAGAAATTTTTTAAGAGTTTCCTTTAGTGCAAGAGTAGTGGTAATAAATTCTCTGCACTTAGGTTTCTATGAAGAAAAAGGGTTTTCTCAAGATTTTTGAGATATATTTTCACTGAATATAGAAGTATAGGATGACAGGTTTTTTTCTTCTTATCACTTTAAAGCTTTCTCTTCATTTTCTTCTGTTGCATGGTTTCTAATAAAAAGTATAATATAGTCCTCATCTCTATTCTTCTGAATGTAATTTTTTATTTGTCTGCCTTAAGGATTTTGTATTTATATTTAGTTTTTAGCTGTGTGAATCAATTTATGTCTATATTTTATTTGTTTGTTTTTGTATTTATTACTTATTTCTTCTTTAAGCTTAATGCATCTGTGATCTATGACTGTAATTAATTTTTAATTTTGGAAAATTCTCATGACTGACCATTATCTCATAAATACTTTTTCCTGCTGTCTTCTCTCTCTCTCTCTCTCTCTCTCTTTTCTTTTATCCAGGATTCCAATTACACATACATTAGATCATTTTATGTAGTCACATAGCTGTTGGGTATTCTGTTCTTTTTTGCTGTCTTACTCTTTTTTCTATTTCCTTTTCAGTTTGGGTAAATTCTGTTGACCTGTCTTCAAGTTTACTGATTCTGTTTTTGGCTGTATCACATTTACTAATTGTTTCAGAAAAGACATTCTTTATCTGTCTTACTATGCTTTCCATATCTAACATTTGTGTTTCATTTTTTCTTAAAACTTCCATCTCTCTGCTGAAATGACTTAGCTGAGTATGAATGCTGCCCAAGTTTTCTGTTTGGGCCTCCCACATATTAATCATCTTTTAAAAAATTCTCTGATTGTTTCAACATCTATATCCTATCTATATCTGGTCCTATACATTTTTTTGTCTCTTAACAGCACATTTATTTTGTTTTATTTTTTGCTTCTTTGTGCATCTCATGTTTTTTGGTTGAAATGGAGACATCTTAGGTAGTATAGTAGAGACTGAGTTAAATATTATTTGTTCCAGGAAATAAACACTCCTTATCTCTTGCTGGCCTTCCACATGGACAATTGAGTCAATCTGAGTTTAGATTTTGCTGTTGCTATGAGTAGCCTCAGTGCATCATTGTCTTTATTTTTGTCTAGTCTTACCTCACATTTAGGCTGGGTGCCAGTTTACCAGAGGGTTTTTCTCAATGATTACTCCATCATCGGCTTTAGATCTTTCCTCTGTCCCTTGCCTAAACTTCAGAGAATCAATCTCTCTTTTATCTCTCTCTCTCTTTCTCTGCTCTTGACCCTCTCCCAGCAAGAGATTGCCATCACATGTCCCTCAAAGCTTATTAGACCAGTGGTGTAGGAACAAGGTGGTCCTCTCTGTTGTTCTGGTTCAGGCTCTGTCTTAGGCAGGTGCTTGCTTTGGTTCTTGTGGATGAGGCTTCCTCAGTGATTTTACCCTTCCTTCACCTGAAAGAGATCTCAAATGGTTTCACTCATGTTATATTCCTGTTCCTTGACAACCAGTGGAGATGTTATTTTCTTTTCCCTTTCTCCTGCCTCAGTAGATCTTCATCTGTGCAGTGAGTGCAACAGGCTTCATGTCTCTTCCTCTAGAATTTTATGGCTTTTGTTCAGGACGGGAAATAAGGAAGAAACATCCGAGTGAGCCTTCTTGTCCTTCGTGCAGCAGATGCTGTTCCCTCCTCCAGGCTTATGCCATTAGGGAGGCTTTCCCAGTTCTCTGCCCCCAATATTCCTCATAAGAACTGTGGAGAGGATCCAGTGAGTTAGTGTAAATTTCTCTTGAGCTGTATTTCTAGATGCTTACACTAATACACACTCAGCCTTCAGCAGTTCATTGAAAATTTTAGTTGAGTTTTGAAAAAAAATTTTAACTGGCTTGTATAAGATCTGACATTGACCATAGGTAAGCAAGTATTCACATCTGCCTCTCATTAGAGGTGCCTACTTTTCCTTAAATTTTAAATTGCTTGCTTGCCCTGTGACCTCAGCACTCATTAATTCAAGAAAAGCTGTAATTTTACAAATTATCTGATTTTTTGTTGCTATTCATTTAAGAGTGATGATCTTTTTATCTTTTTACGTAAAAATAGGTTTTTATTTGATCCATACAGCAACATTTTAAAATACTTCTGTTTTTATGTCCAGTTTACAGGAGAAGAAACTGAAGTTCAAAGAGGTAATTAATTTCCTCAATATTTTAAAAAACCAAAATTGAACAACACAGTGAAGACTCCAGGCTTGGTCTATGTGTCTAATTCTAGAAGCAGGGTAGGAATTTCTAGAGGCATTTATTTCATGCCCATCTTTAACAACAGTCTGAAGGCTTATGGAACTAATGTTATTGGAAATTCAAATCTATGTTATAGAAAAAAAATCTATATTAAGTTTACTATATAGTTAACTTAAGCTTCATTATATACAATTACAGATGACTTACAGGAGAGTTGTAATAAATTTCAAATACTTTCCATTAAGACTAAAGTTTTTTAAGGTACTGTTTTATTTTGGGTTCAGACTTATTTTCTCTCAGATTCTGCAAACCCAACCAACTCTTGTTGGGTTTGGTCTACATTAGCCTTGGTCTACATTAACTCTGCATTTCCCTCTCTCCCCTCATCCTCTTCTCTCTATCTTTCTTGCATGAGGACTCATATTACTCAGAAGCCTCCCATCTCTTTCCGAGGTTGCTTAATGTTTAGTCATCAATGATTGATGACAAGCAGACCTGTCCTACAATAAATTCTGCAAAAATGACCATAACAGTTTTGTTTGTTTCCCAAATATGGGATCACTTTATCTGTGTGATTCTCCCTTCATGGCCTAGCCCTGTTCTGAACAGCCTTTGTTCTATGGGTAACTGCTTCTCATTCTGTCCTCTTCTCCATCTCACCATGGTGATTGGGTGGCTTTTTAGTAGGCAGAAGATCTTCCAGCTGGAGTATTATTAGAAAAGAACCTCCTTTATGGCAGGAAAATAAACTCTGTCACATCCTCTCTGAAACACTATTTACTAGCTAAAACACTTTAACAGCTAAAGAGCATCAGAAAGATTTGAAACTTTTCAAGGCAGCCATTGAATGAACCCCACAAAATTTGGATCAAGGACATCAGCTCAAAAGAAAAATAGAATATTCCCTATTCTTTTTGTTTATGATGATCTCTTCATGTAATTGCACTACCATCAATATTAAGTGATGTACTTGGAATTCTAGATTCTAAAAAAAGGGATCGAGCCTCTGGGATCCTTGCTAAAACTTTTCTGATGGGTGGATATACAACCTCTACTTGACACTTCTCTCAACTGCTCACCAACCTAATTACTTTCCTCTGGACAAATTCCAGTTTGTCCCACTGTGATTTTTTTTCAATATTGATTTCACTCATCAGAATTTGGAAAATTAATACAAGATAATATTTGCATTGGGTATCATTGTTTTCAGTACAACAATAATGACATCTCAATTCTGCTACTTTCTATATGTGTGACACTGGGAAAATAACCTCTCTGTGCCTCTGTTTATTCATCTGTAAAATGGAGCCAATAATATCAACTCCTTAAAGGTTGTTGTAGGAATAAAGTTAGTTGACATATATGAACGTATGTTAAGCCCTTAGAACAGTGTTTGGCCCATAATGATCTGTAAGAATTAACTAATATTTGTAGGTTGGGAGGAAAATCAATCTGGAGAAAAAACAAAACAAAAGTTGCTCTTTATCAGCAATTCCAAATATCCACGGATTTTTCTTAAAACAGGATTTTCCCAAAACTTAAAAGAGCTCATATTTTAGGAGAGTAACTTTTAGATAGTATCACTTAATCTTGAGAATGACAGAGAAACCCAGAAAAAATAAAAGCTGCTAACATTTGAATTCTTTTTATCAATACTTCGTTTGATCAACAATATTTTGTTTTTGTTGTTATTTCCCATTATTAGGGAACCAGTAATTGTGTTCATAATAAACCATATCTCCTCTCATTTCCAATTTAAATGAACCAACCTTGAATCCACTTCACATGCATAGTTTGGTAATTTTATATTCACAACATGTTATTCATCTCTGAACTTTCCTTGCTACCACCCACAATCGGAATCCCTCAGATGAAATTTATAGACACTTGAAAATTAATTCTGCAAAAGGTTTCAGAGGCCATGGAATTTTTAAAAGAATACTTTTAGCTTAGATCTCAGTAGTCGTCTAAATTAATATCTCCAGGATTATTTTCCACTTTGTGAATAATAAATGAATCCATGAAATAAATGGGAAAGGAGTAAAAGAGAGAAAACTTTGACAAACCTTCCGGAGTATTCTGTGTTTTGTGCTGAAATAGTTTGAAGGTAACTTGGTAAACCCAAATCTTTTAAGAGTCACCTTGATGTTTATAGCACATTGTGGATTTTGACTTTTTATTTCTTCTTTAATAAAAAAGCATAAATTTCTGAATACAAATACCAAAGTTTCACCTATATTAATTATTTCTCAGCACAAAGAGAAAGCTAAGGGAATCTTCCACCTAATCAAGTTTTAACAAATAATGTATTGCTCTTCAGCCATACTATCATATTAATTAGTTTATAATTACATGTTATAATAATTGCGATTATTGCTTTAGGCTTTTATGAGGAGCATCTTTAGTGAATATTAGTTTTTACTGTAAAAAGTAATAAAGCAATAACTGCATCCTAGGTGTTACCTTACACTGTTCCTTTTTGACAAATACAGTTCTGAAAGAAATGATGAATTCCTAATTGTCAGGACACCAAAACAGATCATGGAGAAAATAAACATCATTTCCCACAGAGCTCAAATTATCTACCTTACCTATTATCTGGAGACATTAAGCTACTAGAGTAAACTTTGATGTGCTTTTTATAGAAAGTTTGCTTCCCGAGGTGAAGTGAGTGAGAGAATTACTTATTACTTTGAGCTGCTTTGGGTATCAAGATTGTTGGGAGGATTACAATGCAATAACATGTGAAAGTTATTTGACAACATTAAAACACTCTACAAGTCTGATATGTTTTGGGTAGGATATGGGATATTACTAATATTTTTAGCAGACTAGTGATATTTATTTTAGGATGCTTAACGTGAATGTGGTTTGAAGGATAGCTTAGAGTGGGGAGAGACTACAGGCTGGGGAACCAGATAGAAGAGTATTTGTAATAGACATCATTGGTGGCTTATGAATAAATAATGGAATAGAACAAATAACATAGAGGTGGGTAACTTAGGTGATCATTAAAGTCCCTTTTAACATTGACACTCTGAGTTGGTAAATACTTAAATAGGATTTGGTAATTGATTAGAATATGAGAATCTGAAAAAAAACAATGCCCTTGCCATTCATATACTCACAATTTTATGTGATTTTATACGAAATCCACAAATGCCTAAACTTCATGCAGAATGGTAGGGATTGGAGATGGACCATGAGTTTGGTTGCAGGTAGACTTGAAAGAATGATAATGTCTCTATACAAATAGAGACTGCAAGGGAGACCTATAGGTGGCGGCCATGTGTAAGGCCTGAGGTATCAGATGGGAAAATGTGGTAAATAAGGTTTTGGACATTTTGAATTTTAGAGGCTACAGGGATGTCTAAGGGGAGATATTTCTCAGGTGTCTCACCTGGGATGCTGAAGCTCATGAGAAAGGTAGATTTAAAGATGCAATTTAGGTGTTATCTGCATATAGAAAATGAATGGCAAGATTTGAAATTTCCTGGAGTAGTTCTTTTCTGATCTTTTGAGAAGTCTATTTCTTTCAATCTCAAGAATTAAACCAGAACTTTAGACACTAGCTGGTCCCCAGAGCTAGTGTCATTGTGTAAGGCCTTGTGAGTTAAAATGGAACAATCAGAAGCAAGATCATGAAAAGTTCAACATTGTAGTGGAAGAAAGAAGCCAGAAATCAGAGGTTTAAAGCCAATGGGGTGATATTAAGCATTGAGTTTGGGTCAAGAAGGGGGCTGTAACCAGGAAATTAGTCAAGACCTAAAAAAGAGATGAATTTGTTCAGGAACAGCAAGGAACCTAATGTGTCTAGCTTGAAGTTAGCAGTTCTGGGCTTTTTCTAAAATCACAGCAAGATTGTTGTGAATCTCTACTTAAAGATATTGGGCCAAATCTGATAGTAAGAAATATTTACACAGACCATCATCCCATCTTCCATCTTCACTATGTTTTTCTTCAATGTCTCCCTTAAGAAGATTAAAAAAAAATACAAATCTCAAGAGGCACTGTTATTCTTACCTATTCAGCACTAAATGAAGCTTTCTTCCATAAGTGGTGCTAACTTCATTTTTCTGAACATAGTCTATGCTATCTTTTCTTTTTGTTAATTGAATTATAACTTAGTGGAAAAGATGCACAAGCCATCAGAATATATCTTTTGAATAAAGTTATATTTGAATGTTTATCCAAAAAATATGTTTGTCAAATCTTTGCTTAATCAAAAAGCTATTTTAATTAAACAAGTTTCTTTTAGCCAGTTGCAATAGCTATGTAGATACTTTGTTCCAAAAGGCATCTAAGGGAATCTGTTTTGTAAATGAGAAACATTTTTATTCATGGTAAATGAGATAGGATTTAATTTTCACTCAATTAAAATATTTTAGTATATTGATGAAAGCCAAGTTTTAGAAATCTTATCTTCTTTGATATTGATAGGCTGATGGTTCATTAGCACCATCAGTTCTGTCAGTGGAATCTAAAAGATGAAGCAACATTAATTCCTTATTTAGAGAAGTGATTACCAAAATGTGAAAGTATGTGAGTTTCAATTCATTCAACAAATATTTATTGAGATCTCACCATATGCCAGGGACTTTTTAACCTATATTTCTCTGAAGAAGCTGGGTAAGTTTCACTATGAGGCAAGTGAATTTAGATTATAATTGCAAATAAGGTTTACAAAAAAGGATATTATAACATAAGGCAGGGATTTTATATGCCCATAATAACAAAATGAATTGGATCTAGTTACAGCATCTCTCAGTGCGATATGGAAAAAATATTGCATTAATTTTCAGTAGTTCTTCAAAAGATTTTATCTCTGTGTGCAGAACTGGAAGCCTTTTGAGGTAAAATTAGTTTCTGTTTTGACAAGTCATTTTATAGTCCTATACTTAAAATGTTGGGGTACAGTTGACAGTTGAAGATAATTTTTCAACGTCTCACAAATATCTGGCATTATTAAGCTTCTGGGTGGGAGAGTCCAAACTGGGGTTTGTGTCCAACTAAGGAATGTAACAGCTATGAGGAATAAAACAGAAATGTAAATTTGCAAGTAACACAAGCACATACTTTTACTGCAGAATATAGATATATCTATAAATCCATATCTATATCTATATATATGAATTTATATTATATATATGGATTTAAAATTAAGATTAATCTTTCCTAATGGCACTTTAAGGGACAGAGGACAGTAGAATTTTAAACTTGAAATCGGTGCCTAATCTGCCATTCAGTTGCGTGTCAAAAATACATCCTTATTAGAAATCCATTGCAGGCCAAGCATGGTGGCTCACACCTCTAATCCCAGAACTTTGGGAGGCTGAGGCAGGCAGATCACTTGAGCTCAGAAGTTTGAGACCAGCCTGGGAAACATGGCAAAACCTCATCTCTACAATAAAATACAACAATTAGCTGGGCAGGGTGGCACATACCTGTAGACCCAACTACTTGGGAGGCTGAGGTGGGAGGATTACTTGAGCCCAGGAGATCGAGGCTGAAGTGAGCTGAGATCATACCACTGCACTCCAACCTGGGCGAGAGTGAGACCCTGCAATGCAACAATCGTAATGTATAATTTTCTTATGTTTAATTTTAAATATCATTTGACACATTAAAGGTCCTATTTTCTCTTGCTTTCCTTCATGAATACAAAGTAGTATTCTTTTTTTTTTTTTTTTATGAGACGGAATCTCGTTCTGTCACCCAGGCTGGAGTGCAGTGGCACGATCTCGGCTCACTGCAACCTCCACCTCCCGGGTTCAAGCGATTCTCCTGCCTCAGCCTCCCGAGTAGCTGGGACTACAGGCGTGTGCCACCATGCCTGGCTAATTTTTTTTGTTTTTTCTTGTTTGTTTGTTTTTGTATTTTTAGTAGACATTGAAGTTAGCAGTTCTGGGCTATTTCTAAAATCACAGCAAGATTGTCCTGAATCCCTACTTAAAGATATTGGGCCAAATCTGATAGTGAGAAATATTTACACAGTAGCTGGGACTACAGGCATGTTTGCCAGGCTGATCTCGACCTCCTGACCTCGTAATCCGACTGCCTCAGCCTCCCAAGTGCTGGGATTACAGGCGTGAGCCGCCACACCCAGCCTAAAAAGTAGTATTCTACAATTGTGTTACTATATAGCAGAAAGTGAATGGCTTTGGAGGGAATAAGGCAGTTCTTGGTTTGATTGTCAGGTTCACCACTGAATACTTTATGTAATCTTGATCCAACTATTTAAAATTTGAAGCCTCAGTTTCTCTATTTGTTAAAGAAACAACTTATACACCTGAAGATGAAAAGGAAAACATATATAGAAAGTGCATAGAGCCTGTCAGTTTATTTCATTTTCTGAGTTATGTACCCAATATCCATAATTCATCCATTCATTTACTCATTCAATGAATCTTTATTAAGTGCCTACCTTGTGTCAAGCACTGTATTAAGCACAGTGAAATAAAAAAAAAAAATCCTGCCTTGTGGAGCTTATATTCTTATTTGTGAGATGTGACTAAATTCTTATTAAGAAAGTTAATCACATACTTGCCTGTGAAATTATAAATATGTATAATTATAAAATTATCTTCTCTAAGCTAAAAAGAAACCCTATCTCTAAATCTATATTTCCTTTATCTCTTTATTGCCTTTCTTTAGCCATTCCTGTTTCCCTTGGCAATTATGATAATTTTTATGTGTCTACTTCTGTATTAGGCTTGAAATGGAGTTAGAAGGTTGGATGGGAAAGGTATACAGGAATGTTATTCCCTACCCCAAAAATGCTGAATGTCACAGAAAATAAAAAAATCAGGGCCGGGTGCAGTGGTTCGCGCCTGTAATCCCAGCACTTTGGGAAGCCAAGGTGGGCAGATCACCAGAAGTCGAGAGTTCGAGATCAGCCTGGCTAACATAGTGAAACCCCGTCTCTACTAAAATATACAAAATTAGCTGGGTGTGGTGTCGTGCACCTGTAATCCCAGCTACTCCAGAGGCTGAGGAAGGAGAATTGCTTGAACCTGGGAGGCGGAGGTTGCAGTGAGCTGGGATCGTGCCACTGCACTCCAGCCTGGGTGACAGAGTGAGACTTCGTCTCCAAAAAAAAAAAAAAAAAATCATTTAACGTTGAGTACATAATGTGTTAAGTGAAATAAAAATATAATTATGAATACAGAACCATATGTTAAACAATAAATAGAAATATACAAAATGAGAATTCAGATAAGGAAAAAATAAGTCAATATAAAATTAATCAAAAGAAACCTTCACAAAAGTGGTGGCTTTCAAGCCAACTTTGAAGGATGGATACATTTTCAACACATGGAGAAGAGAAGAACAATCATGAGAGGGTAACATTTTTTTTCTCCCAGCTCCTAATGCTCAGATCCTTAATTAGTATCATTACTCTAGTTGTGCCAGATTTCAGATAAATAAAATACCTTATCTAATTAGCAGAACACAACCTGGCAACCAATGTTTTTTGTTGGTTTCACCAATAAATCCAAATTTACCAAATATTTTCTATTTTTCAATTTATTCAGCCCCGCAGTTCTGTTTTCAATTTATTCTCCCTGCAGTTCTGTTGTTAAATAACAGACAGGATCCATACATAGAGTGTCCAGATACCACCTATAGTTGAGTAGGATCTAGCCTTTTCTACTTTCTCAGCCAGAAAATAAGGTATGTGGCCACAGCCTTACGGCAATTTAAGTCTGACAGGCCTCAGTTCCTTCTGCTTCCGTGGTTAGGGTTGTCTGACCAAGCTAGAGATGCATATGCAGTTTACAGTTCTTATTTGGTTCTGAAATACTCTACCACATCCCACCAGAATCATGCGTTATTCCCGACCATCTACTTTTTCTCAATCCTATGTATAGTGATGTTTTTAGGCAGCTAATCATTCCAAGGCGTATGAAGAGAACTGTCTAAACCTCTCTTGCTGCCATCTACTTCCTGCACAGGTCATCCTCAGAGTACTCTCTGAATGCACGCAGGGTTTGAGAACTGATTGGCTCAGAAGGTTCTGGATTCTGGTTTTGATTCATTTCAAAGACAGCAACTGTATTTAGGGGAAGAAGGCTTTTTTCTCTCTGGTCTTGGTGTCCCTACATATCAAGGTTGGGCACTAAAAGTATCAATAAACCAGTGTGTTCATCCTCATCTCCACCTTTATATTTTGTGGCCATCTGCCAAACTATGATTCTGGGCATGCAATATTAGGTATGTTGTCCAATAATGTACTTTTGCATTCATCTTCTTCAAGGAAGCACATAATTGAATTTCTGCCCAGATATTTGGCATGTGACTTTTCTTCTTTGTTAGTTTGTAGCATTATGACCATTTTGGGGGTCTGTTTTCATATAGTCACAGGCATTTTAATGAGAATCCTGGGAGACCTTTATTAGTCTACTTCCAAGCTGACTCCAACTTTCATTTTTGAAACTTGTACTAGCTACATAATTTACAAGGCCCAGTGCAAAATGAAAATGCAGAGCCCCTTGTTCAGAAATTCTTAAGTCAAGAGCACAGGAAGACAGAATATAAACCAAACATGGCTACTATCTAAGCGCTGTGTCCTGTGTGACTGCACGCTAAGCTGGTCCACTTAAAACTGTCTCCAGCTTCAGGTTTGAGGTCCCTGCCATCTCAATGTTCCTTCTTTCCCTACTAGAACTTCTCAATTCCTTGACTGACTTCTCTTCTTTAAGCTCTTTAAATATGAGTGAATCCAAGATTATAGTTCCCGTTCTCTGATACTGTTTTTCTACTATGTAACTCTAAGAAATCACAAGTAGTTTAATGATTACTCCTTTCTGAAGGTGACTCTAAACTTAATATCTCAAGCCTTCATGGTTCTCATGAATTGAGGAACAAATTTCTAATTGCAAGCAGACATTTATGCTGATAGCTAATACATCTAAAATGGAATCCTTCTTATCCCCAGGCTTTTTCCTAGGAATTCTCTTTAAATATTTTGAACATTTGCTCTCTTTAGCTTCACAAATATAAATAAAAATTAACCTCTACTTAAAAAAATTTGGTTACTAACTTTGATAATATTTGTCTGATATTTTCACTTATTCTATCTTGTACCACTGTCTGAATGCTTTAAGTACTTTCAAAATTTTTTCTTCTTTTTTGGAAAAAGATCTAGTATAAGTAATAATATCTTGAGAAATGTGAATTGGAACAATTGACTTTTTATGATTTTTTAAATATAAAATCATAAAAATTACTGTTGTTTAATGATATATTCAACTTATCTTTAAATCATGGGGAATTAACTTGATTTTCATTTCTGGTGTTATGTTCTAGGAAATATCCTTAGTAAAGAGTCAACTGAAAGCTCTTCTGCTTTTTTAATACATTGAAAAAAAGTGCATATTTTATAGCAAATTAGTAAACTGGTAAAGGCTTTTTCTAACACAATAAGATTTTTAAATAAAACATATGTATTATGTTAACAGCATGTTAAAAAAACAGTTAACAGTAATTAGGAATTTCTGTGATTATTTAAAAATAGGAAAATCTTTTCCATTTCTCATATATTCAATCCAATTTTACATTAATGCTGAAGCAAACCACATGGTACTGTGCTTTTATTTGTACTGTACTCTATAGCATTCCATTTTTTAAATTTTATTTTACTTTTATTCTGATTGACCATGTTAGTCAGGCTATATCATCTTCGCCAAGGACAACCTCAGAATATTTTCTACATTTAACCAATATAAGCCATTCACAGTATTGGTGTTTTGTTTTGTTAATTTGAGAAGCAAGCTTCAAATTTTGAAAATATGCAAGTAGCCTGTGGTTTTTACTTGCTAGTTGTATTTAAGTCTTTTACAGAAAAATAAATTGTCAAGTTTGGTACACTCTACAACTAGTTACTTAATGCAGTATTCATGGGATCCATAAATAAGGTTTGATTTGTGTTTTTTTTTCCTAGGAATTATTTTTCTGTTCTGCTAGTGAAGTATTTGGAGGTTCATTCCTAGCCTAAGACATTCATCTCAATTATTTTAATTGGCTCCCTGCAGATAGCCCTTAATATGTGATATCATTCACTTACAAAGTAGTTGCCACAGATATCTGCCAGTGCTCAACCTGGTGGCAAAGATGTGTAAAAACCATTTCAAATGATGTCTTTAGACATGCAGAGAATATCACTATAACATAATGTTTAGTACTACAATTTTTCTTCATTCACTGTCTCTACTTATCTAGTCTCCTATGTCAGCAGCATTGTCACTGCTAAATCTTTTGGAACATATAGTGGTAAATTAGTTTGGCTGTTAAGTTAGGTGGGAAAATAAAAGGTATACATTTACTAATTTTTTCCTTGGGATTTCTGATTAGATACTATGGCTTACTGGTCCTGTATTATTATTGTTGTAATTACAATATCTAGTACTTTTCTTTGGGCAAGTGTATTAGTCCATTCTTGCATCTTTATAAAGAACTACCTGCGACTGAGCCATTTGTAAAGAAAAGAGGTTTAATTGACTCACAGTTCCACAGGCTGTACAGGAAGTATGATTGGGGAGGCTTCAGGGAAACTTACAATCATGGCAGAAGGGCAAGGGGAAGCAGGCACCTCTTCACATGGTGGAGCAGGAGAGAGAGAAAGAAGGGGGAAGTGCTACACACTTTTAAATAACCAGATCTCATGAGAACTCACACACCATCAGGAGAGCAGCAAGCGGGGAAGTCCACCCCCATGATCCAGTCACCACCTGCCAGGCCATTCCTCCAACACTGAAGATTACAATTAGGTATGAGATTTGGTGGGGACATACAGCCAAACCATATCAGCAAGCATAATAAAACACAAGCCCTTAGAAAGCTCAGAAACTACCACTTTTATGTATAATAAGAGCCATTAAAGATTTTTATCTTTTTATGTTACGAGAGGAGCAGGTCCTCTGAATTTTTAGAAAAATAGTTGAATTATAGGGATCAAGGCATGCATGTTAGCTATGGAGTTCGCTCATATAAAAATATTTAAAATCCCTATATAATATGCATCCCTATATAACATCAAGCCTCCAGGTCTTTGCATGAGTAAGTCTCTCTAATCTGGATGCCTTCTTCAGCCTTTCTAATTGCTGGCAAGGGTGCTGAGTCCCACTGGGTGAACCATTTGTTTAGATTCAGTTCAGCTACATCTTCCTCTGTGAAACATTCCTCCAATATCAATATCTCTTCATGATCCTCCCATTTCAACTCTCAAACTCCTACCCAATATGCCGTTCAGGAGCTCAGGGAAAACAATAGTTTTGCAATATATTTGGTTCTACCACTTAATAGAACTAACACTTGGGTAGCAATAAGACTACTTTTTGGTGTTAGGGTCTAGGAAACATTCTTGTTAAATAATCAACTAAAATGTATTTTTATGTAATAAGGTTTGGTTATAAAATACTGTTGAATTTCAAAATATCTTTTTATATAATAAAGGTTGGTTATGAAATACGCTGGGAAATTTGTTTAGACTGCATTATCTCCAGTTTCCTCATTTGTGTGATAAGGAAAAATGTACATAGGATTGTTGCGATAATTAAAGACATTTTAAATAAAGTGTCTGGTACACAAGGGACAATCAGTGAATGGTCACTATTATAAAGTCATTTGTTACATAGGCTTTCTAAGTATTTATTTCCCTTTCTTGCTAAATTCTTGAAGAAGGTTCTGTGACTTGTCCACTTCTGTATATTCAGCACCCAAAATAGAACCTGGCATCTAGGCAATACTTAATGGGCATCTGTTAAAATAAAATATATAGGATATAAAACATTAAGATGTAAGTAGTTGACTTTTTTATTGCTGACTGATGGTTTGAGTCCAAAGAGATGACTGGAATTTAGTGTAGATGTTAAAAACTATGTTAATAAGAATCAAGATGAGCTCATCTTCAATCATAGAGTCATAAAGTTCAAATACCAATGAGTTTGAAGAATATTTTGCCCTTTAAAATACTAGTTTGCTTTTGCATTTGCCATGTAATTTCAGTGAGTATAACTAAAGAGACTCATTCACAGGACTCAATGAGAAATTCTCTGACTAGAATGATTCTATCTAGAGTCATAAAAAGCCAGGTGTCTTGCAGCTGTCTAAGTGACTTCACACCTTTTCATGTGATAAAATATTTAATGTTATTTTTATCACTTTACAGTTTTAAAAAAATGAATTGAAACCCTTTCAAAAGTTCTGTTGATTTGCCAGTTACTATCTTGTTCACTGAAATGTAAGAGAAAATGCCTTTCCAGGATAAAAGCAATATTCAGAATTCCATAATTGACTCTTGGTTATGTACGTGTGACCGCGGATGAAATACTTCCTGAATCTTTCTTATTAATCATATGGGATGATTATTGAACTAGTAGCCTCAAAAATGCATGTGAGTACACACACAAACATCCTAATATATACATACATTCAAGCATGCATACATATATATCTCTCAATACCTCCAGAAATAAACATCAGAGTCTGTGCCAAGAAACTGACTAGCTAAATAGAGATATGCCAGCTGGATGATGCATTTCTAAATGAAACATCTGCTTCTAATATTAACAACCAAAACTGCTAATGCAGGCAGGTGTCATATACACTGAAATATTTGGAAAAGAGAGGGTTAATTAAAATAAATATTAAAATGGGTAGAAATGAACTGATAAAAAGTAATCCTTCATTTTTCTAGTAACACTTGCAAGCTGTACATGCATATGAAAATGTACTCTACCAGATTTTGAAACTTATTTAAAACACTGTGATATTGATACAGGAAGAGATATACATAGGAACAAAATATATGTGTATATAAACATATCTATCTATCTATAACCACATGGAAATTTGGCATAGAATGGAGAGAGAATTACAAATCAGAAGGGGAAGATTGACTGTTTAATAAAATGTGCTGGGAATCAATGGCAAATATACAATAAAATAAAATTATATTTTTATTCATATTATACCCCAAATAAATTTCAGATATACATAAAACCCAAAGTAAAATATTCAAATTTAGAAGAAAATAGGGGCAAATTTATGACTTTAGGAAACAGTGGAGTTTTTAAACAAGATACAAAAATAAAGACATATAATAAAAGTTTATTAAATTTGACCACATTAAAATAAAACCTCCTTCAACCTCAGACATCATGAATAAAGTTAAATCACAAAACTCAGATTGACAAAACATTTTCTTTTTCTTTCTTTTTTTTTTTTTTTGAGACTGAGTTTCGCTCTTGTTGCCCAGGCTGGAGTGCAATGGCACAATCTCAGCTCACTGCAACCTCTGCCTCCAGGGTTCAAGCGATTCTGCTGCCTCAGCCTCCTGAGTAGCTGGGATTACATGCATGCACCACCACACCCAGCTAATTTTGTATTTTTTAGCAGAGACAAGGTTTCTCCATGTTGGTCAGGCTGGTCTTGAACTCCCAACCTCAGGTGATCTGCCCACCTCGGCCTCCCAAAGTGCTAGGATTACCAGGGTGAGCCACTGGGCAGAACATTTTTAAAGGGTGTATAAACACACAGTATTACAATCTGTAACATAAAACTACTCAGTAGAAAAATAGTAACAGATTTTAAAAGGCTGTTTCAAAAAAAAAAGGGCATGTGGCCAATAAGCTTCTGAAAAGAGGTTTAATGTAACTAGTAATTAAGGACATGCGAAATCAAAACAATGCAACATTATTAAACACCCATGTAGGCACAAATTAAAAAGTCAATTTGATGTTGCTGAAAAACTGGATAAACAAAAATATTCATGATCTGCAGGAAAAAATAAATTTTAAGTCAAAAACTATAAAAAGAGACAAAAAAGTTAATTATATAATTATAAAGCAGTCAATTCAGCAATAGGATACAACAATGTGTGTATGTGTGTATATATCCATATATATACACATATGCACCCAACACTAGAGCACCCAAATATATAAAGCAAATATTATTAGAGCTAAAGAGAGATTGACTCTGATACAATATTAGCTGGAGAATTCAACACCCACTTTCAGCGTTTGATAGATTTTCCAGACAGAAAATCAACAAGGAAACATTGGACTTAATCTCCACTCCCCTGTGGCCCAGGGCTGGTCTAGAAATGCCATCCATGAGCCAAGGTCTGGAACTGGGGACTCTGAGAGCCTGCCTGGTGCTTTACCTCGCTGCAGCTGAACTGGTACCTAAGCTGCAAGGCAAAATCCCCTTTACTCTTTCCTCTGCTTTTCTCAAGCAGATGGAGTCTCTCCTCATAATCACCACAGCTGTGAATATTCTGGGTCACACCTGAACCCAGCATGTCTCAAGAGTCTCACTGAAAGTCCACGGCATGTACTCCTAGTTACAGGTACTGATTATTCAGGATCCAACAGCTCTTTAATCAACAGTTGATAAATCATGCCAGGGCTAGGTCCTTCCTCTCAAGGCAGCAGGTTCCCTTCTGACCAATTGTGTCTAGAGATGTCATCCAGGAGCTAGGGTCTGCAGTGGGGTCCTCATGACTCTGCCCAGTGCCCTATTCTACTGTGGCTGAGTTGATATCCAGGTTGCAAGAGTCCTTTTTACTCTCCCCTCTCCTCTTCTGAAGCAGAAGAAAGGAGACTTTTCGGATCTATGAGCTGTGCTGCCTGGTGTTGAAGAAGGGGCACAAGCTGCCCTGGCTGGTGTCTCACTAGGCTGCATGCCCTCCAACTCCACTGGCTCTGAGCCCAGGACAGCACTAAGACTTGCCTGGGAGTTGCAGTCATTGTAACTTAGACTACCATTCAAGTTTATTTAGGACCCCAGAGCACTTTAGTCCTTGGTGGCAAAGCTTAGTAAAACTCAGGCTCTGACCACTGGGTTGGGTAAACTCAGGCTCTGACCACTCCTCTGGCTAGGGCTCATCTAAATGCTCCCTCCATGTCCATGTGTGTTGGCTGAGTTCTGCCCAGTGTTGACAGGAGTGAGTTTTAATGCAAAGCCCCACAATTGCTGTGCTTTTCTTCTTCCAAGCACATAGATTCTCTCTCCCCACCCCTGAGGCCACTGCCAGGGAATAGGAGATGGGTGGCATCGGAAAATCAAGACTGTCTTTACTACTCTCTTCAGTGTCTCTTTCAGCGATATGAAGTTAAAAAACCAAGTACTGTGATCACTCACCTGAGTTTTGGTTTTTAGAAGGTGCTTTTTTGTGTCAATAGTTGTTAAATTTGGTGTTCCTGAAGGGAGGATGATTGATGAAGGCTTCCATTTGGCCATCTTGCTTCACCTCCCACTCCTAAATAGAATGTGATTTTCAAAAATTGTGCACAAAATTATATTTTATAACATATGAGGACACAAAAATGCCACTAAATTGAGATGTATCTAAGGTATTTCTCTATCATAATATATTTTCAATATGGGAAAGGAATCCACCTCAAAGAATGAATATGCAAACTAATTTTTGTTAAGCTGAGTCATAGTTAAATTATTTTATGCAAATTAAAGACAACAGTCGTTTGGAATTTTGAGATGGTTTTCTTATACTAGGGACTTATAAACGATTATTCTAAATGGAAACAAAATATGTTTTATCAAGCAATCCCATTTGATTTGAACATACTTCAATGCATTTAATTTCTTAAAGCTTCTGTTTTTACTACTTAATAGTTAAATAATATTAATTTGTTAGGCATGATCTTCTTGTGAACATACCCAGAAAAAAGGCATGTCTATTTCCTAGTATTCTAATCCATTTCCATGATATCTATATCCTTAACTCCTCTCTAGACTCTCAGACTCCAAAAACAGCCTAGAGCAGAGCTTCTGGGAAAGTCCTGTCAGTACTTAATATGTGATCATCCTAGTTCTGTAACACTGCCCTGAGCTTATACCTCCAAAATCACATAACTGGATTTATGCTTGAAAACTTTGAATCATCAGTGGCCAAGGAAATACTTTTCTGCAGAGAGGTTTAAATTTTTAGTTGACAGTGTTGAATCTCAATTTGCTGAATTTGTTCTGGGTGAAATAATTTTCAGACTGTTTAGTTCATCATTTTTTGTAGAAAAAGTCTTCCTTTTTTTCACATTTGATACGTTTCCCATGATTATCAGTTAAGGTCCAATAAGAAGACAGGAACCAGAACAGATTTCTTTTTGACCAGAGAAATATAAAGAATTGTTAACTAGCCGTAAAGTTGTCAACTGAGCAACTGAAAGAGTAAAAGGTAATTCTAACATATCATGGAAGCACCAACTTCAGAAAGCAGGTACTACTCTCATGGTAAAATAAGGAAAGATGTTAGAAAACTTAAGACACTGAGAGGAAGAACCCCATGGAACTGAAACTCCAGTCTCAAAGGACACTGGGTGCTTCTAAGCAGGAGCTAATGTCTCTGAGGGGAAGTATGATAGACTTGGTTCTGCAAGTGTTGTAAAAACTGCAACAGCTGCTGTCACAGGACAAAACTGTCACTGCTGAGTTGATGAAGCCTTGCTGAAGTGAGGCTCACAGGAACCACAGTGGGCAAGAAGCTCACTGGAAACAAGTAGAAAGGAGCAAGTACTTTCTTCTTCCCCTAGCCTTGAAGCCTTCCTCTAGCTCCCTCTACTGGCAGATCCTGAGAAAAACGAGCTGACCAGCTGAAATGACTGGTAGAATACTAGCCCTAACTCAGCACGTATATAGTGTAAAAGCTTGGGATTGAAGCTGTGAAACAGAAATTTAATAGCTGTTATACTGTCTTATTAACCTACAAAATAGGAAGCTGCAATTATACAATGCAATGAAAGCGAGTAGATGTACAACTCATTTTCTCTTGAATTATTCCAGTGCTCTGCCTTTTTGACATCACAAACATAACTTGAAATTCAATGATTCAGTATTTATTTTTTCACTCTTTTAAATACAATTTATTCACTACCTACTTTACAAAAGGTACTATTCTGGGCTAGAGACGAAATAAATCCAGTTCTTATACATACATATGTGTATGTGTGTGTGTGTATTTATACATATATATGATTATATATAATATGTATTATATAATATTATATATATTAGATAATATTATATAATATATATTAGATAATATATTATACTTTAGATATTATATTTTATATATATATTACATATATACATATATACACATATATATTATATATTATAATATATTATTTTATATATTATAATATATTATATATTATAATATATTACATTATTTCATATATTATAATATATTATATATTATAATATATTACATTATTTCATATATTATAATATATTATATATTATAATATATTACATTATTTCATATATTATAATATATTACATTATTTCATATATTATAATATATTATATATTATAATATATTACATTATTTTATATATATAAATATATATGATATGATATATCATATATATGATATATTATATATATAATATGATATATGATATATGATATATCATATATTATTATATATATAATATATTATAATATATTATATATCATATATTATTATATATAATATATTATATATCATATATTATATATTATATTATATTATATATTATATTATATATATTATATCATATATATGATATATATCTTATATATAATATATATAATATATAATATATTATATATTAATATATGATATATAATATATTATATATATTATATATATCATATATATGTATAAATGCACACATGCACACACACACACACATGCATATATATATAATCTTGCTTTTCTGGCATATATATACCTGAAAAAAATATATATATACACATCTAACTATACATCTGCAGTCATAAAGGCCTCAGATAAGTCTTTCAGTTGTTTAAACCAATTGTTAGAGGAGCTCATGAGGGCTTATAGATCATTTGAGAAAAAAAGTTAAAAATTTATGAGAGAAACCTCATGGTCTTAAAGGATGAGTAGAATTTTAAAATTGGATATTGGCATTAGAAGAGTTTTGCAAACAGAATGCATGTTCATTCTGGGTTTATGGATAACTGGCAACAACTGCGTGACCTGATTTCAGACCTGCTCAACTGCAATCCTGGAGGCAGTACCATTAGCCCCAGCATGAGAAGGTCTGTACCTGCCAAAACTAATCTGTAAAGACAGGAAGAGGTGTTTGGTCTTTCAAATACACAAACATCAACACAAGACTACACAATTTAAGAAGAATCAGGCAAATATAAAACCACAAAGGAAACTAATAAAGCTCTGTAACTAATCCTAAAGAAACGGAAATCTATAAATTGCCTGACAAAAAAATTCTAAATAATTGCTTCAAGGATTCTCAGTGCACTACACGAAAACAGACAGAAAACTCAGTGAAATCAGGAAAATAATACATGACAAAATTGGAAGTTCAACAAAGAAATAGAAATTGCAGAAAAGAACCTAACAAATTCTGGAGCTGAAAAATATGATAAATGAAATAAAATTGCAATACAGAACTTCAACAGCAGACTTGATTAAGCAGAAGAATCAGTGAACTAAAAGACAGGTCATGTGAAATCATCCAGTCAAGGAAGAAAGGAAAGAAAATGAAAAGGAGGAAGGAAAGACCACAGGATTTATTAGATACCATCAAGCAAACAAATATGCATTATGAGATTTCTAGAGGAAAATAAAGAGAGAAAGTTGCAGAAAATTTATTCAAAAAAATAATGGGAGGGGTATGGACATCTAAAGCCATGAAGCTTAGAGATTCCAAAACAGGATTAACCTGAAGAAGATTATATATAGACACATTCTAATTAACTTATCAAGAATTAAAGACAGATAATTTTGAAACAAGCAAGTAAAACACCACATAAAAGGGCATTTTCATGAGTCTATCGCAGATTTCTCTCAGCAGAGACCTTACAGGCTAAGAGAGAATGGAATGATATATACAAAGTTTTAAAAGAAAAACAGCTTCCAAACAAGAGTACTACTCCCAGCAAAGCTCTGGGAGAGATATGGATCTTCTCAGACAAATAAAAGCTGAAAGAGATTGTCACCATTAGCCCTGCCTTACACAAAATGTTAAAAGATGTTCTTCATATTGAAATGAAATGATGCTAATTATTTTATGCTATTAATTGGTAACATGAAAACATACGAAAATATAAAACTCATTGATACAGGTAAACATATAGTCAAATTAAAAATACTCTAATACAGTAATAATGGGGCATATATTATTTAAACTTTAGTATAAAAATTAAAAGATAAAATTATTTCAAGATAGCTATAGATACATAGGTATCTCTAGACACAACAAAGTATAATTTCTTTTTTTTTTTTTTGAGACGGAGTCTCGCTCTGTCGCCCAGGCTGGAGTGCAGTGGCGGGATCTCGGCTCACTGCAAGCTCCGCCTCCTGGGTTCACGCCATTCTCCTGCCTCAGCCTCCCAAGTAGCTGGGACTACAGGCGCCTGCCACTACGCCCGGCTAATTTTTTGTATTTTTAGTAGAGACGGGGTTTCACCGTTTTAGCCGGGATGGTCTCAATCTCCTGACCTCGTGATCCGCCCGCCTCGGCCTCCCAAAGTGCTGGGATTACAGGCGTGAGCCACCGCGCCCGGCCCAAAGTATAATTTCTTAATGAATAAACAACACAAAGACATGAAGAAATCTTGAGTGCTCATCAACTGATGAATAAAGAAAATATATAATATATATATAAATATATATTAAGGCTGGATTGTGCATATATTGCCTAATATTGCATTGTGTCTATATATGTATACATACATATATACACACATATATATGTATGTGTATTGCATTGTATGTGTGAATACACACATACATACACACACAATGCAATATTATCCAGCCTTTAAAAAATATATCCTGACATTTGCAATAGCATGGATGAACCTAGAGGAAATTATACTAAGTGAAATAAGCTGGGCACAGAAAGACAAATACTGCATAATCTCACATATATGTAGAATGTAAAAAAGGTGAACTCAATAATAGAATAGGTTTGGGCCAAGTTGGGGGCAAAGATGTTGGTCAGGTTATAAAGGCTCAGTTATGAAAGATAAATGCGTTCTAAAGACCTAATGTATAACATGGTGACTATAGTTAATAATACAGTATTGTTTAATTGCAATTTGATAAGAAAGTTGATTATAAGTATTCTCACCACATGCCAAAAATATCATAATTATGTGAGGTTATAGAAATGTTAGCTTGATTGTGGTAATTATTTCACAATGTATGTGTATTTTAAGACACCATTTTGTACATCTTAAATATATTACAATTTTTATTTATCAAGTACACCTCAACAAAGCTAGAAAATATCTGGACTTGCAGAAAAACAAATATACACGTAAAGTGGCAAAAATCATCAGATTTACATTGACTATGATGTCGATATAAGAGAATGATGAGAGAGAAGTCTGTAGAGGAGATTAAGAATCAGACTATGGAATGTTTTAATGCTATGCTAGGAAGCTTGTCATTTGTTTAATGGGTACACAAATAGGTAAGAAAATCTTCACAAGGTTGAACTAATGACTATGCAGATATTGAATCATAGAAGAGAGGACATACTGGAAAATATTGCAGGAAGATTAGTAATGAAGCCAAACCAGTAGAAAGAGGAGGTAATAAAATACCTGAATGATATATGCATATCTATTTCTATCTTTTTTATATACAGAGAGCCTCCCATTTCTACATAAGATAGATGAGGTACTAAAAATGTTTTCTATGTAGGTGGTTAGCCTCTGCTTTCATGTTCATAATACAGCTGTCCTTTTCCATGTTATTTTTAAGAATTATAAAATATGTATGCCAAAGTCAGATACAGTTTGAATAGAAAAAAACCTATTTAAATCCCTCCTTATATTAAGTCTAATTTCCTAATTATAGTATCTTTTTTGGATTAAATCTTTATAATATTAATAATGAGAATAGTAGACTGAAGAACTTTATTAAGGTAAAATACATAGGAATAATATCAACATGCTTATAATTTATAAAGAACTGGAATTGTAAAACAGATTATAACACATGCTAAAAATATATAGATATATGTGTGTGTAGATACACACATATATGTACGTATGCATACATATCTGAAATTGTTTAGTATTGGAATATTTGGATATAAAAATATTCTGATGTTAAACAATTTGCCTTAACTAATTTCTATAACAAACAATGCCTATGGGAATGAACTTAAAAATGTTTAATGAAATTATTTCTTGTTTTATTCACCGCCACCACCATATCTAGGACTCTCACTTTTTTTTTTGTGATTTAATTCATTAGCCATTAAAGTGATTTGGCATGTAGTTTCTCTCTCCTAGTGTCTTTAATGAATGTTTTCTCGTTATTCTTTTGCTCATACAGTATTCTTCTGCATGTGAACTACCTTACCTAGACTAAACTCTTTTGTTTCCCTTTCAACATCATCTTCACCTCTTACAAGCTGTATAATCTTAGGGAAGTATATAGAGCTTTTTGTGTCTCCAGTTACTTAACCTATAAAATAAGACTTAAAGTAATGCCTCCTACTGTGATAAATTAAAGATTCATATTGTGAACTATAAAGCAACCACTTAAAAAGTTAATTGAAGATGAGTGGTTAGTAATCCAATAGTGGACATAAAATATAACGCTAAAAGTTTAATTTAACTAAATTAAAGCAGGAAAAGGAGAAAAATAAACAAAAAAAGAGAATAAATAGAAAACAATTAGCACTAAGACAAATTTACAACTAAGAAAGTCATTAATTATATTAAATATAAACTATATATGAATATTCCAGTGAAAAGGCAGAGGGTGTCTGAATAATGCCCATAAGAAATCCATTTTGGATATAAAGATGTTAAAATAGAATAATCTAAAAAGATGTAATCTTCAAACACAAATAATAAGAAAGTTGAGGTAGTTATATCTTGGACTAAATTAAAATAAACATCCTACAAATCAAAATTATGGAAAGTCATTAAAGTAGTGAAGAAAGAACGTTAAGGCTTTAACTGCTTGTACTAAAAAAGAAAAAAAGTTCTCATCAACTATCTGCGAGTCCATCTTAAGCTTGGAAGAGAGAATTAAACCAAATTAAGTATGAGAGAGGAAATAATAAAGGTAGAATAAAAAATCCATGAATTAGAAAAACCTCTACCTAGATTCATCTATTAGACTAATCAAATAAGAGGATAAGATACAAATTATTAATATCACAGATAAAAGGAAAGATATTACTTCATGTTAAAAACATTATGCTGAACAGAAGAAGCTAGACACAAAGACTCTATATGTATAATTCCATTTATATGAGACTCAAGAAAAGGCAAATATAACTTAGAGTATAGAAATCATATCATGTAGCCAATTCCATGCATTTAAGATTTTTTTATTTCTTCATATTTCAGAGAGTTATAATATTTCAGAGTTTTGCCCCTTTTGAAATGTTTAAACATAACTAAAGGTGGGACAAAGACCTTTATTTTCAGAGGGAGTAAATGAGTAGGTTTTTATATCACTATGTAGGATTCCTAACTTTCTTTACCTTCGGATTTTGCCATTCTCTCAACTTCTCCTTTATTGCTTTCAGTCTGTATCACACCACCCTGAGCTTGATTATATTGACTTAAATAGGTAAATCCCTTAGGTACAAAACCGTACATTGTTGAACAAGTAGTGACCTACTTGTGACCTACTCTTTGTGGTAAAAGCTAAGGAAATAAAAATAGCTAAGGAAGAATAAAATAGTATCAGCAATATATACATGTTTATATCACATATACATACATGATTGTACAAATCCAACACAAAAGTGCTGCTGGGAATTTTTCCAGGCATTTAAGAGATTAAGATTGGGGCAAAGTAGCCACAACATAGCAACAACCCTAGTGTGAGACAATTAAAGGTGGAATATCTCCATGTGAGCTAATATATTGCACAATCTTTGAGTGTTAAAATTAAATATCCTGTTCAATTAAATGTATGTTCAAAACAGAGCCTTCTTTTAAAGCACTGATCAAAACAGAGGCATGATAGAAAATCACTAGCAAAGCAGACCCCAAACTGAAATAATGTAAATGTCCCCGCCTACAAATAATATAAACCAAATATCAAACATGCACTGTCACCTTAAAAAACAAAGATATTTTAAAGAAACGTGAATTTAGTCTTGTCAAATACATTATATTTTAATGTATTCATCATTGGCAAATATATTTTCAGTTCCTATGATGTGCCAGGCACTGTAGTTACCTAATAAGAAATGGTGATGTGATAGACACAGTTCCTGCCTTCAAAGCACTTACAGTTGACTAACATAAACAAATAATTATATGAGCAATTGTAAATAGTTAATTAATGGCCATAAACTATGTGTTGCAATGGGAGTCACCATCATGATAGCTATCATGGATTTTAGAAATCAGTGAAGGCTTCCTGGAAAAAGAAATACTTAAACCAAGAACAAAGTAGATTAGACATTGGTTGGGCCGAGTGGAAAGAAGACTAGGAAGAGCGTTTCTCATGAGAGGATGCATCAAGTGTTCAAAGAACCCAGGGAAGAAAAAAGAGAGAATCACCCTTTCAGGAATGGAAAGTATGTCAGTAGAGAAGAAAAGCAAAACAGAACAAAAAGGTGGATAAGCACATGTGTGACTATGTAGATGAATAAATAGATATAATCTGCCTTTACTTTTCAAGTGTAAAACATTGTGTTTTATTTTTAAAACATTCAATTTTCGCAAAGTATATGTTGAAAAGTCTGCTAACAAATTTCCCAGGGAATCACATGCCCTCTCCTCCATTGCGTGGATGATTATTTCTGGCAATAATGTACTAACTGTCTCCATAGCATTTGCTCCCCCACATTTTCTCTCTGATACCAAGTGTTTTATTTCCAAAATGTAAGCTTGATCATGTCACTCTCCTGCTTAAATCTTTCACTGTCTTCCCACTTCCTTCAGGATAAAGACCACAAGATTTAAGCAGTCTTGATTGGGCTGGCCCCTGCCCACCTCCACAGCCCCATACCACTGCACATTCCCCCATAATGTCTGGGCTCCAGATACTGTGTGTGTGTGTGTGTGTGTGTGTGTGTGTGTGTGTGTGTGTGTGTGTGTGTGCTTTCTTTTCCAGTTTAAGAAAATACAATGTTCCTGGAAAATTCAGCTCCTGGAAAATACAGTTCCTTCTCCAACCCAGCCTTTGCACAAGTTGTCCTTTCAGTCTGGAGCCCACTTCCCTCTTTTGCTGTATTTATTCTGGCTCTTCTCAAATATCCCTTATTTTTGAGAACCTCCTGACCATTTGCCTCCCCCCAGATTAGGAATGGTCAAATGCTCTTCTTATACACTTTTACAGAGGAATAGTACCTCTCTTTCATGACCCTTATTACATTTGTAATTTTATATTTAATTGTGTAATTATTAGATTAGTCATGTCTGTTCCTGCAGTAGGTCGCAGGGATCATGAGAGCAGGGATCTCATAACCTCCAAGCACCAAAAGGATAGGGACTGTATGATGTTTTATTTATTATTATATTTCCAGCTCTCAGTACAGTGCTTCACATATAGTAATAGCTCAATAAACATTTGTCCTTCAAGGGATTAAGTGCTATATCAAGAAAGCTGGTTACAAAGAAAGTTATTAATGTCCATTAGGTGAGCTTAAAAAGCACAAGTCTACTGAAGTTCAACCAGTCATCAAACTGACAAGTGGCATAAAACTAAAGCTGAAGTTTTGTTTATGGGTTTGCAAAACCATCTCTAAATATAACACACTGCCTTGATTTAAAGCCTCTGTGTGCTTACATTCACAAAAAGATTATATTGTTCCTACCCAGCCCTGGAAGAAAACTGAAGAGGCCATTCTATGAATGCTTAAGTCCAAACTTTCTTCTTCTGGAGAATTTTTTTTTTTTTTAACAGAAGCTTGCTCTGTAGTCCAGGCTGGAGTGCAGTGGCGCAATCTCGGTTCACTGCAACCTCTGCCTCCAAATTCAAGCGATTCTCCTGCTTCAGCCTCTCGAGTATCTGGGATTACAGGCACGTGCCACCATACCTGGCTAATTTTTGTATTTTTAGTGGAGATGGGGTTTCGCCATGTTGGCAGGCTGGTCTCGAACTCCTGACCTCAGATGATCTGCCCGCCTCGGCCTCCCAAAGTGCTGGGATTACCGGTGTGAGCCACCGCACCAGGCCGAGTCTTGTTTTTCTGAGTGCAATGTAGCCATTGCTGTAGATTGTATTAGGTTGGTGCAAAAGTAATTGTTGTTTTTGCTGTTTAAAATAATGGCCAAAACTGCAATTTTTTTTTGCACCTACTTAATATCATTGTCTCTTTCTGCAATGCTAGGGAGGCAGTGGGCATATTGGCCAGACTTTGAATGCAGAAAATATTCAATGATTTCAAATTGAATGATGCAATGTTACGATATGGTAAAAGAACCAATACCTGGGGTATTAGGGCCCAGTTTATATTTCTATTCTGCTACCAATTCTGCATGAATTTGTGCAAATTACTGAACATTTAGATTAGGATGATGATCAGAAATGATTTAAGAACTTTGTTTCTTTCTAATTGACAAGTAAAATATCTGAGAACCATTACTAATTTATCCAGTAGAGCAATATAATTTTTTTTTCATAGCTCCTAGAATCAGAATTTGATATTAATGTATTTTTTCCTTTATAATTTCAATTTGAAATTTAATTTGACAATCTGTTGACTACTGCCTCAGAAAGAAAGGTAGTTTAATGAATTTTCATGTTTTTTTAAACAGTTTTATTTGCTGTGATTTATGAAATCATTTATTTATTGGATATTTAAATGCAGGGGTATTGAAGAAGAATAAAAATCTATTCCTAACACACTGCATTGGGCTCATTTCACTAGAAAGCGTCATTCAGATTGAATTTCTCTCTCTTTTTTTACAGTTTTGTTTTCATTTTCTTGTTGAAAATATCAATCACTGTTTATGTTGTATGCTAACTTTCTTATTATTTTTCTATTGATGTGAGAGATACCATAATAACAAATATTCTCATCTTAGAATTACTGTTAAAACTCTCCAATGCCCTTGGGCTTGTTTACCATCTCTGTGAAGACGTTTTTTCGTTTGTTTGTTTTGGTTTGTTTTGGTTTGGTTTGGTTTGGTTTGGTTTGGTTTGGTTTGGTTTGGTTTGGTTTGGATTGCATCACTTTAAAAAAGCTTTAAGAGATATTTTTAGAGGATAGGATTTGTTTTTCCTTTTGTTTTTAGTTCAAGATGGCACCTGAGTCCACTCATTTATGTTCTCTACTCCTGAACAGTCAGTTAAAATGAACTTTTTATAAGGTACAATTGTATTGCAATGAAAAAAAGGACCAAGTGTGGAATACTCAACTGGAAATACTCAACAAATACTGGAAACGCTCAACGAATTTCTTGAACGAAGGAAAATAGATGGGTATTTGATGAAGCTGGAAGTGAATAGCCACAATCTAGAACGTGTTCAGAGAGCCCTACTGCTAAATAGTAAAACAGTGTGCCTGCCAGACCCAGAGAGTCTCCAGTGCAATCATGAGACATATCTAGAAATCCTTCAGAACACATCCCATCTTGCCTTGCATTTCTGCTTCCTCTGCTTACAGCATACTTCCCTTTAATATCTTCATGTCTTTCCTCATTTTGTTTAAATCCCTGCTCAAATGCTACTCTACCAAAGAGGTATCCCTGAAACACTTTAGCTAAACAAAACTGTCTCTTTTCTTTTTTTGAAACCCATCACTCTGTATCTATTCTACTATGTCTTAATTTTCTTCAGGATATACAGCATATTATGTTTTTATGTTTTAATTTGTTCAATATCTCTTGCAAAAGAAAGTAACCTTTACAAAAGCATTAAATGTATCTGTTTTGTTAAAATGTATATTCTCTAGCACCTTGAGCACAGCCTGGAACATTCAAACTACATAAATTTGTAGATTGACTCAGTGAATGGATGATTGAAATGTGATAGAAACTTCTGTATGTGACCTTCACTGCATCTGCATAATTCCCTATTACAATATTTAAAATATCTAGTCAGATATTCACTCCCAATTTGTCAGTGTGGGGAAACAGAGCACTCTAAATAATTAATAAAGGGTCAAAGCAAACTGTAGCAATGAATGTAGATATTGATGCCTTGGGCATGTGAAGTTTCTTCAATATAGTGGCTTCATTCTCATTAATTCCCCTATGTGTGCAAAGTTCCAGTCAGCTTATTTATTATTTAATTCAGTATCTAATCCAGGAGGACACATGGCAGCAGTGATCTTGTCTCTTTAACATAGAGCAGTTCATCAGTCTTTCTTTGTCTTTCATGACCTTAACATTTTTAAGAGACAGGCAAGCTATTTTATAGACCATCTTCCCATCTGAGTTAGTTTGACATTTCCTCATGATTAGATTCAGGTTACGTGTTTTTAGCAGGACTATCACAGAAATAATGCTGTGTTCTCACTGCATCCCATTTGAAGGTACATGATGTCAGATGTCCCATTACTGATGATGTGCTCTTTGATCATTTGGGTAATGTGGAGGCTTCCAGGTTTCTCTGTTATAAATTATAATTTTTCTTTCTGCGATTACTAAAGAATCCTTGACACTATTTAAATATCCTATTCCTCATCAAATTTTCATTCACTAGCTTTAGTTTGGAAATCTGGTATTTTACATGTTAAGAAGTAGAAAGAAAGTTTGGGAAAATACTAATCTTTCATTTTTATCTCAGTGTTTAAGAACTTTCAGTCAGTATCTTACCACTTCAAAATGATTAGAGGGAGACTGGAAACTACTGTTGTTGGTTTTGTATATGCATTGCTATTTATAAGTTTTAAAAAGTCTTTTCTTCTAGGTTTCCATTTAGTAATTTAGGATATTGCTACCAAAAGGTTGGCAATTAGTTGTCTCTAGTTGTACTCCACTGAATCATTACAAAGCTGAAAATAAAGGTTATGCTACAGTTTTTATTGGTACTTTGAAAAGAATTAGTGCTGTTTATCCCATCAGTACAAATGCTAGATAATTGCACCCTCTATTTACTAATAATTGGGGAGAGAAGTATATCACATAAAAGGTAAATAATCCACCCATAACTAGCTTATTAGAGAAAACACAAGAAAAACAAATAATAGATTGATGTCACTTACCATGAGTTTAGAAAATCAATAACAATTATAAATGAAATAAAAATTTCAAATATTAATGAGAGGAAAATGATGGATGCCCTTAAGAAAATAAAGTCAATAAAAATTTAAAAATTGATTTACTTTGCTAAACAATTGTATTAGATTATTTTCATAGGTAAATACTCTATAAACTTGAAACTGTTACCAATAATAAGGAATCATCTGTCAAATTTCTAGATGTGTGATTGACATTCCTAGAAATTTGATTTTAGTCTTGAAGTAGAGATAAAGATGAAATAATTCCGTTTTCTAAATGTATAGTACAGTAGGTGGAAAAGGACACAAAGGGACATGAGCAAAAAGTTTTGGCTGGATATACAAGGAAGGACAAGTAAGACTTTAACACTTACCAATGTAATGAGTAGGTTGGGCACAATGGCTCAGGCCTCTAATCCCAGCACTTTGGGAGGCTGAGGTGGGAGGATCACTTAGAGCCAGAAGTTTGAGATCAGCCTGGGCAACATAGTGAGACTTCATCGCTACTTAAAAAATAAAATAAAATAAAATTAGCCAGGTGTAGTGGCATGTGCCCGTGTCTCAGATACTCAGAAGTCTCACTTGATCCCAGGAGTTCAGGAGTTCAAGGCTGCAGTGAGCTATGATCACACCACTGAACTCCAGTGTGGGCAACAGAGCAAGATTCTGTCTCAGAAAAAAAACATGTAAGGAGTAGAGGATAAAGTAGTAAAATATTTTCTTCCTGGAAAAACTGGAGCATGACTTGGATATTTTTTAATGATAATGGTGAGATGCCAGTTTTGGGGAGAAGGTGTTGAGTTTCATTTTATTTTGGTAAGCTTTAGGAATCGGCAGCACATGTATGCGGAGATAGCCTACTAGCAGTTTGATAAGAGGATATAAAGATCAGTGCTATTGACACTGAGTCATCCTTCATGCAGATGAAGCTATGGCAGCCCACATTACTTCCACGGAAAGCAGAGACAAAAAGAAGGCACAGCACCAGGGATTCCACTTTTGGCACAGCTTAGTCAAAGTGTGCCAAAAGAAGAGACGCCACTGAGACATTTTAGTGGTTGAAAGAGAAAGAAGTAAAGATACCATTCTGAAATCTTATGTTATCAAAGTCTTAATGACTCTCCCTTCTTATTTTCTCTTCAATCTGTCTCTTCTATCCATCATCACTCCCTATTCTCTAGTGCAAGCCTTCATTATTTTCTGCATCAGTCAACCAGAGGTCTCCCTGTCTCTACGTTCTTTCACCTTCCTCTCCCAATCCACTTTCAGCACTGCTGTCAGAGTGATCTTTATAAAGTGTTCATCTGTTCAAAGCATTTTCCTAATTAAAAAGCTTTAGTGGCTCTTTCCTGACTTAAAAAAAAACTAAGTAATAATACAGACATATTTACTATTTGAAATTCCCAAATTCCCTATGATATTGAACACATTTCACCCTTCTAAAAATACTAGATGCTTTGTCTGTAATAGCTTCTTCTCTCTTCCTCATCTAGATAATTCCTACTCATCCTTAAAGACTTAGGTTGAATACTGGTTTTTGTGGGGTTTGTTTGTTTGTTTTTGAGGCAGGGTCTCACTCAGTCACCCAGGCTGGAGTGCAGTAACACAATCATAGCTCACTGAAGCTTTGAACTCCTGAACTCAAGTGATCCTCCCACCTCAACCTCCAGAGTAGCTGGGACCACAGGCATGTGCCACCACTCTCAGCTAATTTTGTTTGTTTTTTGTAGAGTTGAGGTCTCCATGTGTTGCTCAGGTTGATCTTGAACTCCTGGCTTCAAGTGATCTTCTGACCTCTGTCTTCGAGAGTGCTGGGATTACAGGCATAGCGGCCTTGAATACCACTTCTAAGAAGATTTTCCTTTCCCTGGAACAGGTGTCCTTCTTTCATGCTTATGTAACGTTAGGGGATTTGCTCTGTCACACCTTCTCTGTCACATGAAGATTACCTTGATTGACTTGTACAGCCTAAAAAAAATGGTAACTGCTAATTCAATTAAAGAGAAAAGCATGGATGAAAACAATTCTGGCTTAAGAAACAGGGGGATGTCTCTCTTACAAAGACCAAATTAAAAAAAAATATATAAAAACAAAGAATGAATCAAAATACTGCTAAATTTGTCTAGAAGATCAAGGAGGACCATAGTAGTTTAGCTGAAACTATAGGTTTACAAACTCTAGGGAAATAAAAAAGTGAATAGAATTCACTCTAATGATATGGTCTTTTCAGAAAACCTTCCTGTTTAATCCATAGATGATACTATACTTTCAATAAATTGTGGTCTCTGGGTTTCCACATAGCAGTCAATTGGATAGCCACAGATCCATATATGCATACTTTATCTCTCCAAACTAAAACACTACATTTATTGTATATCTATACTTTAATTTTATTATATAATTAGAAACTAACAAAAACATTTAATGTCTATATAAGCTTACTAAGAACAATATCATTATAGCAAACAGTGTAGAAGGCAAAGTTTTCAACTTATATTTTTCCAAAAATCAAGCACCTGCAAAGAAGTAACATAAAATAATTGTACAAAGAGAGACAAGGAGACTAGGACTGACTTTGCCGATATGAAAATGCGGAAAGGGCGCCACAGAAGGGTAACCTACCCTGAACATTGATTTATAAACAAGTCCTGCGCTAAAAAATGGCTTAAAGACTCAAATATTGATAAATCATCCCTAACTGGCCTCTAGGAAGTTGAGGGAAGGAGAGGCTTGGGATAGGTATCAGGAAATGCAGTTGAAAGTGTGGGCTAACCAAGGATCAGAGCTGCAGTAGAAGAAGGAACAGTAGGAAAGAGGGATCTGGAGGTGGTCTGATGAGCGAGGAACACCAGAGATTGGCATGATATCGCATGTCAGTCCTTTGCTGTTTCTGGCATGTTGGTGTGTGAGTTAACCAGACCACTTAGAGGATTGAGGACAGAACAGACAGGTGATAAAATACCCCAAGTAAAATTTTAGAAATATTAGTTTTTGCCAAATGGAAGAGAATGCTATATTTATCATTTGTAACCAATCTGTCCACCTAATACAGATGTTCATGTCCTGTTTAGATACATAAAGAGAGTACAATCAGCTGGAAGTAACCAAGAAGATAATTTTCTCTTTAGTTCAAAATATTTATTTCTCATCTACAATTACACAAAATTCATTGCTGATAATGAGCAACCACAACATTTATATTCCAATTCCAAAAACATAGGCTAATATGAATCAGAGTATCTACCAAATGCTTATCAACTCTTCTTACTTAATGACAAGAATTTAAGATATTTGGTTATGTGAACTATTTTCTTGTAAATTCTACTAAAATTTGGACCACATAGTAATACAAATCAGTTAAATCACATTGAACTTTAGGGAACTTTTTAAGCAAGTTTAATTCAATTTGTTCCCATCCAATATATGTATATATAAACAAAGGAATGCAAAAACTAATTTGATACAAATAGAAGTAGAAATATTCCACAGAAATAGAAATATTAATGTATACCCATGTAATTGTGATTAAGTGGACTATTTCCATTGCAGTGAGGTTAAGTTGTCCAGAAAAAGTATTGAAAGCCTCCTGTAACATAGCAGTGTTTTGTTGATATGTATTCAAGATTGTGTGGATGGCAAGTTACAAACCACCACTGATTCTCCATGAAACAAAAAATTGATGGGACTCTATGGTCTTCAGTTCTTAAGACAATCCCTGCTGGGCATTTAGGGAAGTAGCAAATTTGCCCATTTAGGCTCATTGTAGATGTCTCAATAGTGAAAGAGAGGAGAGTATGTTTATTAACCTGAAATCAATTTGGGACCAATGTTCTGAAGGTGGCTTTTATCGATTTGTATCATAAGATATTGAGCCAATTCAGCTCGATCAATGTAGTTGATGTACAGGTATTTGTCCAGAACCCCTTGTTTTAAGATAATCACCCAAACCCTTTCCTTCAGTAATCTTGTTCAGTCTATGCAGTTCTGATGGGGGCTGACACTACCCCTCAGTACGAAGGCTGGGCATGTCCTGAGTCTGACCAATCTGAATTTTTTATTAGCCTGGCCAGAGTGACTATTTGAGACATAAACATGTCATCAAAGCTAGACCAGTGAGAGTCTTCTGCGGATTGTTGCCACAATGGTCAAGGAAAAAAATGTGCTCTTCTTTGCAAGAAACTATAAAGACATCATAATTTTGGTGCTGCTCGATACCTTTCAAGCATGTGAAGCATGCCCACATTGTAACCATATGCATAACCATAGACCCAGAGAATGAAGACAGATGTTCAAAACTGTGAGCTAGAGCGAGGCAGAATTCTGATGCCATTTGATACCTGGATTTAGATAATCCTGAAATGCGAGACTTCTCTTGGCCCTCCCAGTTATTAGAGTGGGTAAATTTTCTAATACATTTAAATTAATTTAAATTAGTTTAACTTGGATTTTTGCCATTAAAATGTTTAAAGCCTGACTAATTCACCCTTATTTAAGCTATTTGCTTAAATAAGTGGCTTCCAAACATTTGGGATGAAAGTGTAACTGTAATAATTGAAAAAACAGCCTCCTTCTACTCTACTTCCTACACATTCCAACCATTTCTGCACCTTCTTCATCTCCTTCTGGACCTTGTTTCTCTACCAAGTATAGAATAACTTTAAATAAATTTATCAGGACTGTGAATCTTTCTGTCACTCTCCCAACAGACTTCGAATCCTTCATGCAGACCTAGGTGTGTATAATTGGAAAGGACAGCCTCTAAGACTGGGATGCCTCTAAAACAGTTCCCAAGAGTAAATAAACACACCATCTCTCATATTGCTCAGACCTCAGCAAAGCATACACATAACAAAGGCCTCCAGACAACAGTTTGAATTGGTTTTAGGGTCCATATCATCTCAGTCCTTTTGCTTTTAACTCACCAGCAACTTGTAAAGTTAAAATATTTATTCACCTCTATTTCTCCATCTCAGGACAAACAAGGAAGCTGTATATTGATTCACATTTGGTACTGACATTTTGAAATCATATCCTGGAGAAAGTGAAGATCTCTAGGACTCAAGCCTGCCATTTGAATCCCTGGAGAACCTGACAAAATGCAGACTCCATGGTGTCCTTCTGTCTCTACCAAATCATAGAATCACGACTAGGTCTAGAAATTTCCATTTTTAACCAACTCCCCAAGTGGCTTAAGCCAGTTTGACATTGACAGGATTGAAATGAGTATGTAATTTTAACCACTAACGGAGATAAATTTGTGTTAGCTGATTCTAAATTCTCTACTGTAGTGCTCTCAAACTTTAATGTAAATATGAATCAACTGGGTCTTATTAAAATGAAAATTCAGTAGGCCTAGGGTGGGACCTGAGCTTCTGCATTTCCAACAAGCTCCGACGTTACGTTGATGTTGTAGGTCCATGGGCCACACTTTTAATAGAAATGTTCTACAGCATTTCACAAAGAATATGAAAGTAGCAACAAAAGTACATATAATTTAAAAGTTTAAGTAAATAGTAAATCTAATCTATGGAAAAATGAAGATAGGACAGCAGCGGTAAGAATATCAGATGGAAACACAGGTTGTGTGACACTATAGAATTGTGGAAGAAGACAGCAGGTTAATATTCCTGGTAACTAAATTAAATTAACACACACACACACACACACACACACACACACACACACACACACACACAAGATTCCAAAGCCTGAAGGCAAAGCAAAACTTAAGGGGAAGCACAAATCCTGTGAACACTGTGAGATATAATGTATGTTGTAATTTTACAATATAAAACATTTTGTCTGACTTTTTCATACATAATTTCTCATATCAGGTTTGAGAGTATAATAAGGAAATATAACAGAGAAAGCCTAGTTCATTGAAGCCAAACATTTCTGATCAAAATATACAATTCTCTGATGACTTTGCATGGTACAGATATGAAATTTATAATAGCTAGAGAAAAGAATATGAATGGCATCCAAGTAGGTTAGATGGTAGGGAAATCTAGAAAATCCCAAAAGAGCTCCTAAACACTTTTTTTGTATCTGAAAAAAGGATAGAATTGTCTTGGCAATGATCACATTTGCCAGGTATGAAGTAAAAACAGTATCTTGGCAGTGACATGCAAAACATGGTGGGTAATCACATCACACAAACCGTGAGCTACTTAGCTCCAACATTCCATATTTCCTACTACTTTTTTTCCTAACTCCCACCATGAGAAAGTGCCCTTTCCCCTTCCTGTACTTTGGAACATGTATACCTTAACCATTATTTATTTGCTCTTTCCTGTGTGGTTAAGAGTTGTTTTTTGTTTTTTTTTTTTCCTAAAAGACCAGAACCAACTTAAGCTAGCTTATCAAAAAAAATAGATATTTCCTATATGAATATAAAGGTATATGTGATGTTTAAAATACTTAACAACTCTCAAATTACAACCTTCTTAGCAGTTGTCTATATATTTCTTCAATGATTGAATAGAAAATATTTTGTCTACAATCCCTCAGAGTGTTTGTGAGAAAGATATTTAAAATATCAAAATTTACTACCAATGGCCCTAAATTCAGAAGGTAGAAAACATTTCAGTACAAAACTAATACAGGATGGGTACCCATCAGTTAGAGTGTACAACAGTTTTTTTTAAAAAAAAACAACTAATATCGCTATACTAGCATATTCATCTGAATTCTTCTCCTATGTAGAGATGTCAGATAATAAGAGAGGCTAGGCCTGTATTGTGCTTCAGGAAAGAGGTAAAATCTGGAACTAGAAATCCACCAGAACTTCTCCATTTCTCATCGTTGTTCCCGTCCATCAGCCTGCTTCATTCTTCTCTTTATAAAGGTCAGCTTCTTGGTCTACATGACAAGTAGCTTATGCACATGCCCAAGCTCTCAAGTTAAAATTTCCCACATAATTATAATTTCTTTATTGAAATTTAGAATTTGAGAAGGTAGCTAGTTGTCTCCACTTAGATCAGATATTTTCTCCTAGTCTTATCAACCATGGCTAGGGGTGGGATCATTCACATTTTGTAAATTTGGCAGCTGGGGAAATAAGTAGTCATTATGCACGTTATATTTTATGGACTATGAAATTCATTTCTTGCCTTATTCTTATTTGCCCCTTTCATCTTGACTCATTCACATACCTGTATTATTTTATGAAGTTGTATGTCTTTTTTAATTTTTCTGAAGCTGGCAAACATTTCTCAGAAACACTTGATATCTTTATTAATTACATTTAAGCTAGCACGAGAGTGCTTAGTTTCTTTGATACTCAGCTTCTTCTCTAGAGATTCATGCCACTCACTAACTTAAAGGTAAATCCAAGTAAATATAAGTATCTATTGCACAAAAAATCATTTCAAGAATTTGTGTTAACAAGTGCCTAGCCCTGTAAAGATAGCTCTGGGCCAAAAACTTAGCTATCACAGAAGCAGACTCTATCACCATACCCCCTCCTTGAAATGGCTGTTTTGTTTGCCTGGATTATGTACTAATTCAGAAGATATTTCTTGAGAGCAGTAACTATGAGCCAACCATCAGTTACATGCTAGGAAGCATCAGTGAATAAAATATAATTCCATCCCTAAGGGAGCCTACACTACAGAGGGAAGATATTAAAGAAATAAGTAATTTCAATAAATGTGATAAATGCTAAAATAAAGGTAAGCCGAGGGTGCTCTAAAAGTGTCTCTTGCATTGTGGGATGAAGGAATTAATCCAGATGAAAGGACATCCAAATTCATATCATTGATTTAGGACTAAATGAGAGTTGGAGAGGAGGCATAGGTAGACAGTTCAAGAAGGTTTGGGGCAAAGAGAAAGACAAGTATAAATGCCAAAATATGTATTTTGAAAGTCATTATATGAGCATCTAAGAGAATGCTTATGAAGAACAGCATCCTTTGAATAAAAGACAAATAAGATTTTATGGCTATAAAAGAGAGTTCAAGATAGGGACAGAAATAAGGGATGTGGCTAGGCATATAAATAGATCATAAATGGTCTGAAAAAGCATGTTGACAAATTTGAATTTAATCCTGAGATCCATGAGGAGCCATTTAAGCAAAGAAGCGACATTATCAGATTCTTGTTTTATAACATGATTACTCCAACCCGATGTGAAAAATGAGTTTGGAGGGGTAAGTGAATTGAAGGCAGACAAATTAGTTAGAATTATATAGTTATTCAGAAGAGAGTACATCGTGGCCTTAACTAAGATCAGTAAGAGTGAGGGGGATACATCTGAATTGAATTTAGAAGTAATAAATGAAGGAAATTGGTAATTGATAGGATGTGGGAAGCATAGACAAAGGAAAAACAGACAAGATCAAGGAAGATACCCAAGTGAATGCATGACCAAGATGTGCCTGGGATGTGAAAAGTAAATAATTGCCACTTGAATCAGTGATTTTCAGTATCCTTTTTAGCACTGTATGTATATTACGAAACAAATATGTTTCTTCTTTATTAATTTCCTTCCACTGAAATTATTTCTGCAATCATATTCACCTAGTCCTCATGAAAAGGATGATTTCTTTGACCATCCTGCTTGGAGCCAGAATTGTGGATATATTTTTCATTATAATGAAATATGAAACTAATAACGAAACTTAAAATATGCTGTGAACTACACTCAGAAAGTTTGTACCAGTACTTTTAGCAGCAGTATTCTGGTATGACTTTTCTATGATACTACGGAATAAGAACAGGAAGCTAAAATGCTTCCTCCACCTGGTGACTGCCAGGTCAGAACAGGAAGCTGAGGGTATCATCAAAAAGAATTCCACATTTTCTCTATTTTAACATGCCACTGAGAGAGCAATGTCCTGCCAGCAGTGCTGACTTCAGGCAGTTTGTAGATTGTATAAAATGTGTCTTTAGTGGTGGCCTTCATTTTTTTCTTTCCCGGTATTATTTTCCTTCCCTTTTAGGACATTCCGTCCCAAAATGTCAAGTGTTTCTGAGGATTGCTCTATCTTGACAGGAGGAACAGGCACACACACATACACACAAACACTGCTAGAGAAAGATTTTAAAGTAAACCACAGAGATAAAAGACTGAACATATTCATTTATTATTGTGGTTTCCCTAGAATTCTAGAAATCGTGTGAGTACTGCATGGTGCTTAGATGGAGAAGTGTTTTGGAGGTGCTTTGTCATTCAACTCTCTATAGCTGGATCAGATTGATCCTGTACCTTGGTTATTTGTATTTGCATATTCAAAAATAATCTAACATTCTCTTTTGGTCACCACATTCTAAATATTCTGCTTAAACACTGATTGGGTGATTAATAATAATAATAGTAGAGCAGCTCACACCTGTTGAAATGCTTAATACATGTCAGGCCTCCTTTTTGCTCCTTTAACCCACCATGATTGCTCCTTTTGTATGGCCTGGAACTAGCTATTGTCTTTTTCTGGAATCTCACTGAGAATAGAGAAGTTTTCTGTCTTGTTTATTGTTGCATCCTCAGCACCTAAAACTATCTCTACTCCAAAATATGTGCTGAAAAAGTATTTCTAAATATATGTATAAATACTTTTCATTGATGGTATTTGATATGTATTTGTTGTTTCTCCTTAACCACACTAAAGGAAGGGGCATGATAAATTCTGTATTGTGCACAGGACCAAAAATTCAAGAATCTAAATGCTAAGTACCAAAATGCTACAGATAAGAAGAAGTGCCAAATGATAAGGTTGACTGAGTGACTGATAATGTTTGTGAATATCCAAAACTATAGATTAAATTCAAAAGAACAACTTTAGGAGGTAGCTATTTTCCTATGGTTGCCCTAATAAATTACCACAAAGTGTCTTAAAACAAGAGAAATTTATTCCCTCTGAGTTTTGGAGGTCAGAAGTTAAAAATTAAGTTGTCAGCAAAGCTGTGCTCCCTCTGAAGGCACCAAAGTATGGTCAAATATGTACAAAAAAATGTAGCTGCAGACATGTCATAACTTCAGAGGGGTCTTTCATATACCAATCACAAAAGTGGTAATGTGAGAACAATTGAGAAAAAGCAACATCTTTCAGTGTCCCTGAGTTATATTTGCCGTGGTAACAACTACTACTTGTTGAACACATAATTGTACACCAAGTGCTGTGTTAAGCTCTTTATTACATTATTTAAATTTCTATTTAATGGATAAGGTAACTGAACCTCAAAGGGGTTAAGTGACTCGGTGACAGAACTCATTATAGACAAAACTGGAATCGAATTTAGATTGATTTGACACCAAATCTTATACTCTCATCATGATACTATATTGTTACAGTTTCTAACAGCACAGCACAGCAATGGATTTTAGGGAAACCATCACAACTAACAGTGTGTCATGCTTGCCTCATATACACAGAAAAAAAAAAATGGAGACATAGGCTACACCTTTGAGAGTATAGAGTTGGGAAACAGATGAATAGTTAGATCATGACCACGCATGCCAAGCCGAATGTATGATGCTACAGGAGAGAGACATTAACAAAGTAACAAACTGTAAAATAATGGGAGATTAATTTGATTTGGAGTGGGGATTGGGAAAGGCTTTGAATAAACTTGACTCCCCTTGGGACTTGTAGATAAGTAGAATTTTGACCTTCAAGAACAGAAAAAAAAATACAACCTAAAAGATATGGGAAAGGCAAGAATGTTAAGGAAATATTGAGTATCTCTTTGTATCTGCAGCAGGTATGCCTTAGTGAGCAGGTAGCCAAGGGGGAAAAGATGTTGGAAAAGTAGGTTGAGCTAGATTATTGAAAACCTTTCTTGTCAAAGAAGAGTCTGGACTTCCTTTTTTGGACTTATGGCAGCTACACGCAATTTCATTCTGCCAGGCAGCTCTTTCCTGGGATATAAATTGGTAAACCACACAAATGCTGCCCATAGTGACTCCACACTAAACTATAGGATCATTTACATTCATGTGCACTTGCAGTGTGGCAAGCCCACAAGTACTTTCAACTACTCTTTTGAAAATTGGGGCTTATGATTGCTGTCCAGAGTGTCTTCTTCAAATACTAAAATGTGAAGGACACTGATTACACGCACATGCATAAACTTATCGCCCCAGAAAGAAAATGGAGAGAGAGAGAGAGATTGTTCTGTGAGTACAGGAATTTATCTTTTATCTTGTGGAAGAAAGGAACACGACATAGCATGTCTATTTATAGGGCACTAAAAATGATTTCTAGTCAGGTAATCTTGCAAAATCAGGGAATGCATATATAACATAATGAATATTTAAATGCAAGGGGAACTTCACATACTTCTGAAACCAAGGTATTTTTCAGTGGTAACATCAGAAGGGGACTGGCTCCGACAGGATGAGAATCGTTACCATAGCAACTCCCAGGCTGACTCATTCATAGATAACTCTTTAAACTTGTGACATGAGAGAAATTGCTCGAGGATTCTTAACACTGTACCAAAATACACATTGCTCCATGCAGATGAAAAAAATGCATCAGCACAGCCTTTTTTTTCTTCTTAAAACTCTCCGTTTTATTTCTATACAAGGTGTCTCTTGTCCTTCAGTCTCTCCCACCTTCAGGATAGGGAAATGGGCACAGACATAGTGTGGAAGATTGGGGCAACTCAAGCTGCTTTTCAAAAATAAAATTCTGCATTATGTTTGCAGGTATCACTTTAGCGGTCACACCGTTGCTGAACCTTGATTTCCACTCATGTCTGAGCTGGGATTCAATTTTCTGTATCTTCCAGAATTTACATTTTTTAAAAAAAATTTGCTGAGCCAGAAGTAAGCAAGTCAAAAAGACAGGGGAACATAAAGTACCAGAAAGTAAAGATAATAAATGCCTCTGTCTTTCTCTCTTCCTTTCTTTTTTTCCCCCTCTCTCTCCCCCTTTTCCTCTTTTTGGTAGTCATGATAATGCGTCTTTGTAGAGCAACAGTAAGAGAAAATTTCAGGCTTAAGTTCCCTTTGTTGCAGTAGAAAGAAAGTATACGAGGAAATTGATAAAATATGAAATGACATTATAAATGGAGACAGGAACAGATTTTCTAGGCTTAATGAAAGCATAGACATTGCTCATTTAGGATTCTGAAGAACCCTTAGGGAATTCCAGGCCACTCTCAAATTAATTCCCCAATAATGACATGAGAATTAATAGCGTAATAATCTCCGTGGAGGCATCTATCCAAAAATGTAAATTTCAGGACTGTCCAAGTTGTCCTGGTGATAATTATGCACACTGAGTGTAAGAATTGTTGATACAGGTCAATCTACTCATTTTGCTAGACAGAAGAGCTCACTTTCTGGGATTTTTGTCTTGCCAAAGATATAAAACCCACTTTTCTAGATCCTCAGGTGCATTCTCAGCAAACCGAGTTTTCTGCGTGACTTTTCTTAAAGGCAATATTTTTAGAAAAATTGTTAAATAATGTAAAACTTAGAATGTGACAAAATTGATAACTTTTAATGTCATAAAGAGAAATGTGTTAGTGTGACTATTCAGTTTAATTAGGAATTTGATTGGTTGAATGATAAATTATTTAGGGCAGTTTCTTTTTCTGGGCCACTTTTATTGCTGATGCCTATCTTTGAAACATATACCTACCCTAGAGAGTGGATAAGGCACATTTAAAATGTATTTAAAAATAAATTTTAAATACATAAGATAATATAGTCTAAAAGTAAGTCTTACTCATCATTTACATCTTATCCTTTACCATTTATGTCTCTACTTCAAGCACTTTAAATTAACATCCAATATTTCATTCCTTTAAATTCTGGTCCTCCTCAAGTATTTACATTCTTTTCTTCATCTCCCATATCCACAGCAACCAATTTAAGTCCATTCTATTTCCTTTCTTTTTTTCCTTTCCTCCTTATTTTATACAACCTCATATTCCTCTGCCTTCATTCAGACTAATAGAGTGTTTCACCTCCACTGCTATTTTTAATTTTTTCTTAACTGGGATGTCTATCTTTGGATTTTCCTGACTCCAATCCATTTATTGACTTATTCAGCAAATAGTAGTTTGGGCATCCACTAGACGGCAGGCCCTGCCCTCAACACTGAGGATGTAGCAAGAGAATTACGCCTTTGGGAAGCCCAGGTTCTAGTGGAGGAAATAAAAGAGCACCCAGCTAATTTCCACACAGAGCAATGCAGGCCATGATGACAGCCTACTGTGGGAGCACGTCGGAAGGGCCAAACCCAGACTTCCTGGCTCCTGACATGGGAGAAGAGGGTGTAGCTCCATTTCCAATCTAAGGCCTGTTCAATACGATTTAGCTAGGCAAAGGCAAAGGGGAAAGACAGGAGGAATGGGTGTTCCAGACCAAGAAGATTTTATAGCAAGACAAGAGGTATGTTGGAGGAACCAAGACCAAGGTGGCTGGATAATAGAGTAAAAGAAACAAGCAAGAAGTGTGACTGCAGAGATAAGATAGAGACAGAGGAAGGTATTGTCTGCCCTTAAGAAATTTGTATTTTTATTCTCATAACATTGAGGAGCTACAGCAAATTTAACCTTGGGAGCAACATGATCATATTTGCAATTTTTTAAAAATTGAAATCTCATTTTACCTGCCATATAACAAATGGATTAGGGAAGAACAAGACTAGAGAAGTCTACTTAGGAGCTTATTATAGTAAATCAGGTGAGAAGTGATAAAGACCAAACTAGATAGTAGCAAGTATAGACAGAATAAAGAAACATTTTAATGAAACAGAAATGCCAGAAGAGAAAAAGAGTCAAGAAATACTCTTAGGTTCTGGTTTGGTCAATGGAGTGTTTGATTGTACCAGTCAATGAGAATGAGGGTGGAGATGGAGGACCCGATTTAAAGGTGGGTGGGCATAATTCTATTTTGGGCCAGAGATAGTTCCTTTATTTGGCATTCTGTCAGCTTGGTGGTGCTGGGTCATAGAAGTAAAGTGCACCAGCCCCTTCTCTTAATAAGTTTACGCTCATCCTTTATCCTAGAGTCGTCATGGACTCACAATGTAAATTAAGAGACATTTAGCCTCTAAGCACATAACAATATTTGCCTTTTAACTTACTGTCACTTACAAATAATTTCTAGCAAGGGAAATATAGTTGCTACTATAACTAATGATTAATGAGGTTTTTACTGAGAAGCGGTAAAATACTTTGGCAGACTTTTTAAAGGGGAAGCCATCTTACCAAAAGAAAATTATTCCACTCCCCATATTCCTTAAGGATCACTGTGGAAGAAAAATGCTGGCCTTCCCTTGGCTAACATTTGAAAAGTTGTCCAGGGCAGTGATGAACAATTGATTTGTATCTAGTATCAACCACACACAGAGGACATCATGGCAGCAGAGTTCATCAGCATCACTGGCTGATGAAGGAGAATTCATGGATAAAACATCAGAGAAAACTGGAAAATCTACCCACGAACTGAATGTTAATGATTAATTGCCATCCATAAGAAAGCAAGGCAGAAGTCAGCCTTGGGCAACAGATAAAAGCTATGTCCTAGGAGGAAAACCTTTTGTGCTTGCGGCACATGCTTAAACCATGCTTGTTATATGATACAGTGGAAAGAACTTTGCCCATAGAGTCAGACAGATCAGGGTTCAAATCACAGCTGTGATATTTTTGAGAAGAGGCACTTAGGGCATCCTTAAACTCAGTCTCACCTATCAAAGGAAGATATTAACTCCAACTCTATATGGTGGTTTTATATTGTTATAAACAATATAACATAGGGAAAGCACCCGGTAAAATGCTGATCATACAGTTAAATGTTCAGAAACAGACAGAAATTATTATTAAGTATTTAGGGGTCCAAAATTGATCATTTACTCAAAAAGAATGAAAATGTGTATTATTAACTGCATTGTTCTGTAACATATTTTAGGCTACTTGATTTTTCTTATTTATTAAATTATAGTTTTTAAAGTTTGTTAGGACTATTACATACAGTATTTCAATTGATCATCCCAACAGTCTCATTATATAGTGTTCCTGCTGATCACACAAATAAGGAAACTGAGTTTCAGAGTAGTTGATAAATTTTCTCTACAATCATAGGACTAATAAGCAATGAGTCTTTAAATTAGATTCCAAGTCTGCCAATTCCTAATGCCACATGTCATTATTATACTGAATGTCTATTTTAGCCAAAGACTTAGTTGATAGCTCAGTTTGTTTTCCCATGCCATTAGTATGGAGGTTTCTTTCCTAGTTAGGTCCAGTCTATATCCTTAATTCATTTAGATGTGTATGTTTGATACAGGCCCAAGGATGATTATAAAGCTACATCAGAGGAAAACTAAGGTTATCCAAATTTTTGCTTTAATATTCTCAAATCATTTTTTCTTCACTCACAAAGACATTTCTAGAGTTTTCTTTTTCTTTTTTTCTCATTATGAAGTATAAAGTAGCCAAAAATCCTTTTCTCAAGTAATGTCTGCCAAGACACTTCTATCCAGACTCAGTCAAAGACCAACAGAAGTTAGAACAGATGCTCAATGAGTTCGAGCCACTGGAGATGGTCAATATGGATATTATGTGGCTCTGTAAACCTGACTTTAAGGCCTTACTTGAGACTTTTCACACATTTGGGTTTAGCTAAATATTTAGAAAATGATGGTTCCAAAGGAGCAGGCTATGGTCTTATTTTATTTACTTTAGCAAATTATAATATTGAGCTCCAGAACATGGCATCGTACAAAGAAAAAAAATGTAATTTAGTACCAGTACCTATGCTTATACACACACACACACAACACACACACACACACACACACACACACACACACGCACACAGTTATTTCATTTTGCATGTTTGGTGAGCATGACAAAAGCCAAGCTATCTATGAAGTGAGCTAACTGAGATAGGATATGAGAATCCATCACACACACACACACACACACACACACACACACGCACATACACACACACACACGCACATACACACACACAGAGAGAGAGAGAGATGTAGAAGAGATTCGTTGCAGAATTGTTTTAGTTGTAAAAAACCTAAAACAACTGCAATGAGCATTAATAGAATAATGATTAAATAATTAACAGTATATTCATATCATACTATAGTATGTAGCTATTAAGTAAAATGAGTTATATTTCTACTCATTTAATTGGAGAATTTCTGTGCTGTGTCATTAAGAAAGGAAAGATTACAGAAATAAATATATACTATCTTTTCAATACATGACAAAAGCCACATATATATACACACACACACACATAATGTTATAAGCATGAGCAAAAATACACAAAATTGCCTACCACATTATTAATTGGTTAGAGAAAGGAAGTAGGATAGAGGAGGAGAGGTGATAAGCAATAAACAGACAAAAATAAATAAATGACTAAACAAATAGCTGTGAAAAAAGTAACAATGCATATGATTAAAAAGTATTATATATAAAATGATCTTATTGTTTTTTAAGTAGAAGGAGAGAGAAAACCACCAGAATGTTGATAGTGATTGTCTCTGAATAGTAAATTTTTAAAATACAAGGTGGTATACAGAAGACAGAGAAGGTGGCAAGAGAGATAATGTGGTAAAGTTGGCATTTGGGCATTATAATCAGGCTATTCATTCTATTTTAAGACTTCCCCAGGGACTATCAAGAGACTATTACCATTAGTCTTTTTAGAATGAGAATTTGATGGATAATTTGATAAAAATCATTCTTTCTGTTAGAACATCTGATATTAAGGTTTCCAAATGGGCCCAATAGAGTCCTTACTGGAAAGGTAACTAAAAGTTCTAAGGGATATCAGAACTGCTTTATTTTTGGAAGGAATATTACTGAATCCTTTTCCACTCTATTTTCAGTCAAGAGTTCCTAAAACCTCTTTCTCCTCCAACAAAACAGTACAGACCTAGAATTATTCCTATAGATTTCTCCCTTTTAAGCTCTGTACTTATTACAAAATCACAAATCATAAGACTGCCTTCCAAGGATAGAAAATGATAGATTAATTTCTTCATTTCTTCAAAGTAATGTGGGTTTTGATATAAACTTGATTTAATTCAGATTCATATATCCTTTCTCAATTTAGCTTGCTTCATAACTAGCTTTGCTTTCTTGGGTTACCATGCATACCACATATTGGTTACCATTCTGGTCATGTAGTCATAGTCCACCTAAGGATAGTCAGCCAAAACCACCATATTCTGAATATCCGATTAGATCTTCCATGCATCTGATTTTATTTCTGCTCTTATTTAGATATTGAGAAAAATGGAAACACTAATATCCTATGAACCTCTGGAACTAAGGAACTTACAGAAAATCTATTGTGTCATATTCCATTATGTGGTTTTAAAAATGTGAGTGAAGTTTATGAATCATTATCTTGATGAATTAATCAATTTAATTTTTTTGTTTTGATTATTGACTAACTTGTAAACAAGCCCCAAAATTTCACTGAATAGAGATCAGTTCTTAAAACTTTAGTACAAGTAGCCTTATACTATCAAACTGATGACAGTAATTGCTGGAACAATCAATAAAATATCACTTTGACATATCTCAAAATATATTTATTAATATTTTGTATAAAGTCACTACTAATTCATTTCTAAAGAGTAAATTTTTTAACTTAATTTTACTTTTGCCATATGCTTTTGTCATCTCCTGGAAATCTGTCAATTCTCTATGTTTTCAGGAATTATAGACTCATTCATTTTTGAGTTGTTAGAGAATGGAAATTCTGGATTATTAATTATTTTAGTTATGTGAAAGTCTCCATTTATGTTTTATAAGGATGAACAATTTTTCAGAAATTTGGAATGTAATAAGATGACAGCACTAACACACTTATTGCTGATCTTGAGTGCCCCAAACACATGACACCACTTAATTCACATTCAACTGATGCATTTGATCATTTGCTATCCACTGTACACTATGCCAGGGCCCTGAAAGATAAACTTTGCCTTTCAGGAACTCAGAATCTAGTGGGACTGAGAAATAATTTTAAAACAATAGGGTAAGTGCTGCAATCAAAGTAGAAGAGAGTTGTGGGAGCTCAAAAGAGTGAGTGACTGATCCTAGAATCCAATTTCCCAGGGGCTCTATCCTCTTCTCACCTTATGCTCTCTCCATGGTGAGCTAATCCATTCCCACAACTTCATCTGTCACTCATGAGTCACATAGCTGTGTTTTTCCTTGAGCCCTGTCTTCCTATATTCTGACCCATAACTACTTATTTGGCACCTCTATGTGCATGCGCCACTGACACCCACAACACAAACCCATCTTAGATGAATTAGCCATCTTCAGCCCCCAATCTTCAACTCTTCTTATCGTAGTCTACCTACCTACTCAGGTCAGAAACCTGGTGGCCATCCTTTGGTGCCTCCTTCTCCCTAACCTCCCATATTAAAAGGTCACCAAGTGCTGCCTTAAATAACTCACAGTTTTCCTCTCTTTCACCTTCCTTTAGTGGAGTATTAAGTCAACTCTGATTTATCTATTCTCTAGGCTAATGCAAGCACTTATTAAACTGATATCCTCCTACTCGATCATTTTGTATCCTTTACTGGGCAGATGCCAGTAAAGAAAAGTGGAACCACTCTGAGTTCTCTGAGAGTTTGAAGTGACGGGAATTTCACGCACGGAGCTGGTTACACAGGTGATGGAAGAACTGAGAAGCCTGCAGAGAACAGTGGAAAAGCCTGGAAATAAGCAGTGCTAAGTCTCCCCCACTAGCCTATGAGTTCCTTGAGGCAGAGAACATATACCAGTCAGCCTTTATGTCTCAGCATCTGGCATAATACAATCGTTTAAATATAGTAAACAACCATTAAAAGTTGAAAGAATGAATTAGCCATTCTAACAAGCTAAAATATTTTGACTTGGAAGTTTCTAGAAAACTTTCCCTACTTCAGGCTCAACATTTAACTATATCTTACCATGGAAACAACAAAAACTATTTGAGCTTCTGATTATTTAGATTCTTGAATGTAAGCCATTTAGGCTGTCACTGTGTGAAATGTAAATTTTATCATATCTATTTAAAGAAATTGGATTCATCATCAAAAAAGATTTTTACATTTTTTTAAAAAATGGATCTTTATAGTTTTAAGAGTAGATATTAGATTAAGAATGCTAAAACTCTGTGCTATATTAGTACAGGCTCAGAGTTTCATATACTGAGTCTCATGCCATGCGGTTCATTTTATTGGAATCCATACTCCAGTTGGCATATCAGTGTCATATGTGCCCCATGTATTAAAATGTGTTCCATGTGATTTTCTTAGATGATTATCATTCAGTGTAGCATCACAACTACATGACTCTGTTCAGTCATTGGGTTGATTAATTTCAAAATTTTTCAGAACACAAGACTAACAAAAAGTCTGACTACACAGTTGGGTAGACCAAATGGGGCTATTTAGGATGCGACAAAGGTAAAAGAAGATTATGTTCCCTGAAGCACACACTAGGCTACAGCTGGGAAAAATCAATAATAAATAAGAACATGGACTTTAGCAACAATGGTAATAAAGAATGCATGTATTTTAAAGGTATTATAACAAAACAAGACTAAGGAATAAGCACAACAAACACATATTAATAGTTAACATAACACTAGATGATGTAAAGATAAAAGATTAGAAATTAACAGCAAACCTGAAGGATACAGTGATGAATTTCTGCTTTAGAATGTACTTAATGGTGACAGTGAAAAGAAAAACATTCATTTAGACAGAAGGTTCTATTAGAAACAGGTGTTTTGTGGTTGATTACAATTATGGTTTAGATTGGTTTATTTATCAGGCCATTTTTCACTGAATGTCTTTGTCACATACAAATTATGGTTGTTTTTTTTTTTTTTTCTTATCCTAAGGGGCGTTTCTTTTTACTGGCATGTATACTAGTATATACAGGTGACTTGTCCTGGTAATTTATTTTTATTGTGTTTGATAGGGAATTCTTTTGCTGGCAAGTAAATATGTATTTCTTCTCTTCCTTGCTGTCTTGGTTAATAAACAAAACCCAAATCAAATATTTCTCCCTTTTTAAAAGTCGTTTAACATCTCTAGGTCTAAGATTTCTCAGCATACCTCCCTTTTTTCAGTTCAGGGAGGTGGGCTAGATGATTGTTTGAGGTTTCCTTGGCCTTTAATGTATGCAATTATTGGTAATGAGATTCTGATATGTGTGTTGATGAGCATCACTACTACAGCTTTTTCTGGTTGGAGGCAATAAAGATGGGAGCAAATTAGCACAAGGAAAGTGGAATTTGGTGTCAGGATACCAAAGAGAGATCACAAGGAGCTAAAGCACTGAACGTGTTCAGACCTCAGGAGAACTAGAAACAGAAGTAGACAGTCTTCGTGAACCTGTTCATTCACTCTCTAACAATAAACTCTGCCCTTATGGCTACTTTCTGCATTTTTCTCCATTTTCTTTCTTTCTCTACAGGCTAGCTTCCTCTTTTGATTCACAGTCTCTCCTCTCTTGTAACCTCATAATAGCAGTGCAGCCCTAATTCTTAGTTGTATCTTTGCACTTGGTCCCACAACTCCTGCCTCAGATCCTTTGTCTAACAAGCAAATTCCTGAGAAAGGACTCTGATTGGTCCATCTCAACTTTTTCGAGCCAGGCTTATGTTTATTGACTGCCTGTGAAGCAACTGCTCTTGAATCAGGTATCTACTCCTATTCCAAAGATGGGAGGAGAGCGGCCTCATGTGAGATAGAATGTGACTCTGTTCAAGCAGCAGGAATTACAGGCAGGCAGTCTCCATCACAGAAGAACTGCGGAAATCATAGGCAGTGATGCACAGCTCTACTCTAATAGGCTTTCCGGGGAAGCAGCCCAAGTTTTACGAAGGGCAGATCTCAGAGCTCAGCTAAACTGGCATGAATATTTTACGGGGAACAGAGGCCTGTACTTGGGACTGCTTTTAATATATATTAAAATCAATGAAAGATAAAACATAAATATGAACAAGGGCTTTGGTTCTTTCCCCAAAAGATATACACACATATTACAAAAATACATGTAATGCCTTTCTTGAGAATAGTTAGAAAAGGAGGAATTGCTTGAATGATCCTTTTGAGTGGATGCTCTATTACTAGATGTTAAAGAAATATCCTGTCTCTTTCCTAACATAGTCTGAGACGTGCAGACTATGGGGGCAGTGAACAAGGGACCCTCACTTTTGCAGCTCACTGTGATGTCTTCTTAGATCTCATTCTGGTAAAACACATACCTCAACATATTTGAACATATTTGCCTACAGTGCATAGCTGTTTTTCCTATTCCAAATGCTAGATAATTAATGGATTTTAATAAAATGATTTCTTATGGTAAAATAGCAAATTAGAAACCATCTTATGTCAGACTTCCCTAGCATAAAGTTTTGAAGGATACATTAAAATCTCCAGATAAGCATGTTCATACACATATTTTTCATGATAAACAATGGTAAAACATTTTTAAATCTTTTACTCATACTAAAAAGAGGTATTTTCATATATATATATATATATATATATATATATGAAACCACTTTTTCTTTATTCATCCATTGATAGGTACTTAGGTTGATTCCATATTTTGCCTATTATGGATTAATGCTACAATAAAAATGGGAGTGCAGATATCTCATTGATATATTGTTTCATTTCTTTTGGCATGTACCCAGCAGTGGAATTGCTAGATCACGTGATAGTTCTGTTTTCAATTTTTTGAGGAACTTCCATACTGTTTTCTGTAGTCGCTGTACTTTGCATTCCTCCCCGTATACAAGGGTTCCCTTTTCTCCACATCCTTTCCAGTATCCATTACTGCCTGTTTTTTTAATAAAAGCCACTGTAACTGGGGTCAGATGATATCTCATTGTGGTTTTGATTTGCTTTTCTCTGATGATTAGTGATAAAAAGAGATATTTTCATGTAATGCAGTGTTTCTCAACCTTACCACTATTGACATTTTGAACCAGACAATTCTTTATTATGGGGGCCTGTGCTGTGCATTGTAGTAAGTGAAGGAGCATCTCTGGCCTCTACTCACAGATGCTAGTAGCACACCACTAATCTCACTGGTGACAACCAAAACTGTTTTCAGTCACTGCTAAATGTACCTAACATGAGGGAAAAATCAGCCTGTCCTTAAAACTATAAATCTAGGAAGAATGTTACCTTTATTCTCCAAAAGAGTGACTTTTGTTTAACATAATTTTCTTATACTATACCTTTAATCATCTCTAGATTTTAAAAAAAACATATATATGTTGTTTTGGGGACAGGCGCAGTGGCTCACACTTGTAATCTCAGCACTTTGGGGGACCGAGGGGGGGCAGATCACCTGAGGTCAGGAGTTCTAAACCAGACTGACCAACATGGAGAAACCCCATCTACTAAAAATACAAAAATTAGGCAGACATGGTGGTGAACACCTGTAATCTCAGCTATTCAGGAGGCTGAGGCAGGAGAATCTCTTGAACCTGGGAGGTAGAGGTTGCAGTGAGCCGAGGTCATGCCACTGCACTCCAGCCTGGGTGACAGAGCAAGACTCCATCTCAAAAAATAAAAATAAATTTTTTAAAATGTCGTTTTGGAGTTTCATTGAGTGCTACTGGTTTGGTATTGTCTATCTTGCCTTTCCTCAATGAGTCAAATTCTGTCATGCCTGAATTAGCCCAACTAATTTTATTAGCAAGCTCATATCCATTAATCACATTAACTTACCTCGGTGTCAAAGAATTCCCTATGGCCCACAGTTTCTAAATATGTCACACTTTCTCTCAAGAAATAGCTTGCACACTTGAGAAAGATGGTGGAACACTTGTAAACTCACCTAGAAGGAAAGTAATTTTAATGCTGTTGGCCAAAGAGCATTAATTTCTTTCTGAAAAATGTCCCATCTTCTCTGGAGTGCTTGCACTTTGGACTAATGAAGAATTAATAGAAAACTTGTTGTGTAAGAGAACAAAAATACAGCAATTTAGAGGCTTTCTTTTCTACCTAAAAATAGAATCCACCAAAACGAAGTCATAGGCTTTATTATATTCAGATGTCACTGTTAACCTTTATATTAAGGGACGGATAAAAAAATTGTTTAAAATATAATAAGTAGTTTCTCTGACTTGCAAATAATAAACACTTTCATGGAAAATTTGCCCATCTCACAAGGTTTGTGTGAGAACAAATGTTATAATAGATATGAAAGGGTTATGAGAACCACGAGCACAGAGCACGCCACAGGAGAAGGGAATTATTGTCATACATGTGGCTTTATATAGATTGTAGAAAAAGGAGAAATTGGTGTATTTTAGTCCTTCCATAATGTTCATTATTATCATCACAATTATTATTATCTTCAAAAAGGTTTTATTAAGGTTATCAATATCATATGTCTGTATTTTTATTTATCATAGAATCAGGTCCTAGATTAGGCTACTAACTCCAGAAATGCATTAAAAGACCAGGTGTGAAGGGCACTTGCTCCCCCTTACCTACTCACAGGTGTAATATGCTAGCATATGTTCATTTTCACTGGATAACTTCTATAGCAAATTGGGTACATTATTGCTTGAATTTATAACCACGATATAATTTTTACTCAATATGTATTGAAAACAGAATGAGTTGTATAACAAAGGTTTCACCACATGGCATGTAGCTCTTTCTCTACAGGAAACAAAAATAGTTTCCAAAGAGGAAAGGGGAAAAGTCTATACCCATACACGCACACACACACAGAGGTCTAAGCAGGGATTACCCATGTTTTTTCCTTTCTGTTCTCCACTTACCACACAGAGTAAGTAAATGATAATAAATGCTATGTATTAATATAGCATTTATCATTCAGTGTTATTTTGCCATTTTTAAAGTTGACAAATTAAAATTGTGTATATTTATTGTGTACAACATGGTGTTTTCAAATATCTGTACATTGTGGAATGGCTAAATAAAGCTAATTAACCAATGTGTTACTTCATATACTTCTCTTTTGTGGTAAAATTTACTCTTACCAATTTTCAAGATAGTCCCTTATAGTTTATAATCATATATTTTCACCATTACACATTAAAGCTTTATAGAAAAGAATTGTGGAGCAAGGATTTTGCCGCAGGTTTCATTGTGAGGAATCCTGTGTGGCACTCGTAAGAATCTGTATGCTAATGAGGAATCGGTATAAGCTGACACATGTATTCCATTGTTGACAATGCTGACTGCCATAGCAAAATTTACACTATGACTGTGGTTGATACTTAATTTTCCTATACTGGCTGAATTATAAACAAGAACCCAACACCAAGACTTAGAATTCATTACAGACAATTGTTTATTTTCATGGCCAACTGAGTCCATCTGCCTACAAATTCTTATATAAACATCTCTTTAAAAATAGAAATGCTTATGAAAATGAGCATACACACTCTATTTGGAAGTGTAATACTAATGTGTACATAGCAATTAAAAATTTTGAAGATAATTTATTTGTTTAGCATGTTATGGTTTCTAAAGTACCTTAACCTTAATTTTCTCAATTGATGCTCACAAAAAACCAGTAAAATGCTACTTTTTCATTTTAGAAATAAGGCAAGTCAGGAACAGTGGCTCACACTTGTAATCCCAGTACTTTGGGAGGCTGAGGCCAGAGGAGCAGTTGAGGCCAGGAATTTGAGACCAGCCTGAGCAACAGAGAAAGACCCGGTCTCAAAAAAAGAAAAAGAAAAAAAAAATAGCCAGGTGTGATGGTGCATGCCTGTAGTCCCAAGTACTTGAAAGGCTGAAAGATAGGATTCTTTAAGCCCAGGAATCTGAGGCTGCTGTGAGCTAGGATGGCACCACTGCACTCCAGCCAGGATGGCCAAGTGAGACTGTCTCTAAAAGAAAAGAAGAGAAAAGAAAAAAAAGAGGCATCTTAGGTGCAAGAGATTATGTCATTCACGCATAATTAGGCTTACATGTGGTAGAGCTTAAAATCAAGCAGTTTTGTAATATAAACCCATAATCTGCCCAATTCATTTTCCTCCAAAAAGTCACAATGTTAAGAACTTGTAGAGGATGCAAATGAGAATGGTAGTAACTGAGGACTGTAAGTAGCCTGAGGGTTATTTTTTTTTTTTTACATGAAGGTAAGGTGGAAGGAGGTTTCATATCTTTAGAAAGGATATTGTGTGACTAACAGTCAAACGTGAATATCCTTTTGCTATTAAACAAGAAAGAATGTCTTTAAATTATTGCAAGGTGGTTTCTGAGTAAATAGTATAAATGTTCTTCAATATGGTTAAAAGACCCTGGAATTCATTGTGAGGAATGAATATTGTTTTATATTTTAAGATTTTTCAGAAATGCATAAATATCCATTTGGAAGTCTATATGAAGTGCAGTTTGCCCAGATGTTAGACATGATTCTAATCATTCTTTTTCCCCACTGGTATATATAACAGTGGCAGTACAGGAACACTGTGCAGGAGGTACATAGTGTGTTCTTAATAGTCACTAAGGCATTCACAAAGTCACTATTGCCATATGAATGTCTTAGAAAAAGTGAACTTTCTGTTTTTATTATGTTGAGATTCATATCAAAGACTTTAGGATTTTACTGCTGCCAATTTATTTTCCTTTAATGGGCAATTTTACCTTGTATTAATAGAGTTGTTAAAAACAGAAAATAACTAAAGTGCTAAGATTATTATTTGGAAAACCATCCCTTCCAGCAACTTGAGCCATTTATAGTGAGCCCAATATTCCTGTCTCTAACTGCCAGGGGAAACCTAAGTAGAAAGAAAAAGTTCAGGGGGATATCCTCTGTAATATTTTGCGAAGGTGAAGAAACAAACTTTCAAGATCAATTTCAACTCTGAATTCAAACCACTTCCTGAAATGAAACAGGAATGTGGTAAGAGAGAAATGTTGAATAGTGCCACCACTGAGGTTAGTCTTCAGACCAAATAAACATCTCCATTTGTATGTGCCTCATAACTACTTTTCAGGACTCATCCATCGATAAGTTGTAATTCAAAGAAAAATCCAGATAAGGGCAAATTGATAACCTTTATGTGTTAAACGAGCAGTGTTCATTCAAAAGAATTTGGGGTGTGAAAAACACCCTTTCCTTTTCAGTGCATTCAGTTTTAGTTATTATTTATCAGGCATTCCTCTCCAAAACAGAACTGTAATATAATGTCCAGAGGTCAATGTTTGTGAACATAGATTCCTCTGTACAATTTCTCTTTATGGCCTTCCCCATGACATCATTACCTTAACTTCAAACTTTAAAATTCAATTACATCTATTTGCTCTATATTGGTGGAAATGTTTATATATACTTTCAAGTATAGTTCTAGTACTTTTATTATTTATTTATTTATTTATTTATTTATTTAACTAATTATATATTTTTTTAGAGACAAGGTATTGCTCCATCACCCAGGCTGGAGTACAGTGACATAATCCTGGCTTACTGCAGCCTCAGTCTCCTGGGCACAAGAGATCCTGCTACATCAGCCTCCCAAGTAGCTGGTATTATAAGCATGTACCACCACACCAAACTAACTTTAAAAAAATTATTTTTTGTAGAGATGAGGTCTCATAACGTTCCGTAGGCTGGTCTTGAACTCCTGGGCTCAAGGGATTCTCCTGCCTTGGCCTCCCAAATTGCTGGAATTACAGACATGATCCACAGTGCCAGGCCCCTAGTACTTTTAACCTATTGGTTACCTTATACCTCTAGGTGCAAATTTTAATATATTCAAATGTAATCTCTTACAGGACATCCTACATGTTATTAAACCTTAGATGATAATGATAGTAAAATTCTTTTTTTTTTTTTGCTTTCTTTATTTCACAGGATTATACACTCACCATGTATTTCCAGCAGTCTTGGAAAGACAAAAGGCTTTCTTATTCTGGAATCCCACTGAACCTCACCCTAGACAATAGGGTAGCTGACCAACTCTGGGTACCAGACACCTACTTTCTGAATGACAAGAAATCATTTGTGCATGGGGTCACAGTGAAAAATCGAATGATTCGACTGCATCCTGATGGAACAGTTCTCTATGGACTCCGGTAAATGGCTTTATGTTGCATGTTTTAATGTTGTTGTTGTTTTGTTTCATTTTAAACTTTTGGAAGTGGGCAAAGGGGAGAGAAGCAAGAATATATAGATGAATATATAAATGGGGTGTCATATACTTATGAAGGTCTATTACAAACCCTCATGTAGTTAAGGGCTTTTTACAAATTATAGGCAACACATCAAAATTAACTACCAGTTTTAACAAGGAAATATCTGAACTGTAACCTGTTATTATAGGATATGTAAAGTGGTGGCTCTTTATTCTTTGGTGTCACCTTTAGTCATTCTTTTGAGAAACAGATGAAACCTATATATTCATAAACTCATATATGCCTCAAATTTTCCTGTTGTTTCAGAGTGTTCATAAGCCCCTTGAAATCCTTCCATGTACCATGAACACTAAGCTGAAAATCCAATTACGGGTCAAAATATAACAATTAATGTCTAAATTCACCAATGCCCCAAAACAATATACAAGTGAAAAAAATATATATCTGTGATGAAATTTCTAGTGGTTGGTTATTTAGTTGATAGCTTTGGTCTTCATTTGCACAGTAAAATAACATCAATTGTTCTTGGCAAAATGATCTTTGAAATTTTTTCACTCTTTCTGTACCCCAAGGACTTTCAACTTCAGTTAAAAATCTCTGAGTTAAAAGTCTTTGGGAGAAATGGTAAAATAAACTAACAGTTCCCTTGAGTCTATTGATAGCCACAACAAAAAGCCTACTAATCCAAGATTGGTGGTTAATCATTAGTTATGGTTCATATACTATAAATCAATTGTAATTTTTCTGTTACCAATGTAACTTCCGTCAGACATGCCCAATGTGTAAAGGGATGAATTACCCTTCTGAAGTATCCTGGGAGAGTAATTCCATGACTCAATTTAATAGGCTAATCAACCATGACATGTGTAAGTATATGGATTAGTCAAGAATATATAAAAAGTTGATTGGTTTAAAAAAAAAGAGCAACTAGATTTTTTTTGCAAGAAAGAATATGGTTTACATTGTCAGATTACAGAGTCTCACTTCAGGCATTTCCCAAATTATTACCAGCATCTACCAGTGGGAATAATACAAAGGAAGGAAAATATTTGAGAATCATGAAGTTGAATACATTTCATTTTACAACTGGGAAAACTGAGACAGAAAAGGGAGAAGTACCTTATATAAGGGAATAATAAGGTAATGGCAGAACTGGGACTAAAATCCGTGTATCCTGATTCCCATGCCTGTGCTTTTCCCACTCCACTGCCATTCAAGTGCACTTAGAAGTCAACTCCTATTTTCAGGTTGTGCACCACTGCTTTAATCCCTTCGGAGCCAACCCAGTTCTTTGTAGCTTGTTGTCTAGCGAACAGACAATGACCTTTCCAAAGAGAAACACAAACCATTCATCTATCATCTATGCCCTACTCTTTTTTCTGGCACCAATTTTCTCTGTAAGAGCCTCACACTAGTTCTCATAGCTTCCCTTTCTCTTCCTCTGTCTTTCCCACTTCCTCTTCCCTCACAGATTTGGTTTTCCTTTCCCTAAATGTTATCAATATCCTGGAAAGGCCATAAGGTATAGCAGAGAAAGTATGACATCTAGTGTCAGAGGACCAAGGTTGGGCATAAACTCCACAATTTTCTGACTTCTTGACCTTGAACAAATTATGTAAATTTGTTAAGACTTAGTTTTATCAGTTGTATAGTATATCAGTTGTATAGTAATGGGCTAATACCCCCTTACTCATTATTGGAACAATCTTATGAACTAATCAATATGACAATACATAGTAAGTCCTAAATTATATTTCTCTAAAGTAGTTGTGCCTTATATAGCCTTATTAGGTACTGGGCAAACTGCATACTCAGGATAGTTTTCTAACTCCCAGGGGTATCGGTGATTAAAATAGAGATAAAGTTGCTCAATTAAAAATACACTAATTGAGTGCCTATTATCTGCCACACACTCACTATTTTGGCCCTGAGAATAATATTCCAGAAGCTGAGTAGAAATTTGCCAGTGGACATAGAGCTGAAGACAATAGATACTGGGTACTCCAAGAGTGGGGAGAAGGGGAGTGTGGCAAGTGTTGAAAAACTACCTATTGAGTGCTATATTCATGATTTGGGTGATGGGTTTAACAGAAGCCCAAACCTCAGCATCATACAATATAGTCATGTTACAAACCTGCACATGTACCTCCTAAATCTAAAATTTTAAAGAAAAAAGAAACTTTTCAGTGGAATACACTTGGGACTTTGAGTCAAGAGACTTGTGGCCTAACCAGTTGATGCCCTTCAGTAAGCCATTTCACCTCCCTGGGCTTCAGATCCACCAACCTTAAAAAAAAGTGATTGGATGAAACTGTTCCTAAATTTCCTACTGTATTAGTCTGTTTTCATATTGCTATAAAGATGCTACCCAAGACTAGGTAATTTACAAACAAGAGAGGTTTAATGGACTCGCAGTTCTGCATGGCTGGGGAGGTGTCAGGAAACTTAACAATCATAGCAGAAGAGGAAGCAGGCATGTCTTACATGGTGGCAGGTGGGAGAGAGAATACCAAGGGGGAGGAACCCCATACTTACCAAAAAAAACAGGTCTCATGAGAATTCACTCACTATCACAAGAACATCATGGGGAAATCACCCCTATGATCCGATTACCTCCCACCGGGCCCTCCCTTGACACCTGGGGATTACAATTTGGATTACAATTCAAGATGAGATTTGGGTGCAGGACACAGAACCAAACTATATCACCTACTAAACGCAAATTCCATTGCTTCTGTGATCCTATGTATTAGGGCATGTTCATTTTAATTCCCCTGATGTAACATTTCCTAGTCTAAGAAATGACAGTCTGCATTTTTCCTAGGTAAGAGTCTTTTAAAGAATATCTGTTGTCACCTCCTAAGCACACATATAAGAATATCCTTATCATATAACATATTGGCATATTTATAGCTGTATTTATTTTAGGCATGAGTAATTAAGAGAATCAAACTTCTTGTCTTATTCCTTTCCATCAGTCCAGCTCATAGTCATCATGAACGGGTCCATATATTAATGAGCAGGTTTTAGCAATCATGGGATCAATGAGATGTTCTGAATGCACTGGAAAGCCTTTGGCTAGGTATTCCATAATCGTAACAGCATGTCATTAAACAAAATCAATTTGTTGCTATATTCAAACTCGGTAAGCTCAATATGAGATACTATAACTTAACTTACATGAAGCCAGAAGAATAGAGTCAGTTGTCTATTTTTGTGAACTATGTCAATTCATATTTTTCACCAAAGGGATGGCACATAGTCCTGTAAACACTCTGACATAACAGAATGGTGTCTGGTAAGGGACTGGCACTTCTAGAGGAACCAGGCTACTATGCAACAGATATTCGGCCCTTGGGAGAGACTTCATTCCTTGTGCCTCTTGCCCTTAGGTCACCCTCCTGTGACAAAACGTATTACACAAAAGAGTAACCCAGTAACCTCTAGTAATTCCTCCTCCATTTAGGTGGGGAATCTAAATAAAGAACGTCCATGATGTGCCGTAAGTTGTGTTAGGAGACCAGAACTTTAGTCCATGTGCCATGAGCCATTTACCTTGGTCTTTTCAGAACACATGATGTCATTTCCTTTCTTACTTAAAAGCGGAGACTATACAATATCACCTCCGTCTATGTCACTTAAAATTCTTCTGTTTTTCCTCCCTTACTTCCACTTAACTTGGAGGAGGATTTTTCTCTTTTTTCTAAGGCTAATCTCTCCATGTCTGCATGTAATCTTCTTGGTACACACTCTTTACAGACTTTGCTCCCCCATTTTATCTACCTCTCCAGCCCTTCCTCTCTGTTGACTCCCTCTCTTCAGTTTCTGCTTTGAGCACCAGTTTTCTCACAGCTTTGGTTTCTTCTACTGCCTCACTACACATTACTCCTCTATCTCCAACAACATGGTTCCCATCCATGCTACTTTCCTATAACAACTCTGCCAAAAATTACCAAAACAATCACTGGTTCTCAATCTCTACTCTTGACTTCTCCGAATGCTTTAAGAGTAATGACTGACTCTGACTTCAGGACTTCCAAGACCCAGCCCAATTTTTAAATTATTCTTGTTCTTCTGTCTTTTTGTTATTTCATTATTGACTCCTCTTTTGCCACTAATTGGGAACTGTAAGGATTCTTCACGATTTGATCAGTTTATTGAGTTTAACAGCTTTAAATATCTAACCTCCCAAACCACTGAGTTTCCAAAATTTCCAATTGCTCACTGAGCACCTGTATTTGGATTGCCTGCCAGCTCCTCCTCACATGACCTCTAGTTCATATCATTTGATTTTCTCAAAACTGGGCCGTCCTCCTTTCCCAAGTGCTAATGAAATTACCATTATCCCATTCAATAGACATAAACTTGAAGGCAACTGTAATTCCACGTCTCTTTTGTCACTGAGACTTAATCTGTTGCTTCAATTCCACTCTATCTCAATCTTCTCTATTTCCAAATCACTTCTACCATCTAAATTAACATCCTCACTATCTGTCACTTCCTGGCCCATTTCCTATCTCAATTTTTCTCATTATTGCCATCTTATTTCGCCTAGAAAAAAAAATGGTTCCTCTTTCAGAAATCTAAGACCCTCTGCTTATTTCTGTAAACATATCTGAGGCATTTCAAGCTTAAGTATGTTTTAAATATTTTATCCCATAAACATTTCATGGAATATACAGTTGACTCAGGAATAACATGGGATGAACTGCGTAAGTCCATTTATTGGAGGATTTTTTTTCAATAAAAGTTACACTGAATGTGCCTGCCTCTCCCGCCTCCCTTTCCACCTCTTCCCTGTCATCCACTTCTGCCACCCCTGAGACAGCAAGAAGGACCCTTCTTCTTCCTCCTCTTCCTCAGCCTACTCAGTGTGAAGACTATGAGGATGAAGACCTTAATGATGATCCATTTTCACTCAATAAATAGCAAATATATTTTCCCTTCCTTATGATTTTCTTAATGACATTTTATTTTCTCTAGATTACTTTATTGTAAAAATAAAGACCTATAATGTAAATTATGTGTTTGTTGCTGTTTACATTATTAGTAAGTCTTTTTATTAGTAAGGTGTTATCAGTATGTTATTAATAGTTACATTGTGAGAGAGTCCATAGTTATACATGGATTTTTGATTGCATGAGGGGTGTAAGAGCCCTTAATCCCTACATTGTTCAATGGTAATTATACTACAAAAATTATTTGTCATTTCTCTAAAATTCAAATATAACTGGGAAACCAGTATTTTACCTGGTAACCCTACAGCCCTACCGATGCCCTCCCTTCTCTGCCCCCACTCCACCACCTTTTCCCATCTTACTGTTGCTTCAAAGTCTCCCTCAAATTCCACTTTCTCCATGAGAACTTTCACAGTTTTCCTAACCAGATGAAAACTCTCTCTCATTTGATGCCCTACTGCAATTTAATCTTACAAATTGAAATTCATAACTCTCTTACAATGTTTTATCTTTCTGTAGTCATTTTCCACTGATGTACAGGATTGTGTATTTGTTGAAAATGTGAATTGTATTTCCTTAAACTTTGTATCCTCTCTCTCAAACCAAATAGATGCCCAATAAATGTTTGTAGAAATGAAATTAAAAATTGTAGGATGCAGTCACCTGATTCACAATAGTTGTCAGCTGCAACATTTTCTATATCTACATGATGGCTTGTAACCAAAGAGCAATTATCACTATTAATGACCAGATGTATTCTGCCTCTTCTCCAAACATGGTCCAGATGGTTGCATACACTTATTCTCTCCAAGCCCCAGCCATGTGCGCGCTGAAACACTGTGTTTATCTTTCCCTGAAAATGGCAGGCACGGAGGAATTTAATTCTGAGAAGACATTTAGTGGAGCATTTAACCTCCTTGAAAAAAAAAATGCCTTTTTAAATTTTTTGCCTTCTCCTCCTAGCCCCTACAATTGCTTTTCTTTCAAAGTTCCACAGTGATCCTTCCTTCTTCTTTTACCAGACGTGAGCCCAGGGCCAGGTGGTTTTGAGGAATTAAAAATGAATGTGTGCAAACAGCTAGTGGAATGAGGAATGCTGTGGTTTGAATGTTTGTTTCCTCCAAAACTCATATGGAAATGTAATTGCCATTGTGACAGTTTGGAGAGCAGAGATATTTAAGGGGTGACTAGGTCATAAGGGCTCCATCCTTGCAAATGGACTAAAGCTTTTCATGGGAGTTGGTGTGCCCCCTCTAGCATATGTGTTTTGTCTCCCGTGCCCACTTTCTCTCTTTCTTGCTCTCTCAATTTCCCCTTCTGCCATCCTATGATTCAGCAAGAAGGCCCTACCAGATGCAGCTCCCTAGGGAATCTTGGATTGCTCAGCCTCCAGAACTGGGAGCCAGTAAATTTCTGTTTATTATAAATTACCCAGTTCATGGTATTCTGTTATAGCAACACAAAATGGACTAAGATGGGAAGTGAAAAGCCTTCCATTCCAATACTGCTCCACATCAGGTCTCTGTACTTGTGTTGTTGAGTGTGTATGTAGGTCTGTTATGCATACATTGTAAGTATATACAGAGTGAGATGTACATACAGTATCATTTTAACTAATATTAGTGGCAATTGTATCATGAAATTTAACCAAAACCCATGTAAATAAGTAATTGAAAATATATTATATAACAGACACAATGCTTAATGCTCACCTATATTGTCGTATGTCATCTTTACTGCAACACTATGAGCTATGTACTACTATTAAGCTAATACTAAAGATTCCAACACTGGGAGATCAAAAGTAAATTTTACTGTCTCATAATTTGTTACTTCTTTACTTTTTAAAAGTAGGTCCCAAAGAGTACACACATTGCATTTGGCTGCTAAATCGTTAACATTCACATCTCTTTTACTCTACAGTTTCTTCTCTTCCCTTTTTAGCCCCCCTTGTAAATTATTTTTTGAAGAAATGATGTCATGTTTGTGATTATATTCCCTTATTGTAAATGTCTTTCTCTATCTCCATCTCCTATATTAAGACTTGATCAGATTTAGATTACCTGCTTTTAGGGTTGTGTTTTGGCAAGACTGCTTCATAGGCAGTATAGTATACTTCTATGAAGGGACCCAAAATGCCTGACTGTCTTCTTTGATGATACGAAGATTGATGAGCAGATTCAGATATATTGACAGCGTGATCTATCCACTTATATTAATTTTAATGTAATTGTATTACTTCGCTGGGGCTGCTGTAGCAAAGTACCACAAACTGGATAACTTAAACAGTAGAAATTTATAGTCTCACAGTTCTGGAAGCTAGAAATAAAAAATCAAGGTGTTGGCAGAATTGGTTCATTTTGAGGGCTCTGAGGAGAAGGTCTGTTTCAGACCTCTCTTTTTGGTGCATAAATAGCCATCTTCCCCCTGTGTCTCCACATAATCTTCCCTCTATGTGTATTTGTACTTAAATGTCCCCCTTTTGTAAGGACACCAGCCATCACCAGTCATATTGGATTAGGACCCACCCTAATGATCTCACTTCAACTTGATTACCCCTCTAAAGACTCTATTTTCAAATAAGGTCATATTCTAAGTCACGGAGGTTTAGGACTTCCACATATGAATTTGACGAGACACAATTCAACCCATAATAGCAACTGATAATAATTTTCTAAACCTATTTAGCATTTGCAAAATGGAGATATTCTATCATCTCTTCTTTATTTATGAACTATACTACTCTCTAAAAAAGGACTGAACTCACTGACTATTTGATTATCTTGAGGTAGAGTTTGTACAGTGAAAGCAGGATAAATGCTTGACTGCTTCCTCTTATTTAGCAGTTTTCTAAACAAGTTATTTTCCATAAAATCTTCCAAATGTGACCACCAAGGGTTAGTATTTTGTTGTCTCATATTCTTATACCTTCCTTTGTTTAAAAGGTAGCACACTATGCCAACCACTCTGTACCTTACAAAGTGATTTTGCAAAGCCACCATAAATGTGGAAGGCACTTTTTTTTTTTTTTGAGACTGAGTTTTGCTCTTGTTGCCCAAGCTGGAGTGCAATGGCACAATCTTGGCTCACTGAAACCTCTGCCTCCCAGGTTCAAGCGATTCTCCTGCCTCAGCCTCCCGAGTAGCTGGGATTACAGGCACGTGCCACCGCACCCAGCTAATTTTTTGTATTTTTGTAGAAACGGGGTTTCATCATGTTAGCCAGGCTGGTCTCGAACTCTTAATCTCAGGTGATCCCCCCGCCTTGACCTCCCAAAGTGCTGGGATTACAGGCATGAGCCACCGTGCCCGGCCTTGAAAGCATTTTTAGCCCAAGTCTTCTCACTCCAGAGTCTACACTCTCAGCCCTGGCATAAGGCATCTTACTGTCCCTGCACATCATTTCTAGGAAGACAGTTGTCTATGTATGGTGATTTCACTGCTCACCATTATAGAAATGAAACTAACTGCAGAAGGTAGACAGCCTAAATGGGAGTAGCTCTGCCAAGTGTGTGAGCTTTTAAAAAAATGTATACAATTTTTTTGGCTTTTCTAATTCATACTAATGATTCTAAATTACAAAGAGAAGCCATTCTGCTTCAGATTTTGGAAATGAGTCTAATGTTAACTAAAAACCTGTGACCTGATGAGGATTTTGATAACTCCTCTACCATATTTGTTTACCTGGCTCTATTTCGAATCAATTTTTTTATATTCTTGGCAGTGTCTGACCACGGATTGTGTGTGAGAATAAAATCAATGGCTACACTTACTGAATGTAAAAGAAAGACGAGTTTTTCACTATTCCTTGGAGAATCATCTCATCTTGCCTTAGTCTTCATGATAAAGCAAAGTAAAAAATATGGGCAATTATCTTGATAATACAGATCCACTACACACACACACACACACACACGCACACACACACACACGCACACACGCACACACACACATTATTGATTTTTAAAGCAGTTTGGGGTCCTAAATGTCTAACATTAGCTCTCTGTATTGATTATCCACAGTGAAAGAAATTGTTTCTCTCTTCTACAGACTTTCCCTGTAGAGAAGAAATTATGATTACATTCAAAAGTCCTGGGCAGATCTCACAAGGCTTACTGTGAGATATGCTAGGTAAAAATACTGTGCGGTTGATTGCAGGAAATAAATATGAGAGTTGATGTAGTATTTGCAGAGGAAGCTTGGCTGTTATTGACAAATGCATCTTGTTAAGAGAAAGAAACCTGCTATTTCAAATGGAAGAGAGAAACAGCAGACCGTACATAAAGAATAGGTAACTCAGTTTATTAGAAAGAATGCCTGGAGACTTTACAATTCCCACTAAAGGACACAGTGTTGATATTCCCCTCACAGTTTAGTTGGCTTGTATTTTAGAGTTTCATCACTGGAGTAGAGAGAAAGCTATTCAAAATGTTCTCCAGTGAAAGAACTGCAATTTTTGCCTCTCAAA